>NW_011332688.1:0-305542 GCF_000001405.40 Homo sapiens | reverse complement strand
AAGGGCATAGGCTCTGGGATTCCACAAGCCTGGGTTGAATCCAGCTCTGCCGCTTTCCCGTGTGTCACTTCTGGGAACTTAGGTCATCTCTCTGAGCACGTATAAAATAGCAATGGTAAAAACAGGCCGGGCAGAGTGGCTCACACCTATCAGCCCAGCACTTTGGGAGGCCGAGGCGGGTGGATCACCTGAGGTCAGGAGTTCAAGACCAGCCTGGTCAACATGGTGAAACCCCATCTCTACTAAAAATACAAAAAGTAGCTGGGCGTGGTGGCGCACACCTGTGGTCCCAGCTACTGGGGAGGCTGAGGCAGGAGAATCTCTTGAACCTGGGAGGTGGAGGTTGCAGTGAGCTGAGATCGCACCATTGCACTCCAGCCTGGGCGACAGAGCGAGACTGTCTCGGAAAAATAAAAATTAGCCAGGCATGGTGACCCACGCCTGTAATCCCAGCAACTTGGGAGGCTGAGGCAGGAGAATAGTGTGAACCCGGGAGGCAGAGGTTGCCGTGAGCCGAGATTACGCCATTGCACTCCAGCCTCCAGCCTGGGAGACAAGAGTGAAACTCCACCTCAAAAAAAAAAAAAAAAGCTATGATAACAATAATAATACCTGCCCCAAGGTATTATACCCATTACCCAGACTTGGCTGTTATGAAGATTTCATGACATTGTAATTTATGAAGCATGTGATAGGGAATCAAAACTTTTTTTTTTCTTTCTGAGATGGAGTCTTGCTCAGTTGCCCAGGCTAGAGTGCAGCGGCGTGATCTCAGCTCACTGCAATCTCTTCCTCTCGGATTCAAGTGATTCTCCTACCTCAGCCTCCCGAATAGCTGGGAATACAGGCACAAGCCACCACTCCAGGCTAATTGTTGTATTTTTAGCAGGGACCGCGTTTCACCATGTTGTCCAGGCTGCTCTCGAACTCCTGACCTCAGTTGACCTGCCAGCCCCAGCCTCCCAAAGCGCTGGGATTACAGACATGAGCCACTGTGCCCGGCCAGATTCAAAACTTGGAACACAGATGTGTGAAAATATTCTTCTGTTATGGAAGCAGTAGTGTGTGTGGTTGAGATCGCTGACTCTGATATCAGGAGGACCTGCATTCAAACCCTACATTACCTCTGTTCTTAAAAAAAAAAAAAAAAAAAGTAGTTCAACCTTGGACTAGATACTTTACCTCTCTGGGCCTCAGTTTTCCATTCTGTGAACTGAGGTTTGTAACAATAATCCCTGCTCTATATCATCATCCCTATCCTCATTATTGGTAAGTCAGGGAAGGCTTCTGGGAAGCCTTGGAAAGGGCTTTGAAGGGTGAATAGGAGTCTGACAGATGGTGAGCATAGGTTCTAGACATGAAGCCTTGCCGTGGGATGGCATTCTTTCTGGGGTGTATGTTTGGTTGGTGTGGGGAAAGTTAACATTCAGGAGTGCCTGGATCCTAAGGTGGATGGCTGGGTGGTAGGAACATGGTGAAAGGTCTTGTGGAGGGTCTGAAGTAATAGACACTGCCCACTGGAATGAAAGCCCCTTAAGGGCAGAGGGCAGATTCTTTTTTTTTTTTTTAAGATGAAGTCTCTTGGGGAGAAGGGGGAGGGATAGCATTAGGAGATATACCTAATGCTAAATGATGAGTTAATGGGTGCAGCACACCATCATGGCACATGTATACATATGTAACAAACCTGCACGTTGTGCACATGTACCCTAAAACTTAAAGTAAAAAAAAAAAAACAAACAAAAAAAACAGACGAAGTCTCGGCCGGGCGCGGTAGCTCACGCTTGTAATCCCAGCACTTTGGGAGGCCAAGGGGGGTGGATCACCTGAGGTCAGGAGTTCGAGACGAGCCTGACCAACATGGTGGAACCCCATCTCTACTACATACAAAAAATTAGCCAGGCATGGTGGTGCATGCCTGTAGTCCCAGCTACTTGGGAGGCTGAGGCAGGAGAATCGCTTGAACCCGGGAGGCGGAGGTTGCAGTGAGCCGAGATTGCGCCATTGCACTCCAGCCTGGGCAACAAGAGCAAAAACTCTGTCTAAAAAAAAAAAAAAAAAAAGACGAAGTCTTGCTCTTGTCCCCCAGGCTGGAATGCAATGGCACAATCTCGGCTCACTGCAACCTCCGCCTCCCGGGTTCAAGCGATTCTCCTGCCTCAGCCTCCCAAGTAGCTGGGATTACAGGCACCTGCCACCATGCCCAGCTAATTTTTGTATTTTTAGTAGAGACGGGGTTTCACCATGTTGGCCAGGCTGGTCTTGAACTCCTGACCTCAGGTGATCCGCCGACCTCAGCCTCCCAAAGTGCTGGGATTACAGGTATGAGCCACCGCGCCCAGCCAGCAGAAGGCAGATTCTCTTTTTTTTTTTTAAATGTATTTTTGCTCTTGTTGCCCAGGCTGGAGTGCAATGGCGCCATCTCAGTTCACAGCAACCTCCGCCTCCCAGGTTCAAGTGATTCTCCTGCCTCAGCTTCCCGAGTAGCTGAGATTACAGGTATGCACCACCACACCCGGCTAATTTTGTATTTTTAGTAGAGACGGGGTTTCTCCATGTTGGTCAGGCTGGTCTTGAACTCCCGATCTCAGGTGATCTGCCTGCCTCAGCCTCCCAAAGTGCCGGGAATACAGGCATGAGCCACCGCACCCAGCCTCTTTTTTTTTTTTTTTTTTTTTTTTTTTAGATAGAGTCTCACTCTGTCGCCCAGCCTGGAGTGTAGCGGTGTGATCTCAGCTCATTGCAACGTCCGCCTCCTGGGTTCAAGGGATTCTCCCACCTCAGCCTCCTGAGTAGCTGCAATTACAGGCATGCACCACCATGCCTGGCTAATTTTTGTATTTTCAGTAGAGATGGGGTTTTGCCATGTTGCCCAGGCTGGTCTCGAACTCTTGGCTTCAAGCAATCCACCCACCTAAGCCTCCCAAAATGCTAGGATTACAGGCACACACCACTGAACCTGGCCTGTGTTAAACTTTTCACTGAGGTATAATATATGGATGGATGGATAGATAGGTAGGTAGATAGATAGATAGATAGATAGATAGATAGATAGATAGATAAAGCCCACATATCATACGTGTACAGCAGAATAAATTTTCACAAATTTAATACCCCATGTAACCAGCGCCCAGATCAAGAAACAAAACACAGACTGGGCAATACAGTGAGATCCTGTCTCTATAAAAAAATTTAAAAATTAGCTGGGCAGCCAGGCTTAGTGGCTCATGCCTGTAATCCCAGCACTTCGGGAGGCCAAAGCAGGCAGATCACTTGAGGTCAGGAGTTTGAGACCAGTCTGGTCAACATGCAAAACCCTGTCTCTACTAAAAATACAAAAATTTGCTGGGCATGGTGGCGCGTGCCTGTAATCCCAGCTATTCCTGAGGCAGGAGAATCCCTCGAACCCGGGAGGCAGAGGTTGCAGTGAGCTGAGATCGCGGCACTGCACTCTAGCCTGGGCGATAGAGTGAGACTCCATCTCTTAAATAAATAAATAAAAATTTGTGGGGCATGGTGGTGCATGCCTGTGGTCTCAGCTACCCAGGAGGCTGTGGCACGAGGATCTCTTGAGCACAGGATTTCAAGACTGCCGTGAGCCCTGATCACGCCACTGCACTACAGGCTGGGTGACAGAGTGAGACCCTACCTTAAAAAAAAAAAAAAAAAAAAAAAAAGAGTGGCTTGGCAGGCTTTTTCTGTAAAGGCCTAGAAAGGAAATATTTTAGCCTTTGTGAGCCAAGAGTCAAGCCCAAGGACATGGCTGTATGTGGGTACTCATATAATGAGAGAAAACAAATTTTTCACAAGTGCTTTATTGTTTTTTGCTTTTTCTAATTTTTTCTTTTTTTTTTGAGATGGAGTCTCGCTCAGTCGCCCAGGCTGGAGTGCAGTGGTGCGATCTCAGCTCACTGCAACCTCCGCCTCCCGGGTTCACGACATTCTTCTGCCTCAGCCTCCCAAGTAGCTGGGACTACAGGCGCCCGCCACCACACCCGGCTAATTTTTTCATATTTTTAGTAGAGACGGGGTTTCACTGTGTTAGCCAGGATGGTCTCGATCTCCTGACCTTGTGATCCACCCGTCTCGGCCTCCCAAAGTGCTGGGATTACAGGCGTGAGCCACCACGCCTGGCATTTTTTCGTATTTTTTTAGAGATGGGGTTTTGCCATGCTGCCCAGGCTGGAGTGCAATTGTGCGATCTCTGCTCATTGGAACCTCCGCTTCTTGGGTTCAAGTGTGATCTTCCCACCTTAGCCTCCCAAGTAACTGGGACTATAGGTGCGCACAACCACCTGGCCAATTTTTGTATTTCTAGTAAAGACAGGGTTTCACCACGTTGGCCAGGCTGGTCTTGAACTCCTGGGCTCAAGTGATCCACCCTCCTCGGCCTCCCAAAGTGTTGGGGTTATAAACATGAGCCACCACACCTGGCACAAATGCTTTATTGTTTTATAACGAATTCTAAAATAATAGTAGTAATTGAGTAGGATTTTTGTATCATCTGTCCACTGATGAGCAGAATGAAATTTGAATGGTTGGGAGATAACATTTTGCTTAACTGAGGTTCAAATGTAAAAACCATTCTTAACTCGAAGGTTGAATTTGGCCTCTCCTTTTCCTGAAGTTCTCAGAGCATTTATCACAAATTCCCTCCTATCATTTGTTGGTATTTGCTAGATCTTGTTCCAAGAAAAGAAGTGCCAGGGATGTTCACCCAAACTGTGCTACAGGTTAGTTTTATCATCTTGGGGATCACTGTAGCCATAACGGGTCCTTCGTCCAGTGCGTGGCAAGTTAAAACACTGAGACACCAGGTTGCAGCAGACAAAGAGGTTCAATCATAGGGCTGCTGAAGGAGGAGATGGGAGGAAATCTCAAATCCATCTCCTTGAGGAGTTTGGAGCTAGGGTTTTTTTTTTTTTTTTTTTTTTTTTTTTTGAGACAGAGTCTCGCTCTGTCACCCAGGCTGGAGTGCAGGGCCTGATCTTGGCTCACTGCAACCTCCGCCTTCTGGGTTCAAGCGATTCTCCTGCCTCAGCCTCCCGAGTAGCTGGGATTACAGGCATCCGCCACCGTGCCAGGCTAATTTTTGTATTTTTAGGAGAGACGGGGTTTCAGCATTTGGCCAGGCTGGTCTCGAACTCCTGACCTTGTGATCCACCCGCCTCAGTCTCTCAAAGTGCTGGGATTACAGGCGTGAGCCACCTCGCCCGACCTTTCGTTTTTGAGATGGAGTTTCGATCTTGTTGCCCAGGCTGGAGTACAATGGTGCAATCTCGGCTCGACGCAATCTCGGCTCACCGTGTTCTCGGCTCATCGCAGCCTCCGCCTCCCGAGTTTAAGCAATTCTCCTGCCTCAGCCTCCCGAGTAGCTGGGATTACAGGCATGCGCCACCACGCCAGGGTAATTTTGTATTTTTAATAGAGACGCGGTTTCTCCATGTTGGTCAGGCTGGTCGCTCACTCCCGACCTCAGGTGATCCACCTGCCTCGGCCTCCCAAAATGCTGGCAAGCCACTGTGCCTGGCCTATTTATTTTTGAGACGAAGCCTTCTGTCACCCAGGCTGGAGTGCAGTGGCGCAATCTCAGCTCACTGAAACCCCCGCCTCCCGGGTTCAAGTGATTCTCCTGCCTCAGCCTTCCAAGTAGCTGGGACTACAGGCACCCGCCACCACGCCCGGCTAATTTTTTTTTTGAGAGCGAGTCTTGCTCTGTTGCCCAGGCTGGAGTGCAGTGCAGTGGTAAAATCTCTGCTCACTGCAACTTCTGCCTCCTCGATTCAAGTGAATTTCCTGCCTCTGCCTCCCGAGTAGCTGGGACTGTAGGCGCCCGCCACCACGCCCAGCTAATTTTTTGTGTTTTTCGTAGAGACAGGGTTTCACTGTGTTAGCCAGGATAGTCTCGATCTCCTGACCTCGATCGACCCGCCTCACCCTCCTAAAGTGCTAGGATTACAGGCATGAGCCACCGAGCCCAGCCTTTTCTCTTTTTTTTTTTTTTTTTTTTGAGACAGAGTCTTGCTCTGTCGTCCAGGCTGGAGTGCAGTGGCACTATCTTGGCTCATTGCAACCTCCACCTCCCGGGGTCAAGTGATTCTCCTGCCTCAGCCTCCTGAGTAGCTGGAATTACAGGTGCCCATGACCACCCCCGGCTAATTGTTGTATTTTTAGTAGAGACAGGGATTCAGCATGTTGGTCAGTCTGGTCTCGAACTCCTGACCTTGTGATCCGCCCACCTTGGCCTCCCAAAGTGCTGGGATTACAGGCATGAGCCACAGCGCCCGGCCTATTTATTTATTTATTTATTTAGAGACGAAGTCTCTGTCGCCCAGGCTGGAGTGCAGTGGTGTGATCTTGGCTTACTGCAAGCTCCGCCTCCCAGGTTGACGCCATTCTCCTGCCTCAGCCTCCCGAGTAGCTGGGACTACAGGCACCTGCCACCACGCCTGGCTAATTTTTTTTTTGTATTTTTAGTAGAGACGGGGTTTCACCATGTTAGCCAGGATGGTCTCGATCTCCTGACCTTCATGATCCGCCTGCCTCGGCCTCCCAAAGTGCTGGGATTACAGGTGTGACCCACCGCGCCTGACCTCATTTTGTATTTTTAAATTTTGTGTACAGACAGGGTCTCGCTGTGTTGCCTAGGGTGGTCTCAAACTCCCGTTTTCAAGAGATGCTCCTGCCTTGGCCTTCCCAGGTTTTGGGATTACAAGAATGACCCACTGTGTCCCCCTGGCTGTAAACAATATTTAAACAAAATCCTTATGATTCTAATGTCAGAAATGCTATCTATAGAGGTCAGGTGTGGTGGCCCATGCCTCTAATCCCAGCACTTTGGGATGCCGAGGTGGGCGGATCACCTGAGGTCAGAAGTTCGACACCAGCCTGAGCAACATGGCAAAACTCCCATCTCTACTGAAAATAGAAAAATTAGCCAGGTGTGGTGGCATGTGCGTATAATCCCAACTACTCAGGAGGCTGAGGCACGAGGGTTGCTAGAACCCGGAAGGCAGAGGTTGCAGTGAGCTGAGATCATGCCACTGCACTCCAGCCTGGGCAACAGAGACTCCATCCAAAAAAAAAAAAAAATTCCTATCTATAGGAATAACGGGGATACAAATAGTCAATATCTAATGCTAGGTGACTTTTGGTTATAAGGAAGTGGGTCAAAGTGAAGCCTGATTAATGCTTAATTATAACATTCTTTCTGCCATGATTTCTTATTAACTTATGAGAACAGCTTCATTACTACACTCATCTGCAGAATATTTGCTGAACAAATACTATGTTCTGGAAGCTGTGCTTGAGCCTGTGGACACAGCAGGAAACAAGGTAAGTCTGAGCCCTCCCTCTCAAAGCTTCAAGTCTAATAAAGAGAGAGAGAAAAGTTAAAAGGTAAGACCCTTGACCTTTCTGAGTCTCAGTTTCCCATACTATAAAATGGGCATAATAATCTGTGACCCATGTCCTCACCAACTGGTCATGAGACCCAAGAGGGAAGATGAATGTGCTTTGTAAACTTGAAAGCATCTTACTGATGTGAGCCGGGACCTTCCTCATGTATTATTTTTAGCTGCTTTTTCTGGTCTAAAACAAGATTTTTTTTTCTGAGACGGAGTCTCGCTCTGTCGCCCAGGCTTTAGTGCAGTGGTGCGATCTTGGTTCACTGCAACCTCCGCCTCCCAGGTTCAAGCAATTCTCTGCCTCAGCCTCTGGAGTAGCTGGGATTACAGGCATCCGCAACCATGCCCAGTTAATTTTTGTATTTTTAGTAGAGACGGGGTTTCATCATCTTGGCCTAGGTGGTCTTGAACTCCTGACCTCGTGATCCACCCACCTCAGCTTCCCAAAGTGCTTGATTACAGGCGTGAGCTACTGAGCCCGGCCGATTTTTTTTTTTTTTTTTTTGAGACAGAGTCTCTGTCGCCCAGGCTGGGGTGCAATGGCGCCATCTCAGCTCACTGCAGTCTCTGCCTCCTAGGTTGAAGCGATTCTCCAGCTTCAGCCTCCCGAGTAGCTGGGACTACAGGCACAAGCCACCATGCCCAGCTAGTTTTGGTATTTTTTAGTAGAGACAGGGTTTCACCATGTTGACCAGGATGGTCTCAAATTCCTGACCTGAAGTGATTGTCCTGCTTCGGCTTCCCAAAGTGCTGGGATTACAGGCATGAGCCCCCACAACCAGCTAGAGCTGGGAATTGAACCCAAACAGTTCCAGAGCTATCTCTTGCTCTAGTCCACACTTTTCAGCTGCCCCAGAAGGGCCCTGCTTGAGACTGTGGGGTCACCTGTGCCCATCCCTGCTCTGTGAGTCATCTTGAAACCCCCTCTGTATCAGACAGGTTGCCCAGACATCCCGAACACCCTGTTTTGGACAGACAGCATCAGGTGGTGATGGTATGGGACGAAAATGCTTCTGTGTCAGCCAAATTCCCTCCTTCCCTCTGAAGCAAGGAAGGGGAACCAGCTCAAGTCTCGAGAAATTTAATGAGGTTTGGTAAGGAATGCACTCTTTTGAAAAATGCGTGCATAATAACAGTGATTTAAACCGCCGAGAAGATGAAAAATAATGAGTGGTTTCGTTGTCAGAGTGGCAGGGACTAAGCCACAGCCTCGAGGGCGTGGACACATGGTTCCCCTCCATTCGATTCAGACTTGGAGACAGCTCAGCTTCCCTGGGTCTTAGTTTTCTCATTCCTCAAAGGAAGGATTGGATTCCAGCTAAAAATGATACTTTGCAGGGCAACTAGTGGACACAGAAATGACTGTCTTGGCCCCATGCAGTGGCTCACACCTGTAATCCCAGCACTTTGGAAGGCCGAGGCCGGTGGATCACGAGGTCAGGAGTTCAAGACCAGTCTGGCCAAGATAGTGAAACCCCATCTCTACTAAAAATACAAAAATTAGCCAGGTGTGGTGGTGGGCACCTGTAGTCCCACCTACTCGGGAGGCTGAGGCAAAGAACTGCTTGAATCTGGAAGGTGGAGGTTGCAGTGGACCGAGATCACGCCACTGCACTCCAGCTTGGGCGACAGAGCGAGACTCCATCTCAAAAAAAAGACTCTTTCCTACATATAGGCCAAGATCAGGCTCCCACCAGCGAGGTACATCCTCCTTTGGTGCTGACTTCCTGCTTCCTGAGCCCCATAATCCTGCCACTGTCTGATGACGAGGTCGCACACTTGGCAACACTTTTTCTACTTTTTTTAAATTTTTTTGAGACAGGGTCTCATTCTGCCGCTCAGGCTGGAGTGCAGTGGCGCGAGCATAACTCATTCCACCTTCTGGGCTCCAGTGAGCCCCCTGCCTCAATCTCTTTAGTAGCTGGGGCTGCAGATGCACACCATTATGCCCAGCTAATTTTTTTTTTTTTTTTTTTTTTTTTTTTTTTTTTTTTTTTGAGACTGAGTCTTGCTCTGTAGCCCAGGCTGGAGTGCAATGGTGTGATCTCGGCTCACTGCAACCTCCGCCTCCCAGGTTCAAGCAATTCTCCTGCCTCAGCCTCCTGAGTAGCTGGGATTACAGGCACCTGCCACCATGCCCAGCTAATTTTTGTATTTTTAGTAGAGACGGGGTTTCACCATGTTGGCCAGGCTGGTCTCAAACTCCTGACCTCAGGTGATCCGCCCACCTCGGCCTCCCAAAGTGCTGGGATTACAGGCGTGAGCTACCGCGCCCAGCCTGCCCAGCTAATTTTTAAATTTTATGTAGAGACAGGATCTCCCTACGCTGCCCAGGCTGGTCTCAAACTCCCAGACTCAAGCAATCCTCCCACCTTGGTCTCCCAAAGTATTGGGATTACAGGCGTGAGCCCCAGTGCTCCGCCTGGTAACACTTTCAAAGGCAAAAGGCTTTCTGTGGATTGGGACCCAACCTGTGTAATTCAATGCATGCCTTCAAGCAGGCTTGCTTTCTTGTACACTACCCAACTTTCCTTCATCATGGATTTTTCTAGACAGTCAGACGCCATGGTCCATCGTAGACTGGAGAACATCAGAGTTGGGAGGAGCCAGAAGCATCAAATCCTATTCCTCAAGCCAAGGTGGTTTGTGGAACCATCTTCCTCATTTTTGCTAGAGCTATGCAACACCTGAGTAAATGTCTTTCTTTAAATAAAAACATTTTCTTTTTTTTTTTTTTTTTGTTGAGACAGAGTCTCACTCTGTCATCCAGGCTGGATTGCAGCGGTGACAACTCAGCTCACTGTAACTTCCACCTCCTGGATTCAAGTGATTCTCCTGCCTCAGCCTCCTGAGTAGCTGGGATTACAGGCATGTACCACCATGCCCAGCTAATTTTTGTTTATTTAGTAGAGACGGAGTTTCATCATGTTGGCCAGGCTGGTCTCAAACTCCTGACCTTAAGTGATCCACCCACCTTGGCCTCCCAAAGTGCTGGGATTACAGGTGTGAGCCACTGTTATCTGGCCCTCTTTTATTTTTTTCTAAGTTCACATCAAATGGGTAATGTGCTGATGACTTAACAAGGTTTGAGGGAGGCACATTCAACACATGAACATGAAAACTCAATCACTTTTATGAACCACATAAGTGTTCATGATCCAAACACTTATTTTATTTATTTATTTATTTATTTATTTATTTATTTATTTATTTATTTATTATTTTTGAGATGGAGTCTCACTCTGTCGCCCAGGCTGGAATGCAGTGGTGCGTTCTCAGCTCACTGCAACCTCCACCTCCCAGGTTCAAGCGACTCTCCTGCCTCAGCCTCCCCAGTAGCTGAGATTACAGGCATGCACCACCACACCCAGCTAATTTTTGTATTTTTAGTAGAGACGGGGTTTCACCATGTTGGCCAGGCTGGTCTCGAATTCCTGACCTAAGGTTATCCACCCACCTCGGCCTCCCAAAGTGCTGGGATTACAGGTATGAGCCACCTCGCCTGGCCGAGATTGTCTTTTAAGATGATGCCTCTGCGTGACACTCAAAGCCCACAGAACCATGTGTTATTCACTCCAGAGGCCCTTCTGTTTCCAGCCTCAGAACCAAGACCTCTGTAGAGATAGCAAGATAAGGAGCAAGCAGGAGTCCTAACAGGAGGGGGTGTTTAAGGAGAGGCCAGTGGGGACAGTGGAATAAGTGTAGGAATGGCTTGGGTGGAACCCTGAAGTTAGCGGCAATAAATCTCAGCCTCTGAAAATAGATGAGGTGGGCCAGGCATGGTGGCTTACGCCTGTAATCCAAGCACTTTGGGAGGCCAAGGTGGGCGGATCACCTGAGGTTGGGAGTTCAAGACCAGCCTGACCAACATGGAGAGACCCCCATCTCTACTAAAAATACAAAATTAGCCTAGCGTGGTGGCGCATGCCTGTGGTCCCTGCTGCTCGGGAGGCTGAGGCAGGAGAATCGCTTGAACCCGAGAGGCGGAGGTTGTGGTGAGCTGAGATCACGCCATTGCACTCCAGCCTCAGCGACAGAGTGAGACTCCCATCTCACACACACACACACACACAAATTAACAACAACAAAAAGAAAATAGACAAGGTGGCTCATGCTTGTAATTCCAGTACTTTGGGAGGCCGAGGTGGGAGGATCACTTAAGTTCAGGAGTTCAAGATCAGCCTGGGCAACACAGCAAGCCCTCATCTCTTACTAAAAATGAAAAAATTAGCCGGGCACGGTAGCACACGCATATAGTCCCACCTACTCCGGAGGTTGAGGCTGGAGAATTGCTTGAGCCCAGGAGACTGAGGCTGCAGTCCAGCCTGACAGACAGAGTGAGACACCATCTCTAAAAAAAAAAAAAGAAAAGAAAAGAAAAAGAAAGAATGGGTTTTCAGATTCTGACTTCACCACTTCCACCTGTGAGACCGTGAACAAGTTTCTTAACTTATGTCTTGGCTTCCAGATCTATAAAATGGACTGTTAGGGGATGAATACGTCCCCCCGAGTCCATATGCTGAAGTGCAAACCACCAGTATCTCAGAATGTGGCTGTACTGTATTTGGAAATAGGGTCTCAAAAGAGGTAATAAAGTTAAAAAGAGGTCATTACACTGGCCCTAATGCAATGTGACCGGTATCCTTGTAAGAAAAGATGAGGACACAGACACACTCAGAGGGAAGATCACGTGAAGACAAGAGAGAAGGTGGCATTTACAAGCTATGGAGAGAGGCCACAGAAGAAACCAACCCTGCTGACCCCTTGGTCTTAGACTTACAGCCTCCAGAGCTGTGAGAAAATAAGGTTCTGATTTTAAGCCACCCTGTCTGTGGTACTTTGTTATGGCAGCCCTAGCAAACTAATACGGGGACCCACAAAAGTATCCGTGTTGCATGGATGTTATGAAGATGAAACCAGCTTTTTACGGGGAGTGCCTGGCCCAATGTCTGGCGCAAGGTAAGAGCTCAGTGCACACCAGAGAGAGCATCTTGGTTCTATTTAAGAACTCCTCTGCTTCATCTAGCTGACTCAGGCCACTTAGTGAATGTGAAAATCAGACAGTCCAGATATTTGGCACTGCAGGGACTCCCCACGGGATCGATTTCTTCATTTTTCAAAAGGTTATTATGCTTTTGCATGACATGACGTGGCCTGAAATGCAATGATTCCCAGCCACCAGGGCCACCTGATACATTAAACAGGCGGCACTCCTTCTGGCCTTGTCATTAACCTTCCCGGCAAATGACACAGTTCTGCAGCTGGGCCCAAAGCCTTGGTTTTTCTCGTCCATTCCAACTCTCATGGTTCTTGACCTCACCCAAAAGTCGCCCACCCGCTAGGCTTCATTTCGCAATCGATGCTGGATGAACAGCTGTAGGACCTGCACTTTGTTTGTGCCTCTGTCTCTTTTTCTTTTTGAGACAGAGTCTCACTCTGTCACCCAGGCTGGAGTGCAGTGGCATGATCTTGGCTCACTGCAACCTCCACCTCCCAGGTTCAAGCGATACTCTTGCCTCAGCCTCCGGAGTAGCTGGGATTACAGGTGCCTGCCACCACGCCTGGTTAATTTCTATAGTTTTAGTAGAGACGGGGTTTCCCCATGTTGGTCAGGCTGGTCTCTAACTCCTGACCTCAGGTGATCTGCCTGCCTCAGCCTACCAAAGTGCTGGGATTATAGGCGTGAGCCATCGTGCCTGGCCAGCCTCTCTTTTTCTAATCTCATGACTATACATCCATATTGCCCACTGGCAGGGGAAGATGGAATCTCTGCAGAAGTTAGCTTTTATTTGCAAGCTTAGGTGAGGGATAGTCTTAGAAAATGACTGGAGAGCCTTTATTTATTTATTTTTTTGAGACTCAGTCTCGCTCTGTCACCCAGGCTGGAATGCAGTGGTACTCTTGGCTCACTGCAATCTCTGCCTCCCGAGTTCAAGCGATTCCCCTGCCTCAGCCTCCTGAGTAGCTGGGACTACAGGCACGTGCCACCACGCCCAGCTAATTTTTTGTATTTTAGTAGAGATGGGGTTTCACCATGTTGGCCAGGATGGTCTCAGTCTCCCGACCTCATGATCCACCCATCTTGACCTCCTGAAGTGCTGGGATTACAGGCGTGAGCCACCGCGCCCGGCCGACTGGAGAGCTATTGATTACAGACCAGCTTTACAAATTGTGGCTCTATCTCAAGCCAGGAACACAACATGAATGCAAACACTCCTGCAGATTGGGAGCGCCGGTGGTTACAAACTAACAGGCAGACATTGATGAAAGTGATTTCGATCCTGTTTTTCCTGAAAAATTAGATTTAACTCCCAAGGTGTGCTCATTTTCATTTCAAATTTCTCCTGTACTAAAGGAGGAAGAGCAGGCCCAGCTGATGGCAAAACTGTGAAGTGGTTGCTTACTCCTTCAGATGCAGGCAACAGGGGCTGCAAAAGCGTGAGCTCCTCCAACCCTCAGGAAGAGAAGTGGGTGCACCAGCTGCCAGGCCCGGGGCAGTGTAGAGGGTCAGTAAATATCTGTTGAATTTCCTTAAGTCTTCATTAGGCCAGTGTATTAGTCCGATTTCACACTGCTATAAAAATACTACCCAAGACTGGGTAATTTATAAACAAGGGAGGTTTAATTGACTCACAGTTCAGCATGGCTGGGGAGGCTTCAGGAAACTTACAATCATGGCAGAAGGGCAAGCAGGCACCTTCTTCAAAAGGCAGCAGGAGGCCGGGCGTGGTGGCTCACTTGAGGTCAGGAATTTGAGACCAGCCTGGCCAACATGGTGAAACCCCATCTCTACTAAAAACACAAAAATTAGCCAGGTGTGCTGGTGTGTGCCTGTAATCCTAGCTACTTGGGAGGCTGAGACAGGAGAATTGCTTGAACCAGGAGGCAGAGGCTGCAGTGAGCCAAGATCACTGCACTCCAGCCTGGGCAACAGAGTGAGACTCCATCTCAAAAAAATAAAATAAAATAAAAATAAATAAATAAATAGCTGGGCGCAGTGGCTCACGCCTGTAATCCCAGCACTTTGGGAGGCTGAGGTGGGCTGATCACGAGGTCAGGAGATCGAGACCATCCTGGCTAACACGGTGAAACCCCGTCTCTACTAAAAATACAAAAAATCAGCCACGCGAAGTGGTGGGCGCCTGTAGTCCCAGGTACTCGGGAGGCTGAGGCAGGAGAATGGCGTGAACCCAGGGGACGTAGCCTGCAGTGAGCCAAGATCGCGCCACTGCACTCCAGCCTGGGCAACAGAGCAAGGCTCCGTCTCAAAAAATAAAAAAATAAATAATAAATAAATTAATAAATAAATAAAAACATGACATTTGGGTGGGGACACAAAGCCTAACCACATCAGCCAGCTTGGTGAGTCTTGGTATTCTGCATCCTGGACCTCCTCACCCTGGACTAGATGCATCTTTTTTTTTTTTTTTTTTTTTGAGACGGAGTCTTGCTCTGTCGCCCAGGCTGGAGTGCAGCGGCGCGATCTCTGCTCACTGCAAGCTCCACCTCCCGGGTTCATGCCATTCTCCTGCCTCAGCCTCCCGAGTAGCTGGGACTACAGGCACCCGCCACCATGCCTGGCTAATTTTTTGTATTTTTAGTAGAGACGGGGTTTCACCGTGTTAGCCAGGATGGTCTCGATCTCTTGACCTCGTGATCCACCCTCCTCGGCCTCCCAAAATGTTGGGATTACAGGCGTGAGCCACTGCGCCCAGCTAGATGCATCTTAAAGTATGAGAAACCACCTTTTGAATGGCTTCCACAGGGTATGGAAAAGTGGTATGATTTCAGTAGCACTTCTCATACTTTTTTTTTTTTTGAGATGGAGTTTCGCTCTTGTTGCCCAGGCTGGAGTGCAATGGCGCAATCTCCGCTCACCACGCCCGGCTAATTTTTAGTAGAGACGGGGTTTCTCCATGTTGGTCAGGCTGGTCTCGAACTCCTGACCTCAGGTGATCTGCCCGCCTCAGCCTCCCAAAGTGCTGGGATTATAGGTGTGAGCTACCATGCCTGGCTGCACCTCTCATACTTTAAGATGCATAAAAATCACCTGTTAAAAATGCACATTCTGGGCCGGGTGTGATGGCTCACGCCTGTAATTCCAGCACTTTGGGAGGTCGAGGTGGGTGGATCACCTGAGGTCAGGAGTTCGAGACCAGCCTGGCCAACATGGCAAAACCCCGTCTCTACTAAAAATACAAAAAATTAGCTGGGTGTGGTGGCAGGTGCCTGTAATCCCAGCTATTTGTGAGGATGAGGCAGGAGAATCGCTTGAACTGGGAGGTGGAGGTTGCAGTGAGCCCAAATTGCGCTACTGCACTCCAGCCTGGGCAACAAGAGGGAAACTCCAACTCAAAAAAAAAAAAAAAAAAAAAAAACACATTCTGATTCAGTAGGTCTGGGGGCTGAACCTGAGATTCAGTGTTTATTTTTATTTTTTTGAGACAGGGTCTCACTCTGTCACCTAAGCTGGAGTGCAATGGCATGATCATGGCTCACAGCAGCCTGGACTTCCCAGGCTCTGGCGATTTTCCCACCTCAGCCTCCAAAGTAGCTGGGACTACAGGTTTGCGTCACCACACCTGACTAATTTTTTTCTTTTCTTTTCTTTTATTTGAGAGAAGTCTCACTCTTATCCCCCAGGTTTGAGTGCAATGGCTCGATCTTGGCTCACTGCAACCTCCGCCTCCCGGGTTCAAACGATTCTCCTGCCTCTGCCTCCCAAGTAACTGGGATTAAGTTGCCTGCCACCACGCCCGGCTAATTTTTGTATATTTTAGCAGAGACGGGAGTTTCACCATGTTGGCCAGGCTGGTTTCGAACTCCTGACCTCAAGTGATCTGCCCGCCTCGGCCTCCCAAAGTGCTGGGATTACAGGCGTGAGCCACTGCGCCTGGCCGCGGCTGGCTAATTTTTTTCTAATTTTTGTAGAGATGGGGTCTCACCATGTTGTCCAGGCTGGTCTCCAACTCCTGGGCTCAAGCAATCGTCCTGCCTCAGCCTCCCAAAGTGCTGGGATTACAGGCGTGTACCACCACGCCTGGCCAGATTCTGTGTTTCTGACAATCCTCCTACTGATGCAGATGCCTGTACACTTCCTGGCTATCCTATCTGCCAGCTGTGTGGCCTCAGGAGGCCTCAGCATCTCCCTGGGCTTCAGTTCTTCCGCTGGATATTATTTAGATGAACAAACATATATTGACAGCTTACTACACGCCGGGCTGCTCTGGGTGCTTGCTAGAAAAACAAAGATGAAGAAGCCACAAGCCAAGCCCAGGCATGCCTCACAGACAGAGAACTTAAAGGTCCAACTACAATATTTAAAGACTCTGCGTTTGAAAATTTCATGACTCATTGGCAGAAATAGGACGACCGGATCTGCATCTCCCAGAAAACATCTCTCCAAACACTATGACAGGGATTCCCCGCTGACTACTGTCCTCAGAATCAGGGAATACGAAATCCAGAAGTAACCTCAAGAGAAATTTAGCCCAAACTCTATCTTGCCATTTTACAGAGAGGAGAAACTAGAGAACAGATGCAGAAAGAGTGGGGTCTGGAGGAAATTACTGGTTTTCCAGCTATGCTTTCGAAGGCTGTGATGTCCAACAGGAATAACATATGAGCTACAAAAAACTTAATATGTAATATTAAATTTTGTGGTAGTCACATTGAAAAGAGTAAAAAGAAGCCAGGCACAGTGACACATGCCTATAATCCTAGCACTGTGGGAGGCCAAGGCAAAAGGATTGCTTGAGGTCAGGAGTTTGAGACCAGCCTGGGGAACATAGTGAGACCTTGTCTCCACAAAAAAATTTTAAAAATTAGCTGGGCGTGGAGGTGCACGTCTACAGTCTCAGCTACTAGGGTGGCTGAGGCAGGAGAACTGTTTGACCCCAGGAGGTCGAGGCTGTAGTGAGCCAAGATGGCGCCACTACAGTCCAGCCTAGGTGACAGAGTGAGACCCAGTTTCCAAAAAAAAAAAAAGAGAAAGAATCGTTTCCATTGGTTAGCGCATCACTCCCAGGATCACTGGTTTCATTTTTATAGACACTGGATCAGAAAATTAATCTTTCAAGTACAGGTGTAGCTTTCTGTAGCCAAGTTGAATAGAATTACACTTCTGAGGCTGGGCACAGTGGCTCACGCCTGTAATCCTAGCACTTTGGGAGGCGAAGGCGGGCAAATCACGAGGTCAGAAGTTCAAGACCAGCCTGGCCAACATGGTGAAACCCCGTCTCTACTAAAAATACAAAATTAGCTAGGCGTGGTGGTATGCGCCTGTAATCCCAGCTACTTGGGAGGCTGAGGCAGGAGACTGCTTGAACCTGGGAGGTGGAGGTTGCCACCACTGCACTCCAGCCCGGGTGACAGTGCGAGACCCCACCTCAAAAGAAAAAAAAAAATGAATTATACTTCTGAGGCTGTGCACAGTGGCTCACCCCTATAATCCCGCAACTTTGGGAGGCTGAGGTGGGAGGACCACTCGAGACCAGCCTGGGCAACAGAGAGAGACCTTGTCTCTACAAAACATTAAAAAAGAAAAAAAATTTAGCCAAGTGTAGCTGTCCATGCCTGTGGTCTCAGCTACTTGGGAGGCTGAAGCGAGAGGATCGCTTGAGCAAGGAAGGTAGAGGCTGCAGTAAGCTGGGATCATACCATCACCCTTCAGCCTGGGTGCTGGAGGAGCAAGATTCTATCTAAAAAAATAAAAAAAAAAAAAAAAAAAAGAAAGAAAAAATCACACCTCACCCCTGGAAAAGAACTTAAGCGTAGCTGAATCTAACTTGCAATATGATTTTGCTGAAGATGAGGTTAAAGAGTGACGGCAGGCTGGCACTTGCAGCCACATTTCCAAAATTCTGGGTGTAAAATGCTCAGCACAGTGCCAGACACCTGTGCCTCAAAGTGTCAGAGAAATCTCAGCCACCTTCTTTCCCTTCCCCTCTCCCGGTTTTGCACCAAACCATCCTGTCCCTGGAGAATTTGCTCAATTAGAAGCGAGGTGAAATTCCAAGCACAGTTTGAAGGAGGAAGTGTCATTTTCAGCTTGCCTGTAGGTGCACCTCACTATGTAACATTTGTTACATAAGTGGCAGCATGACACGCCTAACTGATGAATGTCTGTTGCACACCCAATTCCAGCCGGGAGAGTCACGCAGGCTTTCCCTGGGAGAATAGTGGTGTGGAATTGAGGCATGGAGTTGCAAAAATTACTTTTGTCTTCTGACAAGTAGGGCCAGTTCCAGGGTGTTATACCCAAAGTGCTTTTCTACTGCAGCATAACCTCAAGAAAAACCAGTTTCAGGAGCACCACACCTAGGATCAGATGATGCAATATGATATTAGCGTCTCATTGCATCAGTGTGTCTGAGGCATGAGTCTTTTAAGCTGGCAAAAAGCATTATAAAGGGGCAGGAGAAAAAAGGAAAAGACTTGCAGACTGAAATCTAAAGGTACTGTCAGTGGTGTTCCTAATTGGCCACACAGGGTGTTTAGAGGATAAACACCCAGCCACCCGCCTCGGCTGACAAGCATCAGCATGCCATTTCCTGAAGGGGACTTGATGGCATATTTAGGCGAAATTCTTTTCTGGTTGGTTCTACTTATGCTTTATATCAAAGCGTCAAAGTTTAACCTCTAAAAAATCTTTTTAAATGCAGGTCTATTAAGAATAGGCTTTCAAAGGGTGCTTCTATTCCATCTTGACTTTTCTGAAAATCTCTGAAACGTACCAGTTGATTTCTCATTTCCAAAGTTCTTTTACATAAGCACTCTCAGCTCTCTTGACACACAGACTTTTGACTTTGATCAAATACCTTAGATTTGGGCCTCTTGGTTTCTCTGTCTTCCTTTACAGGACACTTGATGCTTCCCAGTCCTGTTTCTTGCACTAACAATGAATGAATGAATCACAAAAATCCTAGAACTTTATGCGTTTTCAAGAAGTTGCCTGAAGAAGGAACTTCCTTGTGCGGTACGCCTCAGGAAAAAAGAAGCAGGAGAAAAGCTTTGAGAGGAGAGCAAGTGACGGTGAGATCGTAATGGAAGTGGGGTGGAGAGGTGGAGGGTGGAGACCGGTAGGAAGCAAGCAAGGCTTTTTTCACCCGTCCCAGGACACGCGAACGAGATCAAGCCTCACTGCGGTTCACTAGGGTCTATGCAGGCCCTCGCACCCCTGCCTACCTCCTCAGAACCCAGCCTCTTGGCTCTTCTCACCCCAGCCCCACCAGACAGCTTCCCTCCCAGGAGGTGTCTCTCAAGATCTCGAAATGTGGAGCGTCCCGTTCACTCCACCTGGCCTGGAATACTTTTCCTGCCCCCTTTCATCGGGTCTTATTCATCCTTTAAGTTGTTCAGCATAACTTTCCACCTGAATGCCTTCCCTGGCCCTGGACTAGGATAAATCCCCTCGCCATAATGTTCCTACACAGGCATCACTTTGTAAAGCTTACCACTGTTGTAATTACTTGTTTACTGATCTGTCTTTCCGTTAGGCTGTGCGTTCCACTGGGGTGGAAACCTTGTTCACTGGCTCTGCAGCCCCGGGCACTGTGGGTCTTGCATGTACCGGGGGCTCAGTAAATATTTGGCAAAAAATGAAAAAGTTCCCCTCAAAGCCAGCTTCCAGTGCCTCCACGGCCCTCAAATTAATTATGAATTAATTCACTAATACAGCAAACCTTTATGTGATTCTTCCGTGTCACAGCACCTTGTTACATACTGAGGACACATCCACAGGCAAATAAAACTCAGCTTCTCTCTGCACAGGAAAAAATTATTCAAATTGTATTCATCTTTCATTCCAATCACTCAATTAGGGCACGTCCCTTGTTGGCTGCTGCGTGAGCGAAGTAACTATTTTCCAGCGAGTGTCCTCATGTGACCTGTCTAGACGTGCCCAGGAAAAACAATCCAACATCCTCCTAAGCCGCAAAGAAGTCCCTGACGCGCAGGCCGCACTGCGTGGAAGGCCCAAAGCGCGCTCGCGGGCCCGCGAAAGGCGCAGGAGCAGCGGAGCCGAGGCGGGCGGCGAGGCGCGCGGCGCGCGGCGCAGGCTCGGGTGGGCAGGGCAGGGCCAGGCCGGGCGGGGCGGGGGCGCCGGCAACGGGTCCGCCGGCCGGCAGGGGGCGCGCGCGCCCCGCGCCCCGCGCCTCCCGCCCCGCCGCGCGCTCGCTTGCCGCGCGGCCGCACATGTGTTTCTGTTTTGTGTTGTAGCATTTGTTCTGGAAGCTCGTATTTACATTTTAAGTGTATCTGGTGAGTGGGCTGGAGCCCTCGTCTGGGCCGGAAAAAAAAAAGCCCTCCGATCCGTCTTTTAGTTGCTTCTCTTCCTTTTTTCTCTCCGGTTTCTCATCACTCCAACCAGGTAGGGTCTGAAAATCGACAGTGATCAGTTTGTGGGGTCTGGGAAAGTTTTTTTTTTTTTCCTTTTTTTAAAGAGAAAAGGTTAAAAAAAAACCTGGGGGAGGGGGGCTGGGTGATTGAAGGAATAAAAAGAGGAAGGAAGGCGGATCCACGTGGTTTAATCGGAGACAGACAGAGATCCCATTGTTCAAAATCAATTAAAAAAAAAAAAAAAAGCAGACAGGGGAGAGCGCAGGGACGCCGGGGAGCTGGCGGCGGCCCTGGACACTTTGCAGTCGAATCGGAGACCGGCCGGGCCGCACGGCCGGCAAGGGGGCTGGGAGAGAGTTGGGCACCATTAAAGTTTTTATTTTTCGTGTCTGTGCGAGCAGGTGTTTGGGGCTGGGGTCCAGCTTTCTTCGGGCTCTTCCCCCGTCGCCGGGGGCAGTCCGCCGTAGGGATTCGGCTAACTAGAGCCCGAGGTCGGCACCCCTGAGCTGGGGCCGAACGGGGGTCCAGGGCTGATGCGGGGTGGGGGAGAGCGTTGCATTAAATGCCATGAGTGGGTTTGGGGGGAGACTGCGGAGACAAAAGCAGCAGGTGGGGTAGCCGGGGAGCAGGGGCTCCCTTACCACCCAGGTGCCAAGGGGGAATCCTGGAAGTGTCCCGAAGCCTTCTTTAATGAAAATCTAGGGGACTGGAGGCTGGTTTTACTTTCCCTTTACTTTTGGGGGGCGAGGTTGCAACTGTGATGCTTTGTGGGCAAACCTAACTTACGGATAGGCCGGGGGTCTCAATTCTCCCTCCAGGGGATTGCCTCTGGGGCTCCCGGCTGCCCTGCGGGATTCCCCGAAGGAGCCGCGCCGGGGCCAGGGAGGGGCGCGATTTCCTCTCCCAACTCGCCCCCTCTCCGCCCACCCTGCGGCCGCCACTTTGGGGAGGGCAGAGGAGGAAGTGGAGGCCGGGTGGCTCGTCTCCGCTCCCCTCCCCCCGCGCAGTTTATAACCCGTCCATTGTGCGCCGCTGCCCCGTGTCTCCCTCCAGCCGCGACCATGCCCAGGAAGAAGGCGGCGGCGGCGGCCTGGGAGGAGCCGAGCTCGGGCAACGGCACTGCCCGCGCCGGGCCCAGGAAACGCGGCGGCCCGGCGGGCAGGAAGCGCGAGCGGCCCGAGCGCTGCAGTAGCAGCAGCGGCGGCGGCAGCAGCGGCGACGAGGACGGCCTGGAGCTCGACGGGGCCCCCGGCGGGGGCAAGCGCGCGGCGCGGCCGGCGACAGCAGGCAAGGCGGGCGGCGCGGCCGTGGTCATCACCGAACCCGAGCACACCAAGGAGCGCGTCGTGAGTGAGGGTCAGGGTAGACGGGTGGGCGCAGGGCCGGGGCCGGCGGGCTCAGCGACGCGGCACGGCGCGCGTTCCAGCCGGGGGCCGCCTCGCGTCACGCTCCCTCCCGGCGGCCGGGCCGGCGCAGGCCGCGGGCTGAATCATTGCCTCCGCCTCCGCGCAACAAAAGGGCTCGGTACGGGGCGCGCGGCCCGCGGCCTACCCGACCCCGGGCACCGCGCGGGCGGTTGGCGGTTGGGGCGCGCGCCCGGGCCCGCGGCGGGGGAGGGGCGGCCGAAGCCCGCACGAGGGGGTCATGGCCCCGCCCCCACAGCTCCCTCTGCGCCCCTCCCCCCCCGCCCCGGGAAAGGGGACCTCGGTAAGTTCGCCCGGCCTGGAAGAGGGGGCGGCCAGCGGGCCCCACACGTCCGTGGCCGCCGCTGCGCCCGGGCGCCGCGGGGAGGGGGCGGCCGGCGCTCTGCGGGGAGCGGCCGTTTGCGCCGGGGCTTTGAGGTTCCCGCCGCCTCGGCTCCGGCGCCCGGGGGGGGCGGGGCCTGACGGCCGCCGCGCATGCTCCGCAGAGCCCTCCCCCGAGGTCGGGGAAGCCCCCCGGCTGAGCGGTGCTCGGGCTTTGTTTGCCGCCGGTGGTCCGAAGCTGCAGGATGCTCGCGAGGGCTCTGTTGTAGCCCCCCCAAGTGAAGAAGCATCTCCTAGGGTCCTGGGCGGGCTTCTGTTTTCTCAAATCTTAATTAAGGTCGTGGCTGACTCAAGTTAACGTTCCCGAAAAAGCCTGCAGAGCCGGAGATCTGAACCCGGCATCTGCCGCCACAGCATCTCCCCACCCCCACAGAACTTTCTTTAAGTTTGGTGTGGTGTGGGATATGTTTTTCAGAAGAGGGTCTAAGTTTTCACCAGATTCTCAGATAACCCCCAGAGAGCAAGAACTTCCACCTGGGGTGTAGAGCCTGACACCCGGAGAGGTTTTTTTCCTTCCATAAGTGCCCATCTCCTAAGGGTGTTTAAGGGTTAACAGCAGAGTGCTTTCCTCCAGAGAAGCGCAGGCAGTGTCTAATAACACATTTTCTACGTCCGTTTTATAGATAGGGAAACTGGGGCACAGAATTCGAGGGCCTTGTCCAAAGTCATGGATGGAACTGGATCTCCAAATGCTGTAACTCCTGATGTCCCTGCAAATTGCACATGGGAATATGCTTTGTAAAAGTGCCTTCTGGGTGAAAGGGTTAACATGTTAGGCAGTGGAGGAGAGCCCGTCAAAAGCTGTCAAAAGGTCTTGCCCGGGGTCTTGGATCAGGCTAGACTAGACAATGGCCAAAGTATTGAGAAACTGGAACACAGGAACTGTTTTCCTTTGACGTCTAGTCTGCTGTGCCAGACTCCAGACATTTGCCCTCCGAACACAGTATGTTAGGATGAAACTAAAAAGAAAGGCCAGGTGAGCTTCCGCGTCTCCTGTATCCTATTTTGAGTGAGTTTCCAAAAGCAAGATTGTGTTTAGACATCCAAGACTGCAGTTATCAGCTGTACAGCTCCAGACTGTTGGAACGCTGAATTTTGCCATCAGAGCAAAAGATCCTTACCCCATGCTGAGATTGACCCAAGGAGGTAGAGACAGGGAGTGTGTGAGGGACACTGGCTCTCCCTGGCCCACCTCTGTCTCCAGCTGTGCTGCTTGAAGCTGCTTTGTCAATGGAAATGGCACATTTGTTAGTCTTTTTTTTTTGAGGCAGAGTCTCCCTCTATGGCCAGGCTGGAGTGCAGTGGCACGATCTCAGCTCACTGCAACCTCCGCCTCTCAGGTTCAAGTGATTTTTGTGTGCTGATCAGCCTCTCGAGCAGCTGGGATTACAAGTGTGTTCCACCACACCCGAATAATTTTTGTACTTTTTGTAGAGGCTGGGTTTTACCATGTTGGCCAGGCTGGTCTCAAACTGCTGGCCTCAAGTGATCTGCCTGCCTCAGCCTCCTTCCAAAGTGCTGGGATGACAGGCGCGAGCCCTGTGTTGGGTTGCATGTTTGTAAGTCTTAATGTGAGTAAACAGCAGTCCATTGCAGCTTTTAAGTTCCTGTTTATACACATAAATACGTTATTATTTTACATATGTGTATAAGCAGGACTCTAAAAGCTACATCTTCCTTTCTCTATCCACTTAAAACCAACAGGGGCCCATGATGCCCATCCTTTGGGCTGTCGGTGCTGTTCTAGAATCAGAGCACCTGGGAGGCTGAGGGTTCAGCATATGATGCCCCTTTATGCCTCATGGAAAGTGCACACCCTACATTTAAGTTTTGCTTTTTTTTTTTTTTTTTTGAGCTGGAGTTTAGCTGTTGTTGCCCAGGTTGGAGTGCAATGTTGCGATCTCAGCTCACTGCAATCTCCGCCTCCCGGGTTCAAGCAATTCTTCTGCCTCAGCCTCCCGAGTAGCTGGGATTATAGACGCCCACCACCACACCTGGCTAATTTTTTGTATTTTTAGTAGAGACGGGGTTTCACCACGTTGGCCAGGCTGGTCTCGAACTCCTGATCTCAGGTGGTCCACCCACCTTGGCCTCCCAAAGTGCCCCACGTTTAAGTTTTGTTAGCATCTACTGAGTTTGGTCCATGTTCGGGGCTGGGTCCATGCAGCCCCATTGCCTTTCCATAGGCCTAGGGCAGCCCTCTGCCCCTTGTCCTGGGTTGGCCTCCTGCCCAGTCTCCCTGGCCCCAGGTTTCTGGTCTCTGTTTCTCTGTTGAGCAGTCCTAGGGACCCTGTGTGCTGCCACAGGCAGACAGCAGTCCTTGTTGCAGAAAGAACCTTTTTTACTGAGCATTTTGCATGCCTTGCCCCGCTCAGGGTTGCTAGGAGGAGGTCTGTGTGAAAGCAGCCGCCCAGGAAATGTCCAAAACCATATTGCCTTCAGTGACCCCAAAGCTGCAGGTGTCGGGCTTGTAGAAGATGAGCCAAATACTTACATTGTTGAGGGGCAGAATTGCCTTGAGTAAAAGATGTGCATTTTATAGAACATTCTTATGGCAGATGAGCGTTGTCATTGCCTAGGTGTTAAGAAAAAATTCAAATTCTTTTTTCCTCCGCTCTCACGGCCACACTCAACAACCAACACCAGACTTCTTCCGCACCCCCCACCCCAGATGGAGTCTTGCTCTGTCTCCCAGGCTGGAGTGCAGTGGTGTGATCTCAGCTCACTGCAGCCTCCACCTCCTGGGTTCAAGCAACTCTCCTGCCTCAGCCTCCTGAGTAGCTGAGATGACAGGCACCTGTCACTGTGCTCGGTAATTTTTGTATTTTCAGTAGAGATGGGGTTTCACCATGTTGGCCAGGCTGTCTTGAACTCCTGACCTCGTGATTTGCCCGCCTCCCAAAGTGCTGCGATTACAGGCGTGAGCCACCACGCCCCGCCTCCCAACACAAGACTTCTGTGACTAGACGTAAAGGGAGGTCTCCCCCTGCTATCAAGCAAGCAATCAGTTCTGCAGCACACACCGGCTGGGTGTCCTCCAGTTCATCTCTTGACACTATCCACCTGGAGGTAGATTTCCTCATCTTGAGGGCTCAGTCCCCAAGACTGTCCTTCCACCCCAGACACCAGTTGCAAGTCCAGTCCCTGGTAGCTTCTGACCAACTAGCCTCTAGTTGGGGTTCTCATGACCCCCTCTTTGGGGTCGATTAATTTATTGGAATGGCTCACAGAACTCAGGGAAACACCAGTTTATTATAAAGGATATTACAAAGGCTATGGATAAAGAGACCTGTAAGGCTAGATGTGGCAGAAGGGGCACTGTGTTTCCGTGCCCTCTGCAGACCACCCACCTGGTACATGTTCAGCTCTCCACAAGCTCTGTGACCTGGTCCTTACAGGTTTTTAACGGAGGCTTCATTATGTAGGCATGGTAGATTAAGCCATTGATCATCACTTTAACCTTCAGTCATCTCCCTCCTGAGGTTGGAGGATGGGGCTGAAAGTCCCTAGGCTCCCACTGCCCCATCCGGAAGCTGCCTGGGGGCTGCCAGTGTCAGTCATTAGCATACAAAAAGACATTGCTTTGGAGATTCCAAGGATTTGGGAAGTTGCATGCCAGGAACTCCAAATATTGATGGCAGTGTCACACTAGGGTAGATTCAGTCCTAATTCTTTGCGCACTTCATAACCTCCTAAAGCAAGTAAAGGCAGCAGCCTTGGCCAGATCCTACAAAACAGGTGAGTGTTGCAAGCTGCCCAGGTCTTTGTAGTTTTTCCAGTCTTGGGTTGCCAAGGTTTTGTGGACCCTGAGACAGATGTGTTGAATCTGAAAGGAGCAAATAAATAAAACTGAAAGCCAACCCGGAAGTCTGTTTCAGTTGATGGCCCTTAGGTAATTGGTCGATGCCGGCATTGTTCCCGGGGGTCTTACCTCCCCGGAGCAGCGGTCTTCTACATGGACCTATGTTAAAAGGTTGACTCTGGGCCCCGTAAACGCGCACCTTGCATTTGGATCATAATTCAAAAATTGCTTTAGACTAGAAATCCCATTTTGTTGATTGAAGAAGCTCAGTGCCTTTTCTGTCCATTTCTGTGTGTCTCTGCCCAGGTTATGTGACCAAGTTGCTGGAGGCAGCCAGGTGAAATGACATGAAAATCACTCATCTCATTGGGCAGACTGTTTGCCAGGCTGTCTGCTGCGTGGCCTTTATACACAAGCAGGGTCGCAGACACTGAGTTCGTCCAAAAAAACAATCCGTAGGCCCATCAGGGAAGGCTGGATTCCGCCTGGGAGGGCACACTGAGCTTCAGACACCCACACACCCACTGGCACCCCCGCCCTGCCCCGCCGCCCCGGGTGGAGCCCGCAAGCGCGGGAGTCTCTCCCACGATTGGCTGTTTCTGGTCTCTGAGGAAGAGGAGCACCCCTTAAGTGAGAAGGGGTGCTGGGAGTTCTCTGTTACTCTATTTAAATGTTAATTCCACATAAGGCAGAGGAAAGAAGTTATAGAGAAATAAAAGAAAGCAGCTTAGAGCAAACAATTATGTAAATAATAACGAAATACACTAACCTCCATCTAATGTGTGAGGAAATAGGATCCATGACGTAAAAACTTGAATAACAGTTAATGTCCTTCATAGGAATCTGACCACCGTCACTGGAGTAGACTCAGTTTACCGGGGTTTTTCACACATACACACGTATATATGTATATGTATACACACGTATGTATATGTGTGTGTGTGTGTATATATATGTGTGTGTGAGTGTATATATATATTTTTTTCTTTTTCTTTTTCTTTTTCTTTTTTTAAGATGGAGTCTCGCTCTTTCGCCCAGTCTGGAGTGCAGTGGCGCGATCTCGGCTCACTGCAAGCCCCGCCTCCCGGGTTCATGCCCTTCTCCTGTCTCAGCCTCCCGAGTAGCCGGGACTACAGGCGTGAGCCACCATGCCCGGCCCACAAATACATTTTTATTGGCGTGGTTGGGTTTGCCTATAAATGCTTAGCTAGCTTGATGGATCAGTCTTCATGAGCCCTTGACCAAATGTCCAGGTCACCCAGGAAACTCCCTCCCCAAGGCCAAGGCCACTGCGGTTAAGCTCTGGCTGTCTGAACTTGCCCCTGAACCATGCCCTCTGGCCTGATGGAGCTGAGGCTTCTGGTGTGGCCTCAGCACTGTGAAGTTTTGCTGCAGTGGTTGCATCTCAGTGTAGGGTGGTTTGACTTCAATGGTTCATACTGAGCACAGGTGCCCATGAACCTCCGCCTGCCTGGTCTGCAGTTGCTGGCATTCCAGGGCTCTTTTCTAGGCTTGCCCTCTGGCCTGGGAGCTTGGTCTCCAGTGCCTTAGCACCCTTCCTGGGTCTCTACTGCCCCCTCCATGCCAACTTGGTAGGCTTGGGCAGAGGACCCAGAGGCCTCTCCTTCCACAGGGACTTCAACAGAAGCCATTGAATATAGACCTGTAGCATATTCCAGCCAGGCCTGCCAGTTAAACAAAGAAGGGCAGATAACCAGGGGAAGCTAGGCTCCAATTCAAGTAACCTGAGTTGTGGGTGCTGCAGGGGCTGGGCCACCCTCTGATTAAGGTCATTTTCTAAATAATTTAAATGAACCAAAGTTGTTCTCCCTTTCCGTGTTGTTTCACTTCCCTCCCCCCAACTTTTTTTTTCTCTTTTTGAGACAGAGTTTCGCTCTTGTTGCCCAGGCTGGAGTGCAATGGTGTGATCTCGGCTCGCTGCAACCTCTGCCTCCTGGGTTCAAGCGATTCTCTTGCCTCAGCTTCCCAAGTAGCTGGGATTACAGACACCCGGCTAATTTTTTGTATTTTTAGTAGAGACAGGGTTTCACCATGTTGGCCAGGCTGGTCTCAAACTCCTGACCGCAGGTGATCCACCCACTTTGGCCTCCCAAAGTGCTGGGATGACGGGCCATGAGCTACCGCGGCTGGCCTCACTTCCCCTTTTCATGAGGACTGCAGGATGCATTCCTGTAGATTGACCATCTTTTTCCTGTTACATAATGTGGTGGAGTGGGCAAGCGTGACGGAACCTATATCTTGGGGGACGCCCTAATCAGGTTTGGGTCGTGTAAAGGTTCCTATTGAAGTGGAAATCATCCGTCATGAAGATGTGTAATCTTAGAAATGCGTGAGCCGTACTGCCAAAGCATACCCATGGGGTGATCACACTGTAGAGGTTAGAATGATTGGGCCTGGAGCTGCCCTTTTTTCTTTTTCTTTCTTTCTTTTTTTTTTTTTTTTTTTTTTGAGACAGGGCTGGCTTTGTCACCATGGTTGGTCTTGAACTCCTGACCTCAGGTGATCCGCCTGCTTCAGCCTCCCAAAGTGCTGAGATGACAGGCGTGAGCCACCACACCCAGCCCACATATATATATATATATATATATTTTTTTTTTTTTTTTTTTTTTTTTTTGAGATGGAGTCTTGCTCAGTCGCCCAGGCTGGAGTGCAGTGGTGCGATCTTGGCTCACTGCAAGCTCCGCCTCCTGGGTTCACACCAATCTCCTGCCTCAGCCTCCCGAGTAGCTGGGACTACAGGTGCCGGTCACCATGCCCGGCTAATTTTTTTTGTATTTTTAGTAGAGATGGGGTTTCACCGTGCTAGCCAGGATGGTCTCTATCTCCTGACCTCGTGATCTGCTTGCCTCAGCGTCCCAAAGTGCTGGGATTACAGGTGTGAGCCACCGCGCCTGGCCAACAAATACATTTTTATTGGCATGGTTGGGAACTTTCATCGGCGTTATTTTATTGGCATTTTATCGGCACTTTGGGAGGCCAAGGTGGGTGGATCACCTGCGGTCAGGAATTTGAGACCAGCCTGGCCAACATAGTGAAACCCTGTCTCTACTAAAAACACACAAAATTAGCTGAGTGTCTGTAATCCCAGCTACTTGGGAGGCTGAGGCAAGAGAATCGTTTGAACCCGGGAGGCAGAGGTTGCAGCAAGCCGAGATCACGCCACTGCACTCCAGCCTGGGCAGCAACACTGGGAGTGCAATGGTGCAATCTCAGCTTACTGCAACCTCCGCCTCCCGGGTTCAAGGGATTCTTCTACCTCAGCCTCTGGAGTAGCTGGGACGACAGGCGGATGCCACCACGCCTGGCTAATTTTTTTGTATTTTTAGTAGAGACGGGGTTTTACCATATTGGCCAGGCTGGTCTTGAACTCCTGACCTCGTGATTCACCCGCCTCAGCCTCCCAAAGTGCTGGGATTACAGGCGTGAGCCACTGTGCCTGGCCCCCTTTTTTTTTTTTTTGAGACAAGGCCTGGCTATGTCACCTAAGCTGGAGAGCAGGTGTGATCTTGGCTCACTGCAGTCTCCAGCTCCTCAGCTCAAGCAATCCTCCCACCTCAGCCTCCCAAGTAACTGGGACCACAGGCTCATTTTTCTATTTTCTGTAGAGACAAGGTTTTGCCATGTTGCCCAGCCTGGTCTCCAAGCTCAAGCAATCTGCCCGCCTCGGCCTTCCAAAGTGCTGGGATTACAGGCGTGAGCCATTGCGCCTTGCCAGACTTTTTTCCTGAAGCCTTCCAAGAACAATTCTGTAAACTGAAGGAAACCCCTTTCCTTTTCACGTCCAGGAAAGATGTGTAAGAGCGGAAAGTGATAGCAGTGAATGCTTCCCTTGCCAGTGTGGACTGAGTGAGGAGTTCAGAATTGAGTCTTCCACTAACAACCTACTTGAAAAAGTATATTTTGACATTTAAGGAAGCAAAGTGCTGAGAATATTATGAGTGCCACCCAGAATTGAACAATGGCCTTTTTAAATGGCGTAGATTTTCGTTGACAGTATGAGAGTTGGTGGCCCTGATGACTTTGTGTTGAGAGACTGAGGATGAACACTGAAGTATGCTGGCTGCTGTGACAGCTTGTTCCTTGAGAGCCGGGCCCCTGGGAGGTCCTGTTTCACTCACCATTGGCTCCCGGGCTCATGGACAGCGGCATGAGGGTGCCATCAAAGGCCGCCTGATTCAGACCCCTGCATACCCACCAAAGCTGTGTTCTGCCTGGTCTCCCTTCAGTGGAGAAATCGAACCTTGTTCTCTACTGTTTTCTTCCTGAGTCCCCATGGAAAGGCTCTCGGCAGAGTGGGCAGCAGAAGTGATGTGAGGCTCCTAAGGTTTGAGGTCGCAGGCCGTGCTTGCCATGTGAAATAGAGACTTGGCCCTAGGATGAGCTGGATTTAACGCCCCTGAGTGTCCGGCAGGCTTCCTGCAAATACCTCTGTACATCAGTTTGCGAAGGAGGCATGTATTTGGGTTTTTTTTTTAGTGTTTTGCAAAAGCTATTTTAAAGGGAAGTCAAAGGATAAAAATGAGCCTGGGCTTAGCAAGTGAGCGGCTGTGGGCAGGTTTGGGGTTGCCCGCATTGCCACTTGCCGATGAGGGAGGGGAGTGTGGGGAGACTCTGTTCGTGTGGAGGTCACAGGTGACATAAGGGCTAACTGAATGATTTTCTTTCGTTTCGTGCTGTCATTGGACAGCCTTGGAAAGCTAGGTGCAGACTTACACACTAATTCTTTTTTCCTTTCTCTGTCTCTGCAGAAACTTGAAGGGTCAAAGTGCAAAGGGCAGCTTTTGATTTTTGGGGCAACCAACTGGGACTTGATTGGTCGAAAAGAAGTGCCTAAACAGCAAGGTATGAGAATGGTGCCTCAAAAACCCATTGAGTGCTTCTTAAGTGCTAGGTTCTGTTGACCACCTGCCTGGTAGGTATTCCCTTCATTTACAAATGCATTTTCACAGAGGCCAAGTGACTTGCCTGAGGCCACACAGCCACTGTAGTGATGAGCTGGATTTGAACCCTAATCTTAGTCTTTTAAAGGCACAATTTTGAAGTGACTCACTAATTCCGTTAAGATTAATCAGGAAAATACAAGTAGTATCCTCAAATGAACATTGCCACCTTTTCCATCTTCCCTCTCACCTCACTTGTTTTCATTAAAATGAAGAGACCAGGTCTGTGAGATGGTGTCAGAATGTCCTAGACATTTGTCAAATGTCAGGTGTCAAAATTTCAGGCATTGCAGAAGAGTCCACGTTTCTTTGCAAGCTGCCAAATTGTTGCAGGAACTGGTTTGACAGAACAGTCTGGAGCGGGGGAAAGCAGAGAGGTCCTTAAGAAGTAATGTTTTGTCCCCAGTTACCTTTGGAAAACTGGTGTCTTAAGGGAAAAGGCCCATCCAGGAGAAGGAAGGCTGGCATGTAGCCAACTTTTATGGCTTCTTGATTTCATCTGGAAAGACTCCCAAAGTGCTTTCCAGCATTGCTTTGCCCCATGAACAAATATTTGCACGCTGGCTCGTCTTGGCACCTTAAAACAGGGGCGTTGGAAATCACCTTGTTCCATGAAAACACCTGGGGGCCAGCTGAATTAGAAATGGGTTTAAGTTGCAGGTAGCAGCAGCGCGTTGTTTGGAAAATGCCCAGCCTTCAGGCCCAAGCCAGAGGGGGCCACGTCCACATGGTGGCTTTTGTCCCAGGGAAGCACCTCCTGGTCTACAGTAACGTAAGCCCAGGTGCTGATGGCGCCTTGTTGCCAGTCCTGTGCCCGTGTTGCATCATTTCTCAAAGCCGTTCTTCAACTGAGCAGCCCAGTTGACATTGAAGATACAGAAGCCCAGGGAAGGGCAGTAAATACCAAAGGAAGCGAGTGGCAGGGCCAGGGTTGGAGTCCCACTCTCTAGTTAACTCTGTTGCCTCCCGCGCATGTATGTTGCTGTAGATCTGGTGAAAACCAGCAGCCTGGATGTCTTGGTTTTTGCAAGATAGCACCACAGCAAGCCACACAGTAGCTCTGTGATTGGGACCAGACCCCAGGGATCCGGAGGCCGTGGGAATTGACTTCTCAGTCTGACCGCAGAGCCTGGGACTGCTGCAGGGCGTTTAATTTGACTTGCTCCCCCTCCCCCACCCCTGCCCGGTCCCTCCAGTCCCTCCAGCCCTTCCTTGGGAGGCCGGAAGAAACCCAACCCGGCTCCTCAGGAGCCAGTGGCATCCTGGGCACTGCAGGGAAAGATGCTTTGGTAAGTCCAGGAGCATCTGACCACCTGAGACTCCCCTTGGCCAAGCAAGTTCAAGTGTGGCACCGCACCCTTGCCTGGCGTCCCGTGGCCTCCTGTGTTGCGGCACAGGGTCGTGATGATACTCGTCAATCATGCCATCATTTTGTCTTCATGGCAAAGAGACCTTGGGTTTCTCTTTATCCCTTCCGAGTTTTGTTTAATACAGTTCCTGAATCTTAATTTAGGTGCCACCTCCTTGAGTTTTTCTTAAGTTTTAATATAGACCATGAGGCTTTTATTTTTGGTTTGCTCTTTCCCCAGGAAATTGTTGATGTTCCTCTTCCTCCTTTCAGGGGAGGTGTCTGCAGGTGTGCTGCTTCAGGTGCCATGCGGGATCGGCTGGCCCCTGCCCGCCTGCGGCCAGGAGTCTTGCCCACTTGCCCCCACACCTGAATGAGGGAGCATGTGGTGCCCTCTGCTGAGGGCGGAGGGTGGGGCTGGAACGTACTTCACAGATACTTTCTAGGCAGCCAGGCGCTTGATAGAGACATTGTAGCCTTTTTATCAGTTCCTACATTGGATCAGTCTTACACACTCGATTTGGCAGTGGCTAGCATTTCAGGATAATCACCACAATCCTGGAAATACTCTTGAGCATCTCAATTTCAAAAATTAAGATTGCTGGGCATGGTGGCTCACGCCTGTAATCCCAGCAGTTTGGAAGGCTGAGTCGAGTGGATCACTTGAGCTCAGGAGTTAAAGACCAGCCTGGCCAATATGGTGAAACCCTCTCTACTAAATATACAAAAATTAGCTGGGTGTGATGGCACACGCCTGTAATCCCAGTTACTCGTGAGGCTGAGGCAGGAGAATCAATTGAACCTGGGAGGCAGAGGTTGCAGTGAACCGAGATTGTGCCACTGCTCTCCAGCCTGGGCAACAGTGAAACTGTCTCAAAAAAAAAAAAAAAAAAAAAAAAAGAAAAGTAAGAAATTGGCCCTGCCCCATCCTCTAATAGGGTGTGAAGGGGGGTTTGTGAGGAAGATGCTGTGGTTTTCTTTCCCATTGAGTGCTCGCTGCGTGCCAGGCATTTGTGAGGGTCTAGGCTGGAGGGAGCCTACAGCTTTAGCCCTGGGTGGCTTCTCATGGAGTGGGAGGGCTGGGGGGCTCAGGAAGAGAGCTGTGGTGGGCTGAGCAGGGCTGAGCAGAGCTGGGGCAGGGGAGCCCTGGGGGAAGGAGATTTCTCAGTGGATGTTGCCCTGGAGGGCTTCCCCAAGGAGGCGAACTGGTGCTTGACTTGAGCTTTCAGGAAGAAGTAGGAGGTGGGAAGGACATTCTAGGGGAAGCGAATATATGGGTGGGTGTCAGGGGAGTCATGAAGTGGCTGTCACACTGGACGGGTGAGAAGGGAGCAGGAGGTGGGGTGATACTGTGTGAGCAGTGCCCCTCCTCAAGGGGCCTGATGGAGCTGCTGGGAACATGAAGACAGGACACTCGGGTCACCCCTCAGAAAGAGCCTTCTGGCCCAGGGTGAAGGCCGGAGATGGAGGGCAGGAGAGCCTGGGAAAGGAGGGGCAGGCGGCAGGGAGTGAGGAGGAGGGGTAGGTTACTGTCAGGGTGAGCGGGGTTTCCTGGGTCAGCCTCTTCCTCAGCTGACGGCTGTGGAAAGCCAGCACTCCTGCCTCCTGGACAGACCTCGCACCAGGTCCCGGGCACTTGCGGGTGGGCGTGCTCAATGGCAGAACACGTGGGGCTGAGCCCTGTGAGAGGTGGGACCCAGAGAGGGGGCTGGGGCCGAATGGGTGTAAAGGTGGCAGGTGACGCCAGGCCTGTGCCAGCTTCTGGGTATTTTGATTTTTGGGCCTTCAGAGGCATCGCAGAGATTCGAAGTGAAAACCCGATCCTTGTGCAGCCTCCCAACAGCCAAGGCAGGGTGGCACCCGAGGAACACCTGTCCCTGGTACCCTCGGGAAGTGGCTGCTTGGTGGCCAGTGACATTTTGGAGGTCACCCCACCACCCCAGGTGTCTGATCTGCATTCTCATTCTCTCTGCAGCTGCTTACCGCAATCTCGGTCAGAATTTGTGGGGGCCCCACAGATATGGGTGCCTGGCGGGGGTCCGGGTGCGGACAGTGGTCTCGGGCTCGTGTGCTGCACACAGCCTCCTCATCACCACGGAAGGGAAGCTGTGGAGCTGGGGTGAGTACCGTGCGGGTGCTGGGCACTGGGGACCACTGTCACCAGCTGTCCCCACACAGCACGTTCTTCTGTTTGCCTGGAAAAGAGACTCGCGTCTTATAAGGCTGGGCTCCTTCGTTCACAGCCCATGTCTTTTTTCCTAATTCCCAGCTCGTCTCTTGTCTACACGCTACATGCAGATCCCCTTCCCCCCTGACATTTTTTGCCCATACGCAGCCCCTACTTCTTTGATTCCTTGTGTTTACACAAGGAACATTTTCCTGAATCTTCTGCCCGAAGCTTGATCTTTTCTGATACTGAGGTGTGTGAGTGTGTTAGGCAGGCTGTCCTTCCAGCAGACAGTTTCCTTCCTCTTTGAGGCACGATATGACATGAGACCTCTGTTGCTGCCACTTGAAATGCCACTGGCTTTTCTACCTCCCGCCTCATGTCATAGGATGCTGCGTCCCTGCCGCCATGGCCCTCGTGTCTGAGGTCTGCCCAAGTCTGGTCTGCAGGCTTGGCAGCTCACTGTCCGTGTTGTCTGCTTCTTAGGATATTTCCCCAGATACTTCAGTTTGCTTTTTTGGAGTTGTTCGGCTTTCCCTTCTGTTTTTCCTCACCTGGGCACTCGGGATGGGTTCCAGTTCTTCTGTTAGCCTCTGTCCACGGCACTGTCCTCTGCAGCCGGCCGGCCCATTCCTGCCCGTGTCCTCTTCCAGATCATTCCAATCATAGGGTATGGGCTAAGGCTCATTTTATCCCCAGCCCTTTTGGTGACTCCCGGCCTCTGCCTCCAGCGGGGCATATTGGCGTTTGTCCCCACCCTTTGTCGCTGGTCCTCTGGCTAGCTTTTAGTCCATATGACTGCATTTTTATTTTGGGCTGTTTGAACCGTTTTTTGTGATTTCATGAGCTGCTGTACCAAAGTCCAAATATATTAACATCTGTTGTCTTCCCTGCACATGGCTAATTTTGTAATTCTGTTGAAAAAAGCTAAAGTGTGTCTGGCCCAAATTTATACTTTATAGTCTCTTGATGACATGCTGACATTGCCACAGTTTTTGTTTTCTCCCGGTTGGCATAGATGTGTGTCCCTTCCCCCAGAGCACCCCTCCTACTTTGTGTTCCAACACTGAACACAGCCTTTTATGTCAGTGTTCCAAACTTAAAATACCTCAGTTCTGATCTCTCGCTGAGCTTCACTTGCGTGGTGGCTCTGAAAGCGCCCTCAGTTCTGACCCTGTGGGCAGGGACAATGTATGTCCCGCCATCAAGACGTGTGATCCCCGAGCAGACAGTGCAGTTGGTGAGGACAGGGTTGGAAGGTGTCACAGGCCCACTGCTCGCCACTCTAGAAGGCAGGGGGCGGCGTCTGGTGTGAGTAGAGTACCACGGGAGGGTGGCTGACGCATTGCTCATGTGGGGTCTCCATCTGTGGCCCGCTCACCCTGTCCTGCCGCATCTCAGTCCACTGAGACTTGCACTTGTTGCTCTGTATTCACATGCCTTTCACATGAACTTGGGCAGCTCCCATTGGAAGCTGGTGTATCTGCCTCTCCTGCTCGAGTGCCAGTGCTGGCCCTTCAGCCCGCCGTTCTTTAATTAGAGCGAGTCAGAGGCTGGTTTCCCTTCGTCGCAATTCCTTCTGTAGTCAGAGGCTGCTCCTGCAAGCCTTCTCCAGGACAGCTGGAACTCATCTTAATGGCTCTGCTGTCTGCCTTTATCACAACCTAAGGGTGAAAAGTTCATTGCTGGAGAAGGTTGCAAAACCCCCTAGAATTGCCCTGACTTCTCACCACTGTAAGATCTCCGTCAGTTTCCCCACGTCAGGTTACATGTGTGGTTTTTCTCTTATCGGGAGGGATCCGAGAGTGGCCGGTTGAATTTTTGTTTTGGAACTTGGTAGTTTGTGTTGAAACCTAGATGCGGTGTAGGGGCTCCCAGCCCTCCTTTTGGCCCACCCAACTTCCACGTCTGTTTGGAGTTGAATTTGGTTCTGCAGAGGACTTGGGGGTAGGGGTTGGCCCTCAGGCCTGCCTTCCGCTGGAATTCACAGATACAGGGCCTTGGTCGCACCTGCAGCAGTCCTGGAGGTGGGGCTGGGCGTGTTGTGTTGAGGGTGGATCTGTGCTTTGTCACCAGGGTTCCTGTGGCTGAGAGTCCTTGAGGGGCGATCCCTAGGGGTGGGATTGGCACTGTTATGTGAGCACCATTTACAGGGTAGAAAAAGGAAGAGAAATATTGGGCAGACACCAAATGGTCCTCAGTGGATGCCCAGAGCACCAAAGTGATTAAACTCTGGTGAGCCAGGTGTCAAAATGGGGTGCTGTCTTAAAATACATCTCAGAGGGTAGGGACGGGGTGGTTGTCTTGCAGGCACTCTAAGTGGGAACGGCGTGTTTCTGCGAGCATGCCCGCCTGTGCATGGTGTCCCTACCACACTGAGCCTCTCATTTCCCTTTGTAGCAGAGACGTGGGAGGTGTGCACGGGTGGTCCCGCTGCTGCCCCAGGGAAGGAGGTCCGGGGAGCTGCAGCAGGCGCCATTCCAGCGGGCAGAGGGCCGGGGCGTTCTTTGCTCTGGATCTTGGCTGTTGGGAATTTGGAGGGTACCTTCCAGAGACAGATGGGCATCATTTGAGAGTGTGTTTGTACTCGCCTTCTCCTGGTGGTGCCGCCTGGACCACCCTCTCTCTTTTCTACTTTCTCTCATGTGATCTGCAGGTCGAAATGAGAAGGGGCAGCTGGGACATGGTGACACCAAGAGAGTAGAAGCCCCTAGACTCATCGAGGGTCTTAGCCACGAAGTGATTGTGTCTGCAGCATGTGGGCGGAACCACACCTTGGCCTTGACGGGTAAGGAGGTGGCTGCTGGTGTCTCCTCTCAGTTTGGCAAGAGGCCAGGTGGTCTGCCTTGGGGATGGGGCGTGGGGTGGTGGAGTTCCCCTTGTGACTCTTGGTCAGGATCAGAAAGAGGCCCTGAGAACCTTGGCATGGAGTGGCTTCTTGAGGGCATTGGGAGCCTCCCCAGTGGCCATAGGAGGCCCATCTGGGAGTAGGAGACGCTGCCCTCTGTTTCTCTGCACACCCAGTTTCTGATGTGAAATGGCTTTGCTGTGAAGCGTCTGCACTGCCAGCTTTTGGGCAGTCTCACTTGCCTTCTGCCTGGCAAATGAGCTGTTTTTATTATTTTGATGCCTTTGATTCTAAATCTAGTTCAAAACATTCACCATTATCTTCCCTTTTGTGATATTTTTCCTTTCTTCCAGAAACGGGCTCCGTGTTTGCGTTTGGGGAAAACAAGATGGGGCAGCTGGGCCTTGGCAACCAGACAGACGCTGTTCCCAGCCCCGCGCAGGTGACCCCTCCTCAGCTCCGGCTCCATGGCTTTTTGTTTCTCTTTACTTTTGTGTTTGATTTTCTAAGGTGGGGTCTCCGTTTGAGTTAATTTACCCCTTGTAAAAACAGGGTCTGGATGTTTAGTTACATGCTGTAGAGTTTTTTTGTTTGTTTTTTTGTTTTTTGTTTTTTTTTGAGAACGGAGTTTCACTCTTTTTGCCCAGGCTGGAGTGCAATGGCGCAATCTCGGCTCACTGCAACCTCCGCCTCCCGGGTTCAAGTGATTCCCCGGCCTCAGCCTCTGGAGTAGCTGGGATTACAGGCATGTGCCACCACACCTGGCTAATTTTGTATTTTTAGTAGAGACGGGGTTTCTCCATGTTGGTCAGGCTGGTCTGGAACTCCTGACCTCAGGTGATCCACCCACCTCGGCCTCCCAAAGTACTGGGATTACAGGTGTGAGCCACTGCACACAGCCTTGCTATAGTTTTTAAAACAGGCTTAGTTTGTGGTCGGGTTGAAAACCATCCTGAAAACATTTTGTTTCCAAATGGAGAAATCTGTTAGAAATGCCTTGTCGTAAGCCTGTTCTGTTCCAAAGAAAGTGAGTGATGTTATATGGATGTAATTGTACTTCCCCCAAATACTTTGTTTTGACCTTGTATAAAGTCACCAGCCAGATGCTTAGAATACAAATACGAGATAGGCAGTCTTTTTTTTTTGGAGGGGAGACAGAGTCTCGCTCTGTTGCCAGGCTAGAGTGCAGTGGCGCGATCTCAGCTCACTGCAACCTCTGCCTCCCGGATTCAAGCGATTCTCCTGCCTCAGCCTCCCGAGTAGCTGGGACTACAGGCATGCTCCACCACGCCTGGCTAATTTTTGTATTTTTAGTAGAGATGGGGTTTCACCATGTTGGCCAGGATGGTCTCCATCTCTTGACTTCCTGATCTGCCTGCCTCGGCCTCCCAAAGTGCTGGGTGTGAGCCACCGCGCCCAGGAGATAGGCAGTCTTTTTTTTTCTAAGAAACTTGAGTTGGAGGGGTGAGATTTATACCTTAAAAACAAACTACTACTAAAGGCAGAAGAATGCTAAGTGCCTAATTAGTGGTCTAGGTGATGAAGGAAGGGAGGGACTTGGTTTTATTGATCTTAAAGAGACAGTGGCTAGGCTTTGAACTGCTCTGTGCTGGGAGGGTGGGGGTCTGAGGGTGCTTCTTTACATATCTTCTAAGCTTTGTGTTCTAGAAATGCCTTCAGCTTTTGCCTTCAGAATTACTGAGTTTATTAAACTTCCGTTTGTAACCTAGTAATTGTTTCCCACCAACATGCAGAGAGGTAGAGGCTTTTTATCAGTCTTTAAAAAAAATGAAAGTCTCCTTTCTTGTCTTTTCAGATAATGTACAACGGCCAGCCAATTACCAAAATGGCCTGTGGGGCTGAATTCAGTATGATAATGGACTGCAAAGGAAACCTCTATTCCTTTGGGTGCCCTGAATATGGTCAGCTGGGTATGGAAGTACATTTTTTAAAAGCTCTGTAATCTAACTGTATATATTCAGAACTAGAGATCAGTGTGGGGCTGCACACACGTGTTAGAAATGTGGGTAATTGATCTCAGATAATAGCCTTTGTCCGTTAAGTGGATCTCACGTTCAGCAGAACAGCGCGTCCTCATTCACAGGATTATGGAGTATTGCAACACTGCCTCAATGGAAAAGTTGGGACTGGAGTCCTACAAAAGATTTCTTTTTTTCTGATTTGGGAATTCATTTATATAAAGGGATTTCAAAGTTAAAAAAAAATCAGACCACCTTCATTCAATTTCACATTTAAAGATTATGCCTTTATTGAAAATGAGAAAATTACGGAAAATGAACGTTGTTCTGGAAACCCTGGCCTGGGCGATTATTTCGGGTTGCCACGTGAGGAGCCCTGGTGGACCCCCTCCCCGTGCGTCATCCCTAGCCAGAATCTAGTTGTCCAGAAACTTGTTTCTTCGATCTCATTGGTGGAAAAGGAGAATTCAGGCATCAGTTCTCAGTTAGTGGGGGGAGTGTCTTCCGACCTGATGGTCTCCATTCTCCTTCCCATCGGACCCTAAGTGCGGTTCCCTGAAGTGCGCTTCCCGGTTGTGGCTCTGCCTCCACTCCAGCCCCTCTGGGGAGGCCTCCGCGAGGTGTGGCGCGGGCGCCCTCTGCTGGCCGCGCGCGCTCCTGCAGCCGCAGCGCCTGGCAGATGGAAAAGGTAAAAATAGCGCCGAGCCCGCTGGCCTTAGCCTCGGGGAACAGTGACTTTGTGAAACTAAATATACTTCAAGTCAGAAGTGAATAAGAGAGAACAGCCCCTTACGCACATTTCACATTTCGCGTTGGTTGCCGTGGTGGAGCCCGAGACAGTTGGAGAGCGGTTTCCATGGCCACAGCCCTGCTGCGGTGCCCAGCAGCGGTCCGCTTCCTGCCACGTGCGCGCTCCTGCTGCCTTGGCCTCCCCTCTGCACCCCGGCAAGTCGATTTTCCGTCAGGAAGCATGACATGCTGTTGGTGATAAAAACGGCTCACTTTCATGGAGCAGTGACTGTGTGTGCCAGGCACCATGTAAGCACTTTGTACAAATTCGCAGGTGCTCAGTTACACTCAACTTGCAGGTAGTTTGGAAATCGGCTTGATTTGTAGCTACAGAATCGCTTATTCTCAGCGTATTACTTGCTTTAAGGCAGGTGTTTGTTTCGTTGTCCAAATCCAGATAGATCACTTTTAGAATGAACCTAAATCCGACTATGGCCGTGTCTCATCCACACACACTCATGCCTTGTGCCCCCTTTTTTGCAGTGCACTGAACTGGGCTGGGCAACGCCAAGATAAGAAAGACGGAGTCTCCCTCTGTCACCCGGGATGGAGTGCAGTGGTGTGATCTCAGTTCACTGCAACCTCCACCTCCTTGGTTCAAGCAATTCTCCTGCCTCGGTCTCCCAAGTAGTTGGGACTACAGGCGCCCGCTGCCACACCCAGCTAACTTTTTTTTGTATTTTTAGTAGAGACGGGGTTTCACCATGTTGACCAGGCTGGTCTCAAACGCTTGATCTCAAGTGATCTACCCGCCTCGGCCTCCCAAAGTGTTGGGATTACAGGCATGAGCCACCGTGCCCAGCCATGCCATTTAACTTTATTTTAAAGAGCTGTCACCCCTCTAGAGGGACAGGGAAGCCCGCTGTTCGATGTTTTCTGGAGTAGCTTCTGTCCTGTACTTCTGGAGAAAGCAGATGTGTGCAGCTCTTTAAAGGAGGTGGAAAAAGCAGTCACCAAATGTGCCTCCTCTCCTGTCTGGGAGTTGTGTCTGTTCAGTATCCACTGTGTCGATAGCAAATAAAAGGACTCTAATCATTTGTTGACTGCCTTGCTGAAACCTTGTCCGGAAGAGTGCAAGTGTTTAAAAATACCATTTTTGTGAGAAAAGTAGCGACATATCCGGAAATGCATTCTATTTACTGTGATGCTCTTACATTCATCGTAGCCTAGAAGGTGGGGGAATTTCTTAGTGGGGACCCTCAGACTTTTATTGTTTTTTTTGATACGGAGTCTTGCTCTGTCACCAGGCTGGAGTGCAGTGGCGCGATCTCGGGTCACTGCACCCTCCGCCTCCCGGGTTCAAGCGATTCTCCTGCCTCAGCCTCCTGAGTAGCTGGGACTACAGGCGTGCGCCACCACACCTGGCTAATTTTTGTATTTTTGGTAGAGACGGGGTTTCACCATGTTGGCCAGGATGGTCTCAATCTCTTGACCTCGTGATCCGCCGACCTCAGCCTCCCAAAGTGCTGGGATTACAGGCGCGAGCCACCGCGCCCGGCCAAGACCCTCAGACTTTTAAACGGACAGATGTTCCACTGGAAGGGATTATGTCAACAGTAGAGAACTGCTGTCATAAGACAGTGATAGTGAGCAGAGATCATGCCACCGCACTCCAGCCTGGGCGACAGAGCGAGACTCTGTCTCAAAAAAAAAAAAAAAAAAATAGAACCTGCTTATGAGATGAGTGTTATAAGGCGCCCTGTAAACAAGCCCAGGAGTTTTATTGTGTGTAGCGTAGTTGTGATTCCAGGGTGCAGTTGCTCCTTGGTAACCTGGGGGATTGCTTCCAGTACCCCCTGTGGATACCAAGATCTTAAGATGCTCAAGTACCTTATATAAAATGGCATAGTATTTGCATGTAACCTGTACACTTAAAATCATCTCTAGATTACTTCAGTACCTAATGTGATGTAAATGTTATGTAAGTAGTTCTACTGTATGGTCTTACTTGTATTGTTTGTATTATCTTTTTTTTTTCCTTGTTTCCTCCTCCCCCCAGATATTTTTGGACCACTGTTGGTTGAACCTGTGGCCATGGAGGGCTGACTGTATTTAAATAGCACAGTGCTCAAAAACACACATACCAATAAGGGCTGAGGTGCACACCAGCGTGCCGTATGGAGGGGGATTAGCCACAAGCCGGGGGCTAGTTTACAAACTGATAACAACAAGTTTTTTTGTTTGTTTTTTTTTGGAGACAGAAACTTGTTCTGTCGCCCAGGCTGGAGTGCAGTGGCATGATCTCTGCTCACTGCAACCTCCACCTCCCAGGTTCAAGCGATTCTTCTGCCTCAGCCTTCCCAAGTAGCTGGACTATAGGCACCCACCACCACGCCCAGCTAATCTTTGTTTGTTTGTTTTTGTTTTTTAAAGTAGAGACAGGCCTTCACTGTGTTGGCCAGGCTGGTCTCAAACACCTCACTTCAGGTGATCCACCCACTTCGGCCTCCCAACGTGCTGGGATTCCAGGCGTGGCCCACCGTGCCCAACCAAACTGATGATCACAGTGTGGGAACAGGAGCAGTTTAAAACTATAAACTACTTAGCAGCCCTGCTGCTGCAGGTGGCTGCAGGAGCTTGGGTGTCTGGCGTGTTCTCAGGACTGGAGCAGCCGGGCTTCTGGTGTGTGGTGTGCTGAGCTGGGTCTTTGCGAACCAGTCCCTGGGTCATTCGGAGTGTGGGAATTGCAGGCTTTAGCCACCCGTAACCATACGTTTAGGTTACTGGTAATTCATAAAAACAGAGGCCTGGGATTGTGTATGGAGCTTTTCTGTCTATTCTTGGTCTTTTAGGGGCTCCTTGTGGTCCCTCCAGTGGGGTAGAGATCTTACTTGATAGACCATTCCTTGATCAGCAGCTTCAACTTTTTTGACTGCAACCCATTGTAAGAAATAAGTTTTCTTTTGCAACCCAATCTGAACGTATAATACCTTACCTGGAATTGTTGTAACATGGTGCCATTATTATGTGTAGAGTATTCTTTGTCATTCTGTTCTATTCGTTTTTAAAAAATAACTGGTCTTAGCTCACAAAATTGATTTCACTGACCCACTCACTGTGCTGTGCCTAAGATTGGAAATGCTGCCTTTGTTGACCAACGTGTGCTGGTCTAAGGCCCAGAAGGGCCAGATTGGGGTGCTGCCGGGGCTCACTACAGAGTCCGTGTGAGCACACTGACACGTCCCTTGTGCTTGTGCTGCTGCTGATGGCCGGCTCTGTGGTCTCTACAGGACACAACTCAGATGGGAAGTTCATCGCCCGGGCACAGCGGATAGAGTACGACTGTGAACTAGTTCCCCGGCGAGTGGCCATCTTCATTGAGAAGACGAAAGATGGACAGATTCTGCCTGTACCAAACGTGGTTGTACGAGACGTGGCCTGTGGCGCTAACCACACGGTGAGGCTCGGCTTTTCTCACTTCCTGAGAGTCGCACCAGGATGGAAGGGGTGTTTATGCTCAAGTTTCCTGACGCTTGGCTTTGGCTAGGAACTGATCCCAGGTAGACATCTGCTTGCTTCTTCAAGAGGGCTTTGCACCTTGGCCAAAGGGTCCTTGGTCCCAGGGCAGGGTTCCCTGTCACTGCCTCCTATGTTAACTTCTCCCGTGATTTAAATAGACACATCTTAAACACGTAGATGTTTTGCCGCCCTCACCTGCACCTTAAGGTAAGCACTTTCTGCTTTTGGCTTTTATCTAACATAACATCACAGACATCTTTCCAGGTCAGTAGATGGTGCCCCATACTGGGGATGTGAGTCGTTTTTAATCAGTAGGTTGTCCCCCCCGCCCCCCCCCCCTTTTTTTTTTGGAGACAGTTTCACTCTTGTTGCCCAGGCTGGAGTGCAATGGCGTGATCTCGGCTCACCACAGCTTCCACCTCCCAGGTTCAAGCAATTCTCCTGCCTCAGCCTCCCGAGTAGCTGGGATTACAGGCATGCGCCACCATGCCCCGGCTAGTTTTGTATTTTCAGTAGAGACAGGGTTTCTCCATGTTGGTCAGGCTGGTCTCAAACTCCTGACCTCAGGTGATCTGCCCACCTCGGCCTCTCAAAGTGCTGGGATTACAGGTGTGAGCCACCACGCCTGGCCTAGGTTGTTTCTTTAAAGGTCACTTTAGATAAACTGCAGTGCAATCTTTTGTTTGTGTATCTTTTTTTTTTTTATTTGAGGCGGAGTTTCACTTTTTCACCCAGGCTGGAATGCAGTGGTGGGATCTCAACTCACTGCAACCTCTGTCTTCCTGTTTCAAGCTATTCTCCTGCCTCAGCCTCCTGAGTAGCTGGGATTAGAGGCACCTGCCACCATTCCTGGCTAATTTTGTATTTTTAGTAGAGATGGGGTTTCACCATGTTGGCCAGGCTGGTCTCAAACTCCTGACCTCGTGATCCACCTGCCTCGGCCTCCCAAAGTGCTGGGATTATAGGTGTGAGCCACCGCGCCCGGCTGTTAGTGTATCTTTTAATTTTAATGGCCTTCCTGTGGTTCTTCTGTCTGAGAATGCCTAGGAGTCTCTTTGTTCTATGCTTTGTTGAAAAAGCCTGGGCTAGGATTCCAGAGATCAAGTTGGTCCTCCCCACTGAGTGGTCTCAGCTCACCACCTCCTTCCCTTGGAATCTTCTTGCCGATGAAGAATGCCCAGGGAATTGGGCTAGGACTAGGGTAGGAGATTTCAGTTTGTGCAAGTCCAAAAACTGATTTGTTTTGTCTGATGTAGTCAGGGGAAATAAAGTTGGCTCTTGTTTAGGGCCTTATAGGCCAAGTTTTTTAGTAAGTTGTAGATTCCCATGGTTTAGACATGAAACATCAAAGAACTGAATTGGCATGTCAGAAGATGGGAAAACGAGACTGAAGAAGATAAATCTTAAACACTTGAAGTGTCTCTGAGTTCATTTCATCAGTGACCAGGTACAGGTTACCTCTGTACCTGTGGGTGAGGGAAGTCTAAAGAAAAATCCAGGCCGGGCGCAGTGGTTCATGTTTGTAATCAGAGGACTTTGGGAGGCCAAGGTGGGCAGATCATTTGAGACCAGCCTGAGCAACATGGTGAGACCCCCATCTCTACAAAAAAACCACAAAAATCAGCTGGGCATGGTGGTGCACACCCAAGTCCTAGCGACTTGGGAGGCTGAGGTAGGAGAATCGCTTGAGCCCAGGAGGTGGAGGTTGTGGTGAGCCGTGATCGTGCCATTGCATTCCAGCCTAGGTAACAGAGCACGAGACCCTCTCGAGGGGGGGAAAAGAAACGAAAAATCCAGGAACAGGTAGGCCTTTTCTGTTCTTTCTGCAATTGAATCTGTTTTTTTTTTGTTGTGTTTTTTTTTTTGTTTCGTTTTGTTTTTTTTTTTTGAGATGGAGTCTCATTCCGTCACCCAGGCTGGAGTGCAGTGACGCTATCTCGGCTCACTGCAGCCTCCGCCTCCCAGGTTCAAGAGATTCTCCTGTCTCAGCCTCCTGAGTAGCTGGGATTACAGGTGCACACCACTGTGCCCAGCTAATTTTTTTGTATTTTAGTAGAGATGGGTTTCACCATGTTGCCCAGGCTGGTCTTGAATTCCTGAGTTCAGGCAATCCACCTGCCTCAGCCTCCCAACGTGCTAGGATTACAGGCATGAGCCACTGCATCTGGCCGAATCTCTGTTGTAGTGGGAATCAAATGATTGCCCAACTCTCAGGAGACATAGCCCTGTTGCTTCTGATTAAGGAAAGGGTTAAGACTTGTAACTTAAATAAATAAACAGAACAAAAAAGGATTGGAAAATGGAGTCCCTGGCAGAGAAAATAGCAAACTGGGCTTATTGAATGCATGCCATTTTGCTACACTTGCTCCTGTTGCCTCCTCCCCCACTGCTGGAGGCGGGAGGTAGAGGATCTTTCTGCTGGAGGCAGGCAAAGGATATTTCTTTGGTTTTTGGAGACAGGGTTTCACCATGTTGGCCAGGCTGGTCTCAAACTCCTGACCTCAAGTGATCCACCCACCTTGGCCTCCCAAAGTGTTGGGATTAGATGTGAACCACCGTGCCCGGCTGGTAGGGGATCTTGAATGTTGCTGTTCCTTTGCCCTTAGCATTTGCACCAGGTTGTCTGCACAGAAACGATGACCCCTCTTGTTGCCTGTTGGAAGTCTGTTTGTTCCAACCCTGTGTTTTCTTTCCTTGCAGCTGGTCCTGGACTCCCAGAAGCGAGTCTTCTCCTGGGGCTTTGGTGGCTATGGCCGGCTGGGCCACGCAGAGCAGAAGGATGAGATGGTCCCCCGCCTGGTGAAGCTGTTTGACTTCCCTGGGCGTGGGGCTTCCCAGATCTATGCTGGTTACACCTGCTCCTTTGCTGTCAGTGAAGTGGGTTAGTGATTTCTGCCCCCTGGCTTATCAGTGCTCTGGTGCGGAACCGTGTAGCCATTGTCCTGTCCCTAGACCACGAACCCCAATTCTCTTTACCTCCCAGTGTTCTTTATTTTTTTGAGACAGGAACTCGTTGTGTTGTCCAGGCCGGTGTCGAACTCCTGGGCTCAAGCAGTCCTACCACCACAGCGTCCTGAGTAGCTAGGACTGCACAGGCACGCCACCACGCCTGGCTCCAGTTATCTTTTAGACAGAACACTTGTTTGCCATCCCGTCCTCTTTTCACCCTGATAATACTGAAGATGAGACTCAGCTCTCGATGTCTGGTCACGCTGGGAACATGTTTTGTCTTCCCTTAGGTGGTCTGTTTTTCTGGGGGGCCACCAACACCTCCCGTGAATCTACCATGTACCCAAAAGCAGTGCAGGACCTCTGCGGCTGGAGAATCCGGAGCCTGGCTTGTGGGTAGGTGGCAGCATCTCCTGTGGGTATGAGGTCTCTTCCTTTCATGGGGGTGTCAGACACACCCATGGGGTGCCCCTCCCTGATGGGGCTCTGTTTCTGCTGCCTGTTGGGCTGTCCTCAGCAGGCCATCTGACACACTGAATCCCAGAGTCCGGGGGTACAGGAGGGGAGAGGGCCCATTTGCTGCTAGAACAGATGGCTGTTCCCTGTCTTGTGGGAAGAAAGTCATTTTGAAGGTTTCTGTTCAAAGAAATAAACAAGCAGAGCTTGATGTATTCCTACGCTGCAGGTTGAAAATTATACGTAGTTGGAAACGTAGCAGGACTTGAGTTGCTGTGACACTGGGAAGACGACATTGTCTTGGCAGCAGTGGTTTGTAGTTCATTTCAGGACACCTGTTGAGTTAGCTAGCACTTCTTGCTGAGGAGTTGGATTTATCAGCTGGCAGGTGTGGGTGGAACAGTATGAGGGGCCTCTGTCGGCGTGGCTTTAATCTGTTGAAGGCTCTAGCCCTGCCCAAATCATTATGCATGAAGGCTGCTCCCTCTGGAACAGGCTTTCACTTTATCCTGATCTGGTCTCCTCTTCCCAAAGCGACCTCCCACTGAGAGAGAGCTGTGCAGGATGCACAGCAAGGTCCCCTGCCTTTGGCCCCTAGGCCTGTCTAAGGGCTTTGTTGTTTTGTTGAAGCGTTGAGTGGCCTGCACGGAACAATCTTAGGATTGAGGAGAAACCTGTTGGCCCTGTTATTGTGTTTGCTACTTGGAATGAGTACGCCAAGGGAAAAGTGGCAGCTCACACTCATGCCCTTGAGCCATAGCTGCGTGGGTGCAGGTCTGGGGCTGCTGGCCCTGCAGTGACAGCCTGCCTGTTTGCAGGAAGAGCAGCATCATTGTGGCCGCCGATGAGAGCACCATCAGCTGGGGTCCGTCACCGACCTTTGGGGAACTGGTAAGCTGTCACCTGTGCGGGTCAGGGGAAGTGGAAGCCAGTCAGGGTGGCTCATGGCCTTTGGGTTCTCTCCACCTGTCTCCCAAAACACACAGAAGAAAAACATTTGGGATTCCCCCCTTATTGTATTAAGGTTTGCAACACGATTGAGTCCCATGAGTTTTCAAGGACAATTCTGTGCTAGTCAGATAATTCTGAGTCATCTCTGCACATTTGTAAACTCTGAAAATTGGGACTTTTCAGATCCGGTTTCCCCTCACATTTTGTAAACCACAGTTGGGTTATGGTAGGAAAAGGGCCTGTTTGTTCCCTCTCCCCTGGAGGCCTAAGTCAGTGGGAAACTCACAGTTGTGGGTGATTTGAGGACATTCTTCATTTTTCCAAATTGAGTTTAAACCTGTGTTTCTGTTGTTAATACCAGTTACTTGAGTGATGAGGTTAGAACTCATGACCCTCAATTTCACACACGTGGCCTTCCGCAAACAAATGTCTTTCATTCTTAGATCCTGGTGCTAGGTGAGTCTTTTTTTTTTTTTTTTTTGAGATGGAGTTTCTCTGTCACCCAGGCTGGAGTGCAGTGGCGCGATCTTGGCTCACTGCACCCTCTGTCTCCCAGGTTCAAATGATTCTCAGTTCTCCTGCTTCAGCCTCCTGAGTAGCTGGGACTCTAGGCGTTTGCCACCACGCCCAGCTAATTTTTGTATTTTTGGTAGAGATGGGGTTTCACCATGTTGGCCAGGCTGTCTTGAACTCCTGACCTTAGGTGATCCACCCGCCTCAACCTCCCAAAGTGCTGGGATTACAGGCGTGAGCCACTGCACCTGGCCAAGGCGGGTCTTTGAGTTTTTGTTAGGAAGACTAGCTTGGCTGTGGAGTGCATCCTGATCTGCCTACACTAGTCATGGTTTGATTCTCCGCTTAACTCTTGGTGGTCTTAGTTTTAGTCCCTTATTTCTTGTTAGAAGCACAGTCTGTCTCCCTCTCCTGCACTCTTGTGGTTGCAAGGTACTCTTGTGGTTGATGGAGAGGAGGGGAAGGAAGGGCGTTCCTTGGTCCCTTGAGCTGTGGCTGGGATGGATGGTGAATGCACCTTTTTCTCGGGGCTCTGCACACCCTTGGAGTCTGGCTCAGATGCTCTGGTGGCCCGATTTGAAACATTGACAGGAAAGAGACAGAGCCTGGCCCAGTTTCTACAGATAGTTCTTAGAGGAGGAAGGATGTTTTCTGGGGCCTATCAGAAATAGACTTTGACCTTCTAAATATAAATTTTGAAACTAGAGGGGAGCAAGGGAGACTTTTTGGGGAGCTTCTCAAGGGTGAGAAGTTGGCCTGGCACCTTGGAGGGAACATCTACTGTGTGGGAAGGCCCGAGGTGGGGCCTGGCAGGAGATGAAACCAGGGACATGTGGGCAGGCCTGGGCTGGGGAGGGAGGGTCCTCCTCTCCCGCCCTGTGGGACCCTCTGTTTCACCTGAGCCAGGGCCTTCAGTCTTTCAATTGCCCAGCTCCACACCTTTGCACAAGACTCCCCCTTAGCTGCGCCAATTCATCCAGTTCCTTCTACCTCTGGGAGGGAAACTGGTTCTCTGGTGCCATTGCTAATAGTCTCCCTGTCACGCTTAAGCCCTTTTATTTTGTTTTGTTTTGGATGGTGATTATTCCACTCTGGATGGTGGAGGCATCAAGGGCATTTGGTCAGCCCGTGTTCTTGGTCGCTTTGGTCCTGAAGGGCCGCAGTTGCCATTCTTCCTGCACTCGTGGTGTCATCTCTTGTCACCAGTGCCATACTCCCCAGAAGGGACTTGTGCACACAGAAGTCCTGCAGGCTAGAGTTGGGCACCTTGGTCTTCCTTAGGTTAAGCGCTAGTCGCCTGCTGGTGGCACCTTTTGTGGATAAACTTGGATGATTCCACCTGGCCCTTGTGTGCAAGGGTGGCCGGGCTTGTCATGGGCCAGAGGGCATCATCACTGGCTTCTGGTTAGTGGGGGCCAGGAAATGTTGCCGTGATTCCCCACTTGTGGACTGAGCCACATGGATCCTCGATTGCGAACATCTTGTTTGCTTCGCCAGGGCTACGGGGACCACAAGCCCAAGTCTTCCACTGCAGCCCAGGAGGTAAAGACTCTGGATGGCATTTTCTCAGAGCAGGTGAGTGGGGGCAGCTGTGCCAGCTCGGGGACGTGTCCGTACCCAGTGGTATGTCACTCCTCATGATTTTGATCATCGCAGTCTGTTTGGGTTGTCTTGTTTACCATCTCAGCTGGCTTTCCTGGTGTCTCACGCTAAGATTTGTTTGAGAGGTAACAATCATTCTGCAGGAGAGAGTGCACAGGGTTGCTGGCCAGGCTGGGTGGCTGTCCTCACCCTTGATGACAGATGGCACCAACTGGCCGCAGCAGATCCACTCTCGGGCGAGCACATCGCTCGCGTCTCCATCACACCCAGGACTCAGATCCACTGGGCTGGAGGCAGGTCCGCAGGTCCACAGAGTAGAGGCTGCGTGGCTGCAGGAGTCAGATGGCGGGGTGAGGCCCCTGCGGCTCAGTCAGCCAGCCTGCTGGCCCTGTCTGCCAAGACACAGAGAGGGGTGGTGCACCTCACCCAGGCAGGATTGTGAGCCAGAGAGGGGGGGGATGGAAGTGGAGCTGGAGCCATGTCCCCACCTGTCCCTGCTGATAAGAGGTGGCCCAGTGGGCTTCCTTCCAGCTGGGTCTCCCAGGGCAGCCTGGAAGGCTCTGATTGGCAGAGCGTTGGTGGCAGTCACATGGAAACTAGCTGTCTTGGGCAGAGGGGCTTTTTGCAGTTTTCAAGGGCACTCTGTTTTTCTCCATGCTGACCCGCTTTAGCAGCCCAGTTTCCAGAGTCTCTTCAACGCATTGATTAGTCCAGGCGCCTCAGGCACACCCAACGCTGATTTGTCCCCCCAGGTCGCCATGGGCTACTCACACTCCTTGGTGATAGCAAGAGATGAAAGTGAGACTGAGAAAGAGAAGATCAAGAAACTGCCAGAATACAACCCCCGAACCCTCTGATGCTCCCGGAGACTCCTCCGACTCCACACCTCTCGCGGCAGCTGTCATTTCCATGTGCACTGGGACGGGAAGTCAAACGAGGAATTTAAAAAAGCAAAAGTTGACCGAAGGTGCATTTTTGTTTAGACTCCCTGAGGTTCCGTTTTACACATGATCCAACGTTAACTACCTTTTTTTCTGTATGCTTTCCAAAGTCCTTTTTTTTCCCTTAATGTTGAATTAAAATACTTGCTCATAGTTGATTTACCATTCCTACAAAAGAGGCAGAAACTTTGAGCAATCTAGGTTTTTTTTTTTTTTAAGTTTTTTCTTTCTTCCTCTCCTGAATACACTCCCCAAAACACCCCTTTCCAGTTACAATTAGCATCGTGATCCAAGCAGATGCCACATGGAAGAGGAATCGCCATTTACTCAGAAAAAATGTCCCTTACAGGAACCGGCAGCAGCTAGGCAGTCACCGGCCCGCCTCCATCCAAAATCACGCTCGCGTGCTTCGGAAGCATCCGGGTCACTCCTTCTCCGCTTTTTCTTGCAGATGGGCCTAGGCCGGTGTCGGTTCTGTTTCTCCCCTTGGCTGCCTGTACGCCCACAGCCTTCTGGCTGCGACATTATAGAATCGGCCGTGTCCCCCCTGGTGGGGGATTGGGGATCTGTGTTTAGCCATTTATATCTACTTTAGCTGTTAAAGAGGTCCAAATGAAAATCAGGTGATTGTGGAACCATGGGGACTTGGGGGTGGGGCAGAGGTGGGAACATTTGTATCAGTTGAGTCAGCTTGGTGGCTCCCTGTGGAGCCAGGGCTGAGCCTTGTCACGCGCACTCGCCAATTAAGAGATGGACCAGCCAGCAGTCAAGTGCATTCTCCAGTCCTTGCAAGAAGGATCAGCCCTTTCTGTGCCAGCCTCGATCGCCTTGTGCTTTGGTCTCTTTTTCTCCCCCCCGCCTGGATCCTGCCTCGCGCGGGCCGTCCTGTTGCTGAGACTCGGGGTACCGTTCTGCTGACCCAGCTCCCTTTAGTCACGTTTGCTTGGCTCTGGTACCAAATAGTTGGGATTACCGAAGAGTCCCCTTCCTTGCGTGTCAGCACGGATGCTGTGACTGCCACCTGCGTCCTCGTCAAGTGCCCGAGCTCGCCGCCGTGTGTGCTGCGCTGAGTGAGTTATGAGGTGCCTTTCCCGGAACCCTCCTCTCGCCTGGACCCAAGAGAGGCGACAGCTGTGGCTGGGGCTCTTGGTTTCCAGAGGGTCTGGACTGGTTTGGGTGCTTTAAAATAGATATTTAGTTCAGTGGTGCTTATGGGGGAGATGGGACTAGAACTTAAGTGTGAGACTTGGGTGGATGGGAAAGTTAAATATTGGTCTCTTCAAGTTTTTTTTTTCTTTTGCTTTGTTACCACTTGTCACTGTCTCCATGTTAAAATGCCAAAAATGATGTAGTTGTTGTTGCTTTTTTCCCTATTTTCCACCCCAGTCGCTCCTTACCGTGACTCCTGCCCTTGGAGGGCATGTAGCAGTGTCTGTCCTGCCAGTCCCAAGGCCCTGTGGGAGGAGACTGGCCTGCATCTCTCTAAGACTTAGTCTGACGCCACGCGCATCTCTTGTTCTGTGTTCAATCAGTAGTCCAGGGGAGAAGCTTCTGCTACTTCAGAGCTTTGCTAAACTAACCTAATTTGTCCAAATCACCCCAAAACCACCATCTCTGACGTAAGCTTCCATGCGACAGCCTGATCCGTTTCCCTGGACAGGTCTCTTTCCTGGAATGCAGCCCAGGCACCTGTGCTCCTGGCACCCTTGAGGTCTCTCCTTTGAGCCGTGGTCACCGAGAGGGTTGAGGACGCAGCACCCGAGGTCCCAGCCTTTGCAGGAGCCTCCCTGGGCTTAGCTGGACTTAGATCTTCGGTGGCCTCATGTAAACGTGGCAGCCAGCCTCTTCTAGAACCCTAGCCCAGGGACTGGAGCAGGAAAGGGACCTTCAAAGTGAAGACTGCCTTGTCCCGCAGCTCCTTCTGGCTTAGATTGAAAAATGGGCTTCCTAATGGGTTAAATCCTTTAAAACAAGGAGTTGTGGGGGAAGGGTGTCGTGCACTCCTAGAGAAAGGTACACAGTTGCCCGGTTGGGAATGTGCTTGGCGCTGACCCTGCGGGCATCTGACTGGTCTTCCAGCTCAGGAAAAAGAATTTGAAAGAGGCTTAGCGTGAAGGGGAATCAAAGAGGAGGTTGTGATTTGGTCGAAGGTGCCTGGTTTAGTGCTGTAATTGTCTTATTATTTTTTTTATATATATATTTCTTGGAGTAAACATTTTAAATAAACAACAACATTGTCTACTGTCTTGGATTTTGCATTTCTTTTTCGGTTGGAACGGAGCTCTGTTTTTCTTAACTCCTTATATGTGTACCTCCTAAGCCCTGGCACCCACAGAAGGTGGTGCCAGGAGACATGTGGCCCCAGGGGAGCTTCCAGGTTTAAACTGCACTGGTTGAAGTGAGTGGATCCCCCAACTCTGCCCCATGAAATGCTAGGGGAGTGGGACAGAGTCAGTACCTCAGTTGTCCAATTCAGAAGTGGAGTTCTTTGCATTTTCACTGGGGCTTTGAGAGGAAAAAAATAAGTCATGGGAGGCATCCAGCGCGGTGACTGCATGTGCACCCACTCCCCAGACTTCAGCAGGGGGCTCTGGTCAGGCCCCGGCTGTGGCTTCAGGCCAGTGCTGCTCTGTGCAGGCATTGTGGCCAACTGCCCACCAGAGGGCACCAGGAGGCTGGTCGTAGGTTCAGAGATCACGGACACTCTCCCTTCTAGGCTGCTGCTGAGTCTATACCGGGCAGAGTCCTAGACCAGACCCTTGCACAGGACACCGGCTCCCTGCAGCCGCAAAGATGCCTGGGATCCCTGGAACCTCGAGTGCAGGCCACCTTGTGTTGACTGGCTGAATAGTGTCCAGACCAGCCCCTCCTGGCAGGCATTGGCCCAGTTTGGGAGAGGAGGAAACGGTCTCCCATGGCCTGTTAGCTGCAGAAGGAGCATGTGCACTGTTGCAGGACAGTCCAAATGTAAAACACGGTGTTTCCCCATCTCCCCCCTTGGCAGCTTGGAGCTTCCCATCAGATGCTCCTGCCCTGGAAGAGCCCCCGTGGGCAGGGAAGCCACTGCTGGGGGCAGCGTCCCTGCTGACACACTGGCTGTTGTGTATTGGGCACATGCTGCAAATTGAGTGTCGTGTGTCTCGCCCCTGACTCCTGCAGTCCACTCCGACAGTCTTTTTGGAGACTGAGTTTCTTTCACCCAGGCTGGAGTGCAGTGGCATAATCGCAGCTCACTGCAACCTCTGCCTCCTGGGTTCAAGCGATTCTCCTGCCTCAGCCTCCTGAGTAGCTGGGATTACAGGTGTCCACCACATGCCTGGCTAATTTTTGTATTTTTAGTAGAGATGGGGTTTCACCATGTTGTCCAGGCTGGTCCCGAACTCCTGACCTCGTGATCCTCCCACCTTGGCCGCCTCCCAAAGTGCTGGGATTACAGGCATGAGCCACCGCGCTCGGTCTTGTATTTTTGAGATGGAGCTTTGCTCTGTCGCCCAGGCTGGAGTGCAGTGGTGTGATCTCTGCTTACTGCAACCTCTGCCTCCTGGGTTCAAGCAATTCTGCCTCGGCCTCCTGAGTAGCTGGGATTACAGGCAAGTGCCACCACGCCCTGCTAATTTTTGTATTTTTAGTAGAGACGGGGTTTCACCATGTTGGCCAGGCTGGTCTCAAACTGACCTCAAGTGATCTGCCCGCTTCAGCCTCCCAAAGTGCTAGGATTACAGGCGTGAGCCACCACGCCCGGCCACACAGGCAGTCTTGAAGGGAAGGCTGTTTGTTTTTTATTCCTGTGTTATAGAGGGAAGTGGGGTGCAGAGAGAAAATGGCTTTGGCTGAGGGACACAGTGGGGCGGGTAGGAAGACCTGTGCCTGGAACCACAAAGATCCTAGTAACAAAGATGGCCTCCCCTGCTCCCCCAGCCTGCCCCTGGCTGAGGACAGGGAGCCCATGTGACCTGTGGCCACCCTGGAGGGGCTGTCTTGAGAGCTTCGAGAACATCCAGGAGACCTTCACCTGCCCTTCCAGGGGCAGTGTAGGTGGCCAATACAGAGCAGCCGGGGCCTGCCAGGCCTGTGGCTGGGGGATGGGAGAAGCCTCCTGAAGTCGGGGGGGCAGAGAAGGCAGGCTCCCCACGGGCGGCTCTGGAGGTTTTTTTTTTTTAATGTCCCCCAGGCTGGAGTGCAGTGTCACAATCTTGGCTCCCCGCAACCTCCTCCTCCCAGGTTCAAGTAATTCTCCTGCCTCAGCCTCCTGAATAGCTAAGATTACAGGCACAGGCCACCACACCCGGCTAATTTCTTTGTATTTTTAGTAGAGATGAGGTTTCACCATGTTGACCAGACTGGTCTTGAACTCTTGAACTCAGGTGATTCCTCCCACTACCTCAGCCTCCCGAAGTGCTAGGATTACAGGCATGAGCCACCGTGCCCGGCCTTTGGCTCTGGGGTTTTCTCACCTGCAAAGCTGCTGCCTCCTGCTATTGTCCTGCCCCGTCAAGCCAGCAGCCTTTCTGGCCAATGTCCTCCACACTAAGCGGCTCCTTAAGCTCCCAGGGAAGAGTGAAAAGGGCTGGAAGGATGGCGAATGGGGAAGGGGACTTGCCGGTTCCTACCCAGCCCTGCTTTGCCCCGAACACCTGCCCCAGCCCCACATTGAAGGGCGGGGACCTGCGGAAGCGCCACGCGGGATGGTCAAGCTGGAGGGTCTCAGGATCCAGCTTAGCTGGTGTTCACACCAGACAATAGCAATGGAGCCCACTCTCCAGACTGGGAGGACTCAGTAGGCAGGGATGCAGGGAGGAGGGAAGGGGAGACAGGAACAGCCCCTTCAAGGCTTTGGAAGGGAAATGGGGGTCGCCCCCTGCTAAAAGCATTCTGGGCACTGAAGCAGCCTGGAGGGGAGAGGACTCGGTGCCTCTAGAGAACTAAAAGATGGCCTGTTGCAGGTTGGGAGGCACATGGGAGGGCTGGAATCTCCAAAACCCTCAGCTGCCCCCACACTGGGTCCCCAGCACTCTCCCACCCACCCCCCACCCCGCCAGCATTTCCTGTGATTTTTGTTCTTTTTTTTTTTGAGACGAAGTCTCACTCTGTTGCCCAGGCTGGAGTGCGGTGGCATGATCTTGGAGCCTCTGCCTCCTGGGTTCAAGTGATTCTCTCAACTCAGCCACTCAGCCTCCCAAGTAGCTGGGATTACAGGTGCATGCCACAATGCCCCGACTAATTTTTGCATTTTTAGTAGAGACGGGGTTTCCCCATGTTGGCCTGGCTGGCCTTGAAGCCCTGGCCTCAAATGATCCACCTGCCTCAGCCTCCCAAAGTGCTGGGATTGCAGGCATGAGCCACTGCGCCTGGCCCCGTGTCTGCTATGCAGGCAATGGAGGGTTTTGTTTACTTCTACAGAGATGTGGTCTCCCAGCCTTCAGGAATGAGAGGTGCCACGTGTCTTTCTAGGGCTTTATGTAAATAACTCCAGTCCTCAGAACAACCTCGAGACAGGCACAACTCTTACCCACTTGCGCTGGTGAGGAAACTGAGGCACAGAGCCCACTTACCTTGTTTTCTTGCCTTTGGCCAGTACAGGGAGCATTTCCTCTCCTTCCCTACAGCAGTAGTGCAAGCATGGCGCCAAATGACCACTGACCTTTGCAGGGGAACACAGTGGGGAGGGATGGGGACTGGGGCCTGTTGGAGCACATCTTTGTCTAGAGGGTGTGGCCAGTGAGTCTTCAGCCTCGGGCCCAGTGTGGTCAGGTCTAAAGACTTGGCAGCAGGAGCTGGAAATCCAGACTTTGAGTAAATTGTCAGTGCCTAACTTAGAGACGTTTATAACACTGTGCAAGCCAAGTACACCCAGCTCTCTGCTGCAGGTGTCTGCTAACAGCCAGGGCTGGGGGGGTGCTTCTCCAGGTGCTATCAGGATGGTGCTGCCTGGGAGGTAACAGGAGAGAAGGGTGTCAAGCTGCCAAGATTTCCTGCAGGACCCTTAGGCAGGTGGGGCGGGAGGGGCCCAGGGCTGACCTGAAAAGCTCTGGGTGAGGGTCTAGTTAGGGTCAGAGGAGGGACCAATTCATCCACCCTAAGGCAGCCCTTGGTAGAGGTGGGCAAGTTCCCTGGGAAAAGCCCATGGGGGTGGAAGAGTGAACCTTTTGTCCCCCTTCTGGCCCTAGGGCTTTCCTCTCCCCTTTTTCCCTAGAGATGGAGCCCCAAGCCCTTGGGGTCCAGAGTCCTCTATTTCTTTTGGCTTTTCTAGACTATCTGAAAATGCAGATGAGCTCATCCATCCCTCCCCATATTTGAAGGCCTGGTCTGTGTCAGTCCCAGGCTGGTATAGGGGTCAGAGCCATGAATACAACAAGAGGTCTCTAGTGTAGTCCATAAACTCTGCACCACCATGGGCAGGTTAACGAGATGTCGTAAGATGTCCTGGGGTAGCTGGCACACCAGGGCACAGCTCTTGGATAAAAACCCACATCTGATCCAGAGACCAGCCCTGCTGCCCCAACCCTGGCTTCTGCCTCGCTTCCTTAGGATGACCCTCCTCCACTGCCCCAGCAGCTGGCAGAGGCTGGCCAGGTCCTGCCTGCTGCCCACAGAGCCCCAGGTGTTAGGAAGGGGGCTAGTTTGAGGCCCAGCTCTGCCTTCAACTCCCTGTGGGACATGGACACAGGGCTCCCTTCTCAGGTTCTACCCTGAGGATTAGAGTGTCCTAGAGTCATCATCATCCAGGAGGAGCAGGGTGGGAGCCACAGCGCCAGTTAAAGCTTAACAGCATCCCTGTACCATTAACACAGGGGTGGTCAGATGGGAATATGTGGCTTTGGGCCCTGGAGGGGACATTTCAGGCTGAGGGTCAGCCCAGGTCCACCCCTGCTGTGCCTTCTCAAAGAGGCCACACCTACAGACCCAAGGAGACCAGAGCCTCCACTTGCTGAGGCCAGCTGCCTGCCGTGCATGGCACCACCCCCACCGTGGGCCTGCCCCCTCCAGGTCCTACCAGTCCCAAGGGGGAGGCCCTCGACCTTCCTCTAGCCTGGGCCCTGGACTCTAGACCCAGCTTGTCCCAGTTGCTTAAACCAGAGCAGCATTTGGATAATCTTAAATCCATTTGGATAATCTAAGTCCATTTGGATAAGTCCAACCACTTCCTGCCACGACATAATTTAGAGATGAGGGGAAGGACAGCAACTGATGTAGCCAAGTCTCTCCCCCCACACAAGCAGGCCAGCATGGCCATAGGTATCTCAGCTCAGCCTTGTCCTCAGTTGTCACTTATCCCCTCCCCAAACAAGGAGGTCACTGCCAAGATGCATTCACACCCACCAGCCCTTTATTGGCTATTTAGTAAACGTCACTTGGCTGAACACTTTTGCATCTTTTCCCCATAGGGGTTCAAGCTGGCGGCATTTGCCATCCTACTGGGTCCGAGGGTCGGTCGGGGCAGACAGGGAAGAAAGGGTTCTGTTGCCTGGACTCTCCAGCCTCCTCTACTGGGCAAAGAATCATGCTGTTGCATGGTGACAGTGGGCCATCCACGCTGGGGCAGAGCTGGCAGCTCCAGGGCCTGGGTCTAAGGTACCATCTTCCACCATTTGAAGGCAAAGGGCACCCGGCGGATGTTGGCACAGGCACAGATGTCTCCGACCTCTGTCAGGTAACAGTCAAAGTCATTGATGAAGGTGCACTTGAAGCCCAGGGGCTCCAGCAAGCAGCAAATCTTTTCTTCCAGGCAGCAGGTCCCCTTGATTTGGGGCCCAAAAGGCTTGGGGATCCCCAGGTTCTTGCCCATCACAATCATCCGCAACTGTTAGAAAGACAGGGTGGGTGAGGCCTGGACAGGGATCAGAGGCCTGAAAGCCAGCCGCCCACCTGCCTCTCTGCGGTCAGACCAGGCGTAGCAGGCAGGCAGCCGCCTCCTCCAGGTCAGTGAAACCCAGCTCACTTTTGCTTAGCCCTACAATGGCTGTTTCTCAACAGCCAGATAAAATCCTGCCTGGCCAAGGTCTGGGATTGTCAACTTCTCTAGTTTCTACGTTTCGATTATTCTGGCCTCTTGTCACCTGGATACAACACATGGCTGCTGCCTCCACTGAAACACTCTCCCCACCCCCGCTTTGTCAGTTGACTGCTGCGCATCTTTTGTATCTCAACTCCTCCTCAAAGCAGCTTCTTACCGTTACTCACCCCTGCCGGACCACACTGAGCTGATCAAGTTAGAAGACACCCATGTACAATTGGAGCATGCAGGGCCTGTGTCCCTAGGACCCAGGGAAGAGGTCAGCAGGTGTTTAGAGAATTGGGGCACTCAAATGCCTCAGTTCATTTTACACACCTATATAAGGGGTCAGTTGTTACATGAGAAAGTTCAGATGTGAGCCACAGTCGGCATAGGCTTGGTGAAGCCAGGACCTCTTGTACTCACAGCCCCACTCTTGACTATAACTTCTGGTTTAGAATAAGTAGGAACAGAATTTAAAAAACAAAAACAAACAAACAAAAAAACAAAACAGTTTTGCTCTTGTTGCCCAGGCTGGAGTGCAACAGGGTGATCTCCGCTCACTGCAACCTCCACCTCCCAGGTTCAAGCGATTCTCCTGCCTCAGCCTCCTGAGTAGCTGGGATGACAGGCATGCACCACTACACCTGGCTAATTTTGTATTTTTGGTAAAGACAGTTTCTCCATGTAAGGCTGGTCTCGCAGTCCTGACCTCAAGTGATCTGCCTGCCTGGGCCTCCCAAAGTGCTGGGATTACAGGTGTAAGACACCACGCCCAGCCCCAGAATGTTTTTTTTTTTTTTTGGTTTGGTTTATCAGACAAGGTCTTGGTTTGTTACCCAGGCTAGAGTGCAGTGGCTCATTGTAGCCTCCACCTCCGGGGCTCAAGAAATTGTCCTGCCTCAGCCTCCTGAGTGGCTGAGACTACAGGCATGTGGCACCACACCCAGCATTTTTTGTTTTGTTTTGTTTGTTTTTTTGGGAGACAGTCTTGCTGTTGCCCAGGCTGGAGTCCAGTGGTGCAATCTTGGCTCACTGCAACCTCTGCCTCCTGGGTTCAAGGGATCCTCCTGCTTCAGCCTCTGATTAGCTGGGATTATAGGCATGCACCACCACACCCAGCTAGTTTTTTGTATTCTTACTAGAGAGTTTCAACCATGTTTGCAGGGCTGATCTCGAACTTCAGACTTCAAGTGATCCACCCACCTCAGCCTCCCAAAGTGCTGAGATTACGGGCATGAGCCACTGCACCCTGGCCCCAGCATTTTTTTTTTCTTTTTTTTAAAGTTGCAGGGTCTCACTATGTTGCCCTAGCTGCTCTCCAACTCCTGAGTTCAAGTGATCTTCCCACCTCAGCCTCCCAACGTACTAGAACTACAGGTGAGCCACCACGACCAGCCAAGCAGAATAAATATTAGAGACGGAGTTTCAGTCTTGTTGCCCAGGCTGGAGTGCAATGGAGTGATCTAGGCTCAATGCAACCTCTGTCTCCGGGGTTCAAGCAATTCTCCTGTCTCTGCCTCCTGAGTAGCTGGGATTACAGGCATGTGCTACCACACCCAACTAATTTTGTATTTTTAGAGACAGGGTTTCTTCATGTTGGTCAGGCTGGTCTCAAACTCCTGACCTCAGGTGATCCACCTGCCTCGGCCTCCCAAAGTGTTGGGATTACAGGCATGAGCCACTGCGCCTGGCCTAGAATGTTATTTTAAGGGCTGATGTACCTCTATGTATCAGACACTGCTGCCCTGGACCCTGGAGATAGCGGACAGGAAGACCCACCCTGAGGTAGGTTGCTCAAGGCCTCGCTGCTGGCAGATGCGCGGCAACCTCGACTCTGGGTTGCATAGCACCCCATCCGAAGTGGGCCTCACAGGTTCACCCTTTTAGACTGGGGGCGCAGCTCACTGAGGCTCCTAAAGCACCTGGCCCAGGGCCTGGCCCATAGTAACTGCCTGGGGAACCTCCAAGCCTTCAGGCCCTGTACACTTGCTCTCTGGGTGGGGCGTCCCTAACCGAGATGGGGGAGAAGGGGTCTCCCTCCCATTTCCTCATAGGTACCGTTATCTGCTGTCCACCATATCTGCAGTCCAGCACAGTGAGGTGGCAGCCAGTGTTGCCTGGACAGGCCCTCCCCCACCCAGGGATGCGCAGTCGCCCCTCACCAGGTCAGGGAAGTATGGCCTCGCAAAGGACCTCTTGGGCTGCTGGTCAGAGGGGATGTTAGTCAGCTTCTCCAAGCAGAACAGCTGGGGAATCTCGATGATGTCCTGTTCCACCAGGCCCAGCTCCGTCTTCAGGATGTCACGGTTCAGGTGAATGCACTTCTGTGGGTGGGTGGGTGGGTGGGGGGGGGGGCGGGGGAGCAAGGAGAGCTCATCAGGAATTAAAACCAGTTTCCTTCCATACTGAAGGTAGGTGATGGCCTGACACCACTACCATCCCCATCACTTGCTGTGTGCCAGGAGCCTCACACTTCATACCAGCCTTACGAAATAGGCAGTTCCCTTTTCACATGGGGAAGTAGGGGCTCAGGAATGGCCTAGTCTTTAGTCCAGGATCCCATGGCTAGACAGCGTCTGGCACTTCTCAACCCAGACCAGCTGAGCCCAATACCCAGGCATCTCCCTAGGTCTTGAAATAGGCTTCAGACATAACCCAACACACCTGTCTCCCTAGGTCTTGAAATAGGCTTCAGACACATACCCAACACACCTAAGCTGTCGCCAGGGGCTGGGAGATGCTGTCTCAGCCCCATGCCTGGCTGGCACCCACCCTGCTATGCCAGGGGGGCTGTTCTTGCAAAACAGGGTACCCATGCACTGTGCGGGGCATAGAACATTCCTTGGGAACATTCCTGGGAATGTTAAGGACCCAGTGAGAGAAGCAGTTTTGCTGACCATGCAACCTCAGCCAAGAAATTACCCTTCTCTGGGCCTAAGCTTCTCCTTCTACAAGTTGGGGAGACTCTGCTTCTTATAGCCAATGATTCACTTCTAAGATCTCTGAAGTTTGGTGACCCTGAACACCATCCTCGGGACTGCTGTGATGGGCCACTTCATCCAGAAAGCATTGAGTAGTCCCTCGTCTATTTGAGTCTGATACTCAGCTTCTCGGAAGTGAGGAGCCGGCTTCTTCAAGGAGGCTGCGGAGCTATGTCATTTTCCGGGAAATGGACCCCAGGCAGCTTGAGTATAATGAGCAACACATGAACTTGGGAGTTCAGACTCATTTTCCCAAATGATTGTCCTGGGCTAGCGGTTTTACTGTGTGCCTCACTACCCTCATATGTAAGAGGTGTTTTACTTTATAGGGCTATCTGCAGGGTTTGTAGTTTTATAGGGCTATCTGCAGGGTTTGTAGTGAGGTATCTCGCAAAATGCTTGGGCCATCATTGGCTCTCAGCTAGGAACCTGGATAATCAGGGCTTTCCCAGCTTGGGGGAAAAGATCCAGCTGCATAGTCATAGCAAAGTAAACTCCCTCTGACAGTATCTGCAAGTAATATCTGTCAACGGTCCCGACATGCCATGGCGCTCCTCCCTGCCCCTGTCCCACCCTGGGTCCTCAGCCATCTGACACCATAGAAAGCTGTGTTACCCACTTCCAGCCCTCTTCCAAGCATAAAGGTACATCGTGCTGTGTTTGACTCCAGAGACCTAACTCCTTACTCCTCTAGTCTCCCTACATTGGCATATGGCCAGCTCTAGCCCCAGACCTGGGCCTGTATCAAGACCTGGAAGAAAGGGTGGCAGGCAGCTGCCCCCCGCCGCCCAACACTTCACCCCTCAGGAGGGGTGGGTGGAAACCTTCCTGCAAGACCTGCGGCACCAGCTCTTTCTTGGGGATGGCCCCCTTCACACTGGTCCTACCTCCACGTATTCATTCTGCTTCTTCAGGCTTTCATCAGCCAGAAGTTGGTCGATGGTTTTGGCTTCCCTTCCTGTAGGAAGAAGCGGGCAGCAGGCCTGCTGGTCAGGGAATGGCAGCACTGCCCAGAGCTGGGCACACTCGGGCCAGGCCCAGCCACCTGGGTGCATTCCTGGGCCAGTGACCATGGCGAGAGGACTGGCCTATCTCCAGGGATCACACCCTCAGGTCCAATATCTTCCTTCTGGGGACTGACCAGGGTCTACACCAGAACTCCCAGGCAGGACTTACTGCCACTGGCCACTCTGTCCCCAGCATGAGGGGGAATAGCCTGTGCCAGGCTGAGGGACACAGCCTAGAGCTTGTTAGGATGACTTCAGCCCCTACTCCCCTTATGCCAATACAACCTGGCACTTTCTGCCTGTGACCCTCTCCAGGTTACATTACCTTTGTTCCTCAATTGCCTGATCTTTGGGACAGGGATGCCCAATTTATTTGCCAGCTCTGAGGTGATAGTCTTTGTCATGTGGTTCATGCTCAGCAGATGTCACCTTCCATGGTGCTTCTATGACCAGGAGTTCCCGGGCCCCAACCCCAAAGGCTGAGTATCCAGGAGGTGTGGAGCAGGGTGGAAATTCTACATTTTTAACAAGCTCCCAGGTGCGCTGGCCCTCAGATAACACTTTGAGTATTGAGGGTCTAGAAAAACCTAATACCCCCAGCCCCTTTCTGGGTTCCTACAGCCTTTATTATTTTTTGAGATGGAGTCTTGCTCTGTGGCCCAGGCTGGAGTGCAATGGCACGATCTTAGCTCACCGCAACCTCCACCTCCCAGGTTAAAGCGATTCCCCTGCCTCAGCCTCCCGAGTAGCTGAGATTACAGGCATGCACCACCATGCCCGGCTAATTTTCGTATCTTTAGTAGAGATGGGCTTTCGTCATGTTGGCCAGGCTGGCCTCGAACTTTTGGCCTCAGGTGATCTGCCCGCCTCAGCCTCCCAAAGTGCTGGGGTTACAGGTGTGAGCCACCATGCCCAGCCCACTCCCACAGCCTTTAGATCAGAAGTGCAATGGCACCAGCCACACCACCTCTGCTTGTCCACCTGTGTGTTTCCTTAATGTAACCAGGAGACCCACAAAGTCCCAGTCCCTAGATACTTAATCCAACATGCCCTGAATAAATCCAGGCACTAGCATTGTTAACACCCGTTTTCCCCCCACTTGGGGCCACCTATGTACTAAGTGAGTCCCCCTTCAAATACATCCAAACAGCCTCCAGGCCATCCCAGAACATCTGGTCTACTTGTGTTGTAGTACCACTAGAGCAGCCCAGAAATAAGACGTTCTAATATGGCAATTCCAACAGCTTCTGTGCTTCCCTGGCATCCTTTACGCCAAGCGTGACAGAATGGCTATGTAGAAAGGACCCCTGGAAAAAGGAAGACCCCAGTTCTGTTCTGTGGAAAGGGAGTTCCCTTACCATTAGACAGGAGCTGATCTGCTCTAAGCTCATCAAACAGAAGAGCGTCGCCATAGCCTTCCTTCTGTTTCTCTCGGAACAGTTTATAGCAGGCACTGGGGCTGGCCAGGAGCAGCAGGAAGCCCTGGGAAACAGAACTTGGGTCAGAAGCCAGCTTTCTCAGCTGGACATGGTGGCTCATATCTGTAATCCCAGCACTTTGGAGGCCGAGGCAGGCAGATCCTCTGAGGTCAGAAGTTCGAGACCAGCCTGGCCAACATGGTGAAATTCCATCTCTACTAAAAATACAAAAATGAGCCAGGTGTGGTGGCATGTTTCTGTAATTCCAGCTACTCAGGAGGCTGAGGCAGGAGAATTGCTTGAGTCCGGGAGGCAGTGGTTGCAGTGAGCGGAGATCACGCCACTGCACTCCAGCCTGGGTGACAGAGCAAGACTCTCAAAAAACAAACAAAAAAAAAAAAAAACAAGAAAAAGCCAGTTTTCTCTCCAGAATCTTCCAAGATTCCCCAACAGAAGGCAAGGGTCAGATGTCCCTTCTCCAGACCCCAAAGCAGACCTTTTTGCCCTCATTCTTGTCATCTGTGGGGATGAAGCACATGAACTCATCCACGTGGCCAGTCATTAGCCAATCTGAGTAGAGCTCCACCGGCGCTTGGACCTGCTGGGCATAGAGGAAGTCTCGGAGGGTCTTACTCATGGCCCGGCCCTCTGCGCTAGAAGGAAGATGGAAAGAACAGCTCTTGAGCCAGTGTGGCCCAGGGCTGGTCACCCGCCACTTGGTGTCATGCTGCCTCCAGGGAGCTGGCCTCTGACCGTTGTGTGAAAGAGGCCGGTCCATAGCGGATGTGTTGGTTACGAATCCCTTACTCTGACCCCACTCAGAACAGAGCCTAGTGTTTCTAGACAGACAAGCCCGGGCACAAGTATCATTTTGGATTTATGGCCACCAAGAAATCCAACCACATATCTCTTGGAAATGACATCCTGGTGGACCAAATTTCACTTGTTTCAGTTTAAACCCTGGAATCAAAGAATAAATGGTTTATTCTCATCTTTAGTCTCCCACGTGAATCAAAAGCTCAAATGTCTTCAGTTTAAGAAATGGTCCAGTGTGTGTGACCTGCTGAGGTGCTATGGGAAGCAGGCGGGGCCAGGGGAACGACCATGGTCCCTTCCTTTCATTTGGAGGCGTCTGGCTTTGTGGCTCACCTGGGGTAAAAGCTGCTGCCAATGAGGACTCTGCCCAGCGGGTACTCTTTCCCTTGGACCTTGACAGGTGGGGACACCATCAGGTTCCCAATGGAATCCATGCTGGCCACTTTATGGTCCTCAGTGTCCTGGATCATGTAGCCAATACCAGGGCTCTGGGGGAGAGACCGAGCCAGGGAAGGGGTGTTAGTAGGGGATGGCTTTAGGCCCCAGTCTTATCCCTAAATCCAGGCTCTCAGGTAGACTTCCACGTCCCCTCCCCCCTCAGAGGCCACCTGGGCCCTCTCCCCACTTGGTGCCCCATTATTTCTAGGCAGGCCCCAGGCCTGAGAGATTGGACTGAGCTCAGATTAGCCAAACCAAGTTCCACACCAGTGAGTACTTCATGGGGAACTCATCGAGATCGGCGGCCTGAGGTGTGTCGAGGATCAAGGACGTTGTCTTGTGGGGAGCCTGGGTGTAGCAGAAGGCCATCTCATCCTGGAATGGAGAGGAAGACAGATTGTTTGCCAGTCACACATCTCCCCGGACCCCATTTACGGAAAAGGTACGGTAAGAACCCCCTTCCTTCCTGCCAACTCCTGCTCAACCCTCAACACCCAGCTCAGATATCACCCCTTCTTGAAGGCTCTCCGATCCCTCTCTCCCCTACTCTTCAGGTTTAAGACTTGAGCATCCATGGCCAGGTGTGGTGGCTCACGCCTGCAATCCCAGCACTTTGGGTGGCCAAGGTGGGTGGATCACTTGAGCCTAGGAATTCAAGACCAGCCTGGGAAACATGGTGAGACAGTCTACTTAAAACAAAACCAAAAAGTTAGCCAGGCATGGTGGCTCATGCCTGTAATCCCAGCTACTCAGGAGGAGGCAGAGGCTGCAGTGGAGCTGAGATCGCGCCACTGCACTCCAGTCTGGGCGAAAAAGACTTGAGCATCCAGATTCTTCCTTTCTTCTTTCGTAAAGAATCCATTAACAAGCCTTACTGGCTTACATTCTGAGTCAGCTCTGCGCTGGTGCCACTCAGGAAGCCACCGTGTCTCCACCCTATGCCACTGTGATGCCTTCCAGTTTCGCTTCTATTCTTGCCTACTCTTAAGATCTGTTCCCTACATCTTAGCCAGAGGGGTCTTTTGAAAACCTGAACTATAACCTTTCATTCCCGATTCATGCTTTGAGTGTCTCTTGTTTGTCCTTAGCTTAAAAGGTACCTTAACCAGGAGGTAGCCCTGCCTTTCACCTTTGTTCACTGTGATCTGTCTGCATCAGCCTTCTTCAAGACCTCCAAGCACAACCCCAGATTTTTTTTTTTCTTTTGAGACAGTCTCGCTCTGTCATCCAGGCTGGAGTGTAGTGGCGTGATCTAGGTGCACTGCAACCTCCGCCTCCTGGGTTCAAGCGATTCTTCTGCCTCAGTGACCAGAGTAGGTGGGACTACAGGCGCGCGCCACCATGCCCGGCTGATTTTTGTATTTTTTTAGTAGAGACAGTATTTTGCCATGTTTTCCAGGCTGTTTTAAAACTCCTGACCTCAAGTGATCAGCCTCCCAATGTGTTGGGATTACAGGCTTGAGCCACTGCACCCGGCCAGGAACTCCTTTTAATCCTGGCCACCCCTGCCCCAAATCTCTGCATGGCCAGCTCCTTGTTTCCTTAAGTTTCATTTGCAGATTTTCCCAACTATTCTTAAACTGCCTCATTTGGTCTAATGAATCACTGTATCATCTCATTGTCTAAATTTCATAGCACTTAAAAGTTCTATCCTTGCTAACATGGGACAGCATATGTTCCAGTTTATCTCTGGTGCTCAGGATGGCGTGCCTAGCATGTGATGATCACTCATCTGCAGAGGACAGAGCTCTAGAACCGAAGGCTGACCGGGGCTCTAGACTTGGTGCTGTGCCAGAGTCAGGCGGGACCCCAGGGCAGTGGCCCAGCTCTCACAGCCTTAGCCAAAGGTATCAGAGCCTTCCGGGGCCTGGGGGTTAGGGTTCTGTGGTCTTGAACACGTGTCCATTCTGGAATGGGAAGGAGGCTGGACTCTAACTATTCCTTAGTGGCCATGACTCAGGCAAATCCTCATCTGAGCCTCCACTGAAGTCCTAAGAACAGGGCCGCCCCTATCAAGGCTTCGGTCTTTAAGGTTAACCAGAAGCCTGTGAAGTTCCTCTTAGGTGGCACATGCTGAGTCTCCCCACCCCTCCCCGACAGGTGGGTTCCCAGGTGGGGTGTTACCTGGAGCCACCTGCCCAGGCGGTTGGGGTCCTCATAGACAGATGCCACCTGGCTGTTGCTCTTCTCACTCAGCTTCGTCACTGTGTCCACAAAACCCTGCAGCTGCAGCTCCCTGCCATGGGAGAGAAGCCAGTTCTGGGAAGGCTTTCGAAGGTCCCTTACTGGTTATGACCTCCTTGTGCCAAGAGAGGAAGAACACATCCTTCTCACCAGGAGAGGTTACATCCCTGCCCGTGAGGTCGACAGAGCAACCATCCCTGACCTCGGCACAAGCCAGAAGCTCAGAGCCCATCTTGTCTGACACTACTCAGCTTTGCCCATGGCAGAGCCAGGTTGGGAAGTGCCAGTGGCGGCCCCTTCCCTGGTAGCCAAGGCCTGCTCTGTTTATACCCTTCGGTCACATTCTGCAAGTACCCTTCCTTTCGTTCTGTCACCCAGGCTGGAGTGCAGTGGCATGATCTGACTCACCGCAACCTCCACCTCCTGGGTTCAAGTGAGTCTCCTGCCTCGGCCCCCCACAGTAGCTGGGACTATACGCCTGCCACCATGCATGGTTGTCATTTTTATATGTGTGGCGTTGGGTGGGTCTTGAGCCCTGGGGTCTTCAAGCCGTTGTGCACAGCATCAGGCTCACAGATCTACAGTGGCCATCCCTTCCTTGAAGGGAAACAGCAGTGTGTGAGGCTGATGTTAAGACCACTCATCTGGCCGGACGCAGTGGCGCACGCCTGTAATCCCAGCACTTTGGGAGGCTGAGGCGGGCGGATCACCTAAGACTGGGAGTTTGAGACCATCCTGGCCAACATGGTGAAACCCCATCTCTACTAGAAATACAGAAATTAGCTGGGCGTGGCAGTACATGCCTGTAATCCCAGCTTCTCGGGAGGCTGAGGCAGGAGAATTGCTGGAACCCTGGAGGTGGAGGCTGCAGTGAGCCAAGATCACACCACTACACTCCAGTCTGGGCAACGGAGCGAGACTCCATCTCAAAAAGAAAAAATAATAAATTATCTTAAACAAACGGAACAAACAGGTCCTCAAAAGTTGGAGGTCAGCAAGGCCCTAATATTGGGAGATATTGAAATTGGGACTGTAGTCCGGCTTCAGGTCCAAAGCTCATGTTGCTACTAATAGAATACAGCAATGTAACTACTGGCATAGCACATTCATAGTATCTATGCTACTGCTCCAAAGAACCTATTTCTTGGGTCTATGCAAAGCCACAGGGAGCTACCAGCCTGACAAGGTCTAGAACAGTCTGACGCTTACTGGGGGAAGGGTGTGTCGGCTCAGTCTTGCAGGTCATATGCAGCTATATGGGGTCAAACCATGCCTGAATATCACACTGTATGGAAGACTTGGGTTTCTTTGAAGAACAAGTAGATGCCTCCTGTGAGTGAGAAACCCGTCTTCAAATACTCGAGATACCACATCTCTCTGCTTTATGTCTTTTGTATCTGCCATCAGCAGAATCCCATCAGACTTTCTGAGATTTTACCTTCTCATCCTGAAGCCTGCTATTCCTCTGAGGACCACACTCCCCAGGAGCCCTGCCCTGGAAAAGCTGTCTGGCTTCTACACCCACGGAGCCTGGAAGAGGGGTAGAAGTCTTTTTTTTTTTTTGAGATGGAATCTTATCTGTCACCCAGGCTGGAGTACAGTGGTGCAATCTTGGCTCACTGCAACCTCCGCCTTCTGGGTTCAAGAGATTCTCCTGCCTCAGCCTCCCGAGTAGCTGGGATTACTGGGGTGCACCACCATGCCTGGCTAATTGTTTTTTGTATTTTTAGTAGAGACGGGGTTTTACCATGTTGGCCAGGCTGGTCTTGAACTCCTGACCTCAGGTGATCCGCCCGCCTCAGCCTCCCAAAGTGCTGGGATTACAGGCATGAGCCACCACACCCAGCAATTTTATTTTTTGTTTTTGAGACAGTTTCGCTCTTGTTTCCCAGGCTGCAGTGCAGTGGGGCTATTTCAGCTCACTGCAACCTCTGTCTCCTGGGTTCAAGTGATTCTCCTGCCTCAGCTTCACTGAGTAGCTGGGACTACAGGCATGCACTACCACATCTGGCTAATTTTTGTATTTTTAGTGGAGACGGGGTTTTACCATGTTGGCCAGGCTGGTCTCGAACTTCCGACCCTCAGGTGATCCTCCTGCCTCGGCCTCCCAAAGTGCTGGGATTATAGGTGTGAGCCACCACACTGGCCACCTTTTCCTATTAGTGTTTCCCATCCCTGCTAGAGCATTCCATCAGCATTATCCTTTGCCTCCTACCTTAAAAAAACAAAAAAGCCTTCACCTAAGGAATTTGCAATAAAGGGCAACGTGGTGGTAGTAATCTGGAGGCGGCCGGTGTGGAGCGAGTGGGGCGGGGGTGTCCTACCTGCGGACCAATCCCAACTAAAGGCTGCTCCTGCCACCCTGGCTTGAGCCATGCTGTGTCTAGACTGGTCTTCCACCTTTTATCTGTACCTGACTTTCCATGTGGCCAGAGTGATCATGCAGACAGAACCCTTGGCTTCCCACTGGTTCTGCCTTCAGGATCCTATCTCCTTTTCTCCCTAGGCATGTGGCTACATAGCTAGAGACTGCTCCTGGATTCCCTGAAGCCGGACGTGGCCCCGTGCGTGTTCAGGATTTTGGCATGTGAGAAGTGGTTCAGGAGACTTCCAGACCACTAGCAGCAACCATAGGTTGCAGTGTCCAAATCTTGGCTCTTTCTCCCTCCTGGGGCCCGGGCCTGGACCTAGGATGTGTGCACTCAGCCTCCAGAGAGGAGGCAGCCACCCCAGGGGAAAGCATAACAAGACTGAAAGGAACCAGGGCCCCTAAGTGGCAGTGGGCGAGCAGTACCATCTTCCTGCAGGCATCCAGGTGACAGAAAGCTTTCACCACTGTATTTAGAGTAGGTATGGCCCCAGCTACCTCACCGTAACACCCAGGGCCCACAGGGCTCTGCTCTTTTCACCCATCCCCACACCGCCCCTTCCTGGGCTCACACCTGTTCTCTGGCTCCGTAGGAGCTTCATCGTCCCTGGGACAGGTTCTCATCCTGACCTCTCCATCTTCACCCTGCTTTAGAGCACTTGGTACTGTTTAAAACCATGCCGTTTGGCCCTCACATAATGGGGGGACTGTCTCATTCACTGTTCCATGCCCATCTTTGGGAATATTCAGGCATGTATTGGACTGTCTTGGGGCAGGTCCAGACAGCTCAGACAGAAGGGTTTCAACTCTCCTGGTGAGAGGTCCTAGTCATCTTCACCCACCCTGCCCTGCATATAGAAAGAAGAGGGTGCCAGTTATGAGAACCGCCTGGCACAGTCAGCCTGATGGTCTCTCACCTGCACAGGTAAACCTCCAGAGGCACCTGGGTACAGGGAATGAAGACACAGGGAGCCACCCGGAACACCACCGTGTCTTTGTACAGCACAGTCTCTGGAATTGACTGCAACAAGACAAGGTCCTGTTAGCAACCTGCTTCCACATTTACTCGCTCCCCTCTTACCCCAGGGTTCCGGCCGTTCAGTCCGGCCCCCAGCTGGGCCCCACTTGCCTTCTGCAGCTCTCCCCCAGCAAACCTCAAGCTCTGCCCAACTGTGGGAGATGGCTTTTCCCCCACCGGAGCATCCTAGTCTGAGGACCCATCTATTATGGGGACATACCGGGTCTTGAGACTCCTCCACCAGGGACACAGAGTAGGAGATGAGGCCTGAGAATTCGGCAGATGGGAATGCTATAGCTTCAACGTAGAAAGTCTCCTTCAAGTGGTTCCCGAGGAGGGCCAAGGTATAGGCGTGCTGGTCGGGCCCCAGCACCAACTCAAAGGTACTGGAGTTGTCTTCTAGGAGAGAAAGAAGGGATGGACCAGCCACTGAAGTAACCTGGTGCCGGTCACATTTGATGGTCAAGGTACCAGCTCATTCCTCATATCAGATGCAAGGCTGTGAGTTCCAGGAGGGCTGGAGCTGAAATGGCTCAGCCATCCCCGTTTCTAGCATTCAGGTCTTGGTAGACAACCAGATGTTCATACACAAGCAATGGCCAGTTATTCACCAGTATTCCTTGAAGACCTATTACATGCCAGGAGTTGGAGCTCAGGTGATGATGCCTTCAAGGCTCCTGACTGGTGTGAAGCCTCAGGGTAGGTGGTTCTACATTTTGGCCCATGAATCCAACTCCTGCGATAATATCAGAGTCCTAAAGGTGAGAAACTGTCCCAGGCTGGGCTCAGCAGCCTCATCTGAAAAAAATCACTTACTGATGCTAGAAAGGTCAGTGAGAACCATTTATTGGATGGATTATGCCTCCATCAAGTTTTCTGAAGAAACCAAGTGTTCTTATGATTATACATGTTAAGCCTGTCTCCTAGTTTTAGGTCATTAAATACAAAACCATGCACAGAAGAGATCAGAAGGAAGTTGACCACACGTGGTGGTTGTCCGTTTGCTAATTAGATCCTAAAGGTGTTTTTGAGAGGGAGTCTTGCTCTGTCGCCCAGGCTGGAGTGTAGTGGCGTGATCTCAGCTCACTGTAAGCTTTGCCTCCTGGATTCTGGCCATTCTGCCTCAGCTTCCTGAGTAGCTGGAACTGCAGGCACCTACCACCACACGCCTGGCTAATTTTTTGTATTTTTAGTAGAGACGGGATTTCACCGTCTCGTTAGACAGGATGGTCTTGATCTCCTGACCTCGTGATCTGCCTACCTCGGACCTCCCAAAGTGCTGGGATTACAGGTGTGAGCTACCACGCCTGGCCCCCCCCCCTCCTTTTCTTTTTTGAGGTGGAGTCCTGCTCTGTTGAGCAGGCTAGAGTGTAGCGGCACTATCTCGGCTCACTTCAACCTCCATCTCCTGGGTTCAAGCAATTCTTGTACCTCAGCTTCCTGAGTAGCTAGGACTATAGGTGTGCACCACCATGCCCGGCTAGTTTTTTGTATTTTTAGTAGAGATGGGGTTTTACCACATTGCCCAGGCCAGTCTCCAACTCCTGAGCTCAGGCAATCCATCTGCCTCAGCCTCCCAAAGTGCTAGGATTACAGTCGTGAGCCACTGTGCCCAGCCCAAGTCCATTCATTTTCTAGGTCAGAAATGACCCTGACTTCTCCCACCTGGGTCACTCGAACTTCCTCTTTCCTGGCCTGTCCTCTATCTGTGCCCGATGTGGCAGCTGTAGGCCTGATGGCTGTTCCTGCTCAAGATTCCAGGTGACTTATTTCAGGGGATCCTAAGCTAGATTTACCTTGGCCACTAGAACCCCAAGAGATCCAGGAACTGTAGCATCCTCAGACCTTCTGCACGGCACTGCCAGCTGCCTCCATCTCCAGCTCCTCCAACGTGCCAGCAGATGGCTGCAGCTGCGGCCGTGGCTGCCCCTGGTTAGGCACTGCCCTGGGTCCTCGGCCTCTTGCTCTGGGTTAGAGCCCCAGCAGCCCTCCCGATGGACTCTGCAGTTCTGCAGCAGCCCCTCCTTGGAGGCCCTGGGGATGCTGGTTACAGGCCCAGCCTCAGTCCTGCTGCTGGCTGTGAGGGAACTGGGCCCACCGGGACCACTCCTGTGCTAGTTCCTGCTTCTCATCTACCTAGATGCTTCACCAGCCCTGAGCCAGGCCTCATGGGGCAAGACCAGACAAGGCAGTCTTCCCCCAGGAACCCCTGCAACTTCCCAGTGCAGACACAGCCCTCTTGACCTGCGATAGCATCAGCAGGCCCACGGCATGCAGCCCAAGAGGTGCCACACACCTAGGGCCTGCTCCTGTTCTGGGGACCTGGGCTCCCTGTGGCCATTCCACCCAAGGGTGATTCACCACCAGGCAGTGAGGGCGAGAGGGTCACAGTCTGTTTGCCACAATCCCCTACTGGCTGGCTCTCCTGTGGTTGACCTTCTGGGGGCCCCTCTCACAGATAGTTTGTTGTGAAGCATAGCTAACATTTCACTGTGGGCTATCTTTGCTAGGAGCTGTGGTAGGTGTTTCAGGCTCATGGGCTCACATCCTCAGGACCCTTTGAAGCAGGCATTTGTTGTCCCCATTAAACAGAAGCATGGGGGAGGCCAGAAGCCCTGCGACCCAAGTACACACAATAGCTGCCTCTACCTGGAAGGCCCTCCCTGCCCTCAGTCCTCACAGAGCTGCCCAGGAGGCCTTAGCTACCTCAAACTCTCCCTACCCACCCTGGGGGCATATTAAAGGGCTCCCTCCAGCCTCTGCTGGGTCCTCGACTGTCTGTCCATCTGTCGTAGCAGGCTCTGAGAGCAGGTAACATGGTTTATTCTTCCAGAGCTGGATCCTCAGGGCACAGAGCAAATACTGATGATTTGAGCTGAGCTTTTTCCTACCTGCCATGTACTGCTGGACTTACAGGAAGGTGGGTACCCTTCTTGGTTCTTCACTGGCACTTCTCGGCCATTTCTCTATTCCTCAAGAATCCCAGTTCCTGTGAAGTGCTGGCCATCAGATAATGCCAGCTACCCCTTTCTTTTGGGGACGACGATGTCATCCTCTCCATCCTTCGTGGATTGTTCTAGCATACTTGCCCTCCACTGCTGTTGTGTCACTGGTATCTGACAATAGACTAGAACATCTAGACATTTTGATCTCTCTTCGACGACCTTATTTCAATGAACCTGGGTTCTATACCACCTTAGACATCCATTACAATGATCATAACCCAGACTAGATGCCACCTCCAAGGCAGACAATGCCTTCCGATCTGTTTCGCTCACCTATGCTCCCACCCCAGCGAGTCCCCAACCTCAGTCCCAGATCCTCCTACCGATCCCCACCCTCCATCCTCACACTTCCCTTTGACCCTTCTCAGAGCCCAAAAACCCATCACTACATCCTCTCTTATACACACTGTCCACTCCCACACCTTTTTCTAGTTTGCTTTCCTGGAAAACCTCCATTCTGGTCACACCAGGTCTTTAAAGCTCACTCTTGCACCTGAGATGCTGGAGAAAACCATCACACCAAAAGGCCTCATTTCAGGCTACGACCAGACCTCAGAGCAAGCCACCAACACTACTCAAACACTATCGTCTCATTCCTGTCCACAGACTCACCTGTATTCCATAGTCCTAAAGGTGATCCTCCTGCCTTGGCCTCCCAAAGTGCTGGGATTACAGGTGTGAGCCACCACGCCCAGCCTGTTTAGAACCTTGTCTTCTGGCTTTCTATTCCTCTGCAAACTTCTCAGATCTTCCTCTAGGATCCATTTCCCCACCCCTGTTGGATCAGTTCCATCTATACATCTGCCCGTGTACTACCAGCTTCAGACACGCTCGACTGCGTGCTGGCCCCTGTAATTACCACCACACATCTCCCTTTACGGAGAGAGAATTCTTTCTGTGGCCTAGATTTACTGTGCCTCCCCATTTCAACCTGGCTTTTCACTGTTATTATCAGGGTCACTGATGACTGCCATTCTGAGGATTGTGACTTTACTATGGGCTTGGGCATCTTAGTCTATCCCACAGCATTTGCCAGGGTTGGCCACTGCCTTACTTTGCCCAGACTGGAGTGCAGTGGTGCAATGTCGGCTCACTGCAGCCTCTGCCTCCCGGGTTCACATGATCCTCCCGCCTCAGTCTCCTGAGTAGCTAGGATTACAAGCTAAAGCCACCACACCTAGCTAATTTTGGTATTTTTAGCAGATGGTTTTAACCATGTTGGCCAGGCTGGTCTCAAACTCCTGACCTCAAAAGTGATCCACCAGTCTTGGTCTACTCAAAGTGCTGGGATTAAGGCATGAACCACCACGCCTGGCCAGGCTTCTTTATAAAAATAATCTTATCTCAGAGTCAAGGTCTCACTGTGTTGCCAAGGCTGGTCTTGAACTCCTGTGCCCAAGTAAGCCTCCTGCCTTGGCCTCCCAAAGTGCTGGGATTACAGGTGTGAGCCAACACACCCAGCCTGTTTCTAGAACCCTGTATTCTGGCTTTCTATTCCTCTGTAAACTTTTCAGACTCTTTTGCTGTATCTTTTTGTGGTTCAAGCTTTAGCATGTTTCAGAGTCACCTGGAAGGCTTGTTAAAACATAACATGCTGTGTTGCCCTACCCTGATTTTTAAGTTTTTTTTTTTGAGACAGAGTCCCACTCTGTCACCTAGGCTGGAGTGCAGTGGTGCAACGTCGGCTCACTGCAGCCTCTGCCTCCCAGGTTCACTCCTGCCTTGGTCTCCTGAGTAGTTGGGATTATAGGTATATGCCACAAAGCCCAGCTAGCTTTTGTATTTTTTAGTAGAGATGTGGTTTTGCCATGTTGGCCGGGCTGGTCTCGAACTCCTGACCTCAGGTGATCCGCCTGCCTTGGCCTCCCGAAGTGTTGGGATTATAGGCATAAGCCCCGTGCTCAGCCCCTAGATTGTTGAATAAGTTTTTTTAAAAAAATTATTTTTTTGAGTCTCACTCAGGCTGGAGTACAGTGGCATGATCTCGGCTCACTGCAACCTCTGCCTTTCGGGTTCAAGCAATTCTCCTGCCTCAGCCTCCTGAGTAGCTGGCGGGCATGCCCGCCACCATGCCAATTTTTGTATTTTTAGTAGAGACAGGGTTTCGCCATGTTGGCCAGGCTGTTCTCGAACTCCTGACCTCAGGTGATCCATCTGCCTCAGCCTCCCAAAATGTTGGGATTAGAGGCATGAGCCACCACGCCCAGCCTGAATAAGCTTTTTCAATAAAGAAACCGGTAGTTCGCTATGATCCACATGATGAAGTATGGCATCCTTAGCAAGCTACATGAACCGGCGGACTCCAAGGCCTGCCTGGCCTAATCCACCTACTTCAGCACTGGTAGCCTCCCAGGGCCAGAGTAGCCCTTGTGGCCTGAACCAGACCTAGACCCCTGGGTTTCTTCGGCTCACTCTAGCTCATGTGTAAGATGGCCACGTCCAAGCTGGGCTACCTTTTCTGGCTAATCCCAGGCTACTTTGAAATCCAGCTGAGATCTATGGTCTGCAGAAGAGATGGAGTAGGAGACTGAGCCAAGGCCCCAGAGTGTAGACCAGGAAGTGGCAGGGGCACACTCTCCAATGCTGGCAACAAAGATGGTGCCCTCTGAGAAGAGGCACAGTATAGACCACAGAGCTCCCTGCGTTGCGTAGCTGAAGCTAAGCATGGTTTACAAGACAAGGTGGCAGGTTGGGCCGGGTGCAGTAGCTCACACCTGTAATCCCAGCACTTTGGGAAGCCAAGGCAGGAGGATTGTTTGCATCCGGGAGTTTGAAACCAGTCTGGGCAAAGTGAGACCCCGTCTCTACAAGAAAAGCAAATTAGCCAGTTGTGGCACACACCTGTCATACCAGCTCCTTGGGAGTGTGAGGTAGGAGGACTGCTTGAGTCCAGGAAGCTGAGTCTAGTCTACAGTGAGCTGTGATCACACTACTGCACTCCAGCCTGGGTGACAGAGCTAGACCTTGACTCAAAGGGGAAAAACAAAACAAAACCCAAAGAAAGCATGCTGGCATGTCCGTCCAGAAGCAGAGCTAGCTCTCAATGAGAGATTTAGAGGTACGCCAAGTCCTGAGCCAGTTCAGGGAAGTCAAAAGATGTGCAAGGCTGTTTTGCTGGAGTTGGGCATGTGTACCTCCTAACCAGCCCTCCATCTATAGAATAGAGTATGCTACCTGCCTCCCAGGAGAGGAGGGCTGAAGATGGGTGGTGGATGGCGTGGTGGCTGGGATGCAGGTGCTACCGTGGCTGCCGCTCTAGAGGTTTTGGCCTCAGATTTCTGGAAATTTAACATAGTGGATCATTGGTTTAGAGTGAAGATGGATTCTCCTGAGAGGAGTCACTGGGAGATGTGATCTACTCTGTGTAAGGCAATAGCTACTGTTTCAGTGGATATGTCTCTCTTCTCTTCTAGCCTGCAGGGAAGGCACAGCTACCCCCATTTTACAAGTGGAGAAAGTGGCTTAGAGGTGCAATAACTCACCCATGTGTACAGATTTAGCCTATGGGGAAGGTGGCAGCCAGAGAATCCTGGAAACACAAGTACAGCCACAACAGCCTCTCATCTGCAGCTCTAGGTCTCCAGCAGGCTTCTGCTGGGGACCTTGCTGGGAGGAGGTGTGGGCACAACTTGCCTGGCACGTCGAGAGCAGGCAAAGCTGGAGCTGGCACAAGAACACTCACTTTGGGGCCAGTAGACTCTCGCCTTCTTCGACTCTTCCTTGGAGGTATGGAGGACTAGCCGATATTTCTTTAAGATACAGCTGGGGCCTTGGACATTCAGAGTCATCTGGGACAGATTCGTTATTTCTGGGCAAAAGACAAAGCAAAGGTTAAGGAATGTCTGGAGGCCAGCACTCTGGGGGTGGAGGGAAGAGCAGTAGAGAGGGGCCGGGAGTTTGAACAGAGCACCAAGGACCCCCTGCCTTTTGCTAGGGCCCAGGCCCGAAGAATTACCATTTCACTGCTTGTTCTAGGTGGCTACAGGCAAGCTGCAAACCTCAGGGCCTCCTTTTGAGGGAGGATGGGATTTATCCCATGGTCCCCCACAAACAGAACAGGGCCTACCTCGATCAGTTCAGTGAAGGTTCACCTTGTTTCCAGTCTTGTTTCCAGTCTCAGTAGGAAACAAGACATTCCATTCTACTGCTAAGACCCAGAACCCTGGTCCCAACCGCAAGTCAGGATCCAAGGCGAATTTTACCCAAGACAGTCCAAGGTTCCTGGCCCAGACTATGAGAGGCTTTTTAGAAAGCAGCGCATATACCCCTATTGTCTTCATTTAGTCTTGTCAACCAACTGATATAGTTGGGAGGCCAACTGCATCATCCCCATTTTACAAATAGGGAAACAAGATCAGGGAAGTTAGTGTGCTCAAGTTCACAGCTAGGAAACAAGTAACCACCCATGCTCTTTGCATGGGGCTATGTGACTTCTCTTACCCAATTATACATCTACAACTCAGGACAAAAGGTTTGATCAGCCCAGGCATGGGGACTGGGGAAGAGGGTGTCGGGGGTGGGGTGGAGAAAATTAGTCTGGAATCCATTTGCTGAGAAGCAGGGCAGCAAAGAGACCAAGAAGGAAAGGCAGAGACAGTCTGAGGTCCTACCCTCTGAAAAGATCACTTTCTTGGTTTTCTTGTCCTCAAGTTGCTGGCCCACATCAGCAGGGTTGCAATTCACAAGCAGGATGGCACCCCAACCGCTGGGACCCCAGATCCATTTTTTCTGCAAATGAGATGGGAACATTGGCTCAGGAAGGAGCCAAATAAATCTTCTGTTTCTCGGATGCACCTCATAGCAGAGGGGCCCAGCCAAGCCTTTCTCCAGGGTACAGGGACCCATGGAACAGGACTGGTGAGGTCAAGAATCTGTAGGCACAGGAAGGTCATGTCAGGTAAGGAGGCTAAGAGGAAGGGAAAGAAGCTAGGTTCGGGGTTACCAGTTACTTACCTCATATTTCAGAGTCAGAGAATCAGGGACCGAGGCAAATTGGAAAAGAGACGTGCCACCTGGCAGCAGCGGCTAATCCTCTCATCTAGGAGACTCCACAACCAGGGTAGGACATGAGCCTAGAGTTGCCAGACATTCTGGTTTTTTTTTTAGTGAGCTAGAAATTTAATCAGTTCTGATCCCAGTACTTCGGGAGGCCGAGGCAGGTGGACCACTGGAGATCAGGATTTCGAGACCATCCTGGCTAACACAGTGAAACCTCGTCTCTACTAAAAATACAAAAAAAACTAGCCAGGCATGGTGGCAGGCACCTAGAGTCCCAGCTACTCGGCAGGCTGAGGCAGGAGAATGGCGTGAACCTGGGAGATGGAGCTTGCAGTGAGCTGAGATCGTGCCACTGCACTCCAGCCTGGGCAACAGAGCGAGACTCCGTCTCAAAAAAAAATTAGCCAGGTGTGGTGGCACACGCTTGTAACCCCAGCTGCTCAGGAGGCTGAGGCAGGAGAATTACTTGAACCTGGGAGGTGGAGATTACAGTGAGCTAAGATCATGCCACTGCACTCCAGCCTGGGTAACAGAGGGAAACTCCATCAAAAACAACATCAAAAACAAACAAACAAAAAAAAACAAAAAAATACCCCACAAAAGAAAAGGAATTTAATCAGCTCTGACTTGTACCGTGACAGTTTGGTTTACCCCTCCCCTCCACGTATCTAATCCTTCAGCAATGTCACAGCAATTGGGCTAGACACGAGGAAGGTCAGATCAAGTGAGCCTGTGGGCAGATTTGGCTTATAGGGCCCCTTCCCTGCCCCCTTTTGCTGGCAGACTCACCTTAGCCTGTTTGTCACTTGACATCTCAACTTGCCCATTGCGGTAGATGTCTACCTCTAGAGAGACCTCTGAAACAGAAGAAAAGGGTGTCCCAGCCACCTTGACCTGCCAGATGGAACCTCAAAGTTATAGGTTATCTCCTGTGGGGCTGCCCAAGGCTGGCATCAGGGCATCTAGCCTTTCTGGCATGCTATCAGCTTAGAAGCAGAAACCATTCTCAAAGGTGACAGCTTCATATCAGCAAGCCTGGAGAGGCCCAAGTAGTCAAATGTCTACCCCAAACCTCCCAGGAACTCACAAAACAAGCCCATCATGGTCCTCTCATGCCATCTCATGCCTTTCAGCCTCTACCCAAGTGATTCTTACTTGCAAAGTCTACCTCTCTAGTCTTCTGGAAAGCTTTATGCTCCAAGACATAGGAAAGGCTTAATATGGCCGGGCACAGTGGCTCACTCCTATAATCCCAACACTGGGAGACTGAGGTGGATGGATCACTTAAGGTCAGGAGTTGGAGACTAGCCTGGGCAACATGGTGAAATCGCATCTCTACTAAAGATACAAAAATTAACTGGGCGGCCGGGCGCGATGGCTCACGCCTGTAATCCCAGCACTTTGGGAGGCCGAGGCGGGCGGATCACGAGGTCAGGAGATCGAGACCATCCTGGCTAACACGGTGAAACCCCGTCTCTACTAAAAATACAAAAAAATTAGCCGGGCGAGGTGGCGGGCGCCTGTAGTCCCAGCTTCTCGGGAGGCTGAGGCAGGAGAATGGCGTGAACCCCAGGGGGCGGAGCCTGCAGTGAGCCGAGATTGCGCCACTGCACTCCAGCCTGGGCGACAGCGAGACTCCGTCTTAAAAAAAAAAAAAAAAAAAAATTAACTGGGCATGGTGGAGGGTACCTGTAGTCCCAGCCTCTTGGGAAGCCAAGGCAGGAGTGTCACTTGAGCTGGGAAGGTGGAGGTTGCAGTGAGCTGAGATCAGACCACTGCACTCTAGCCTGGGTGACAGAGCAAGATTCTGTCCCCCCCCCCAAAAAAAATTCAATACATGACAATTCTAAGCCCCTTTAAAACTTAAGGATTAGCTGGGCATGGTGGCTCATGCCTGTAACCCCAGCACTTTGGGAGGCTGAGGCAGGCAGATCACCTGAGGTCAGGAGTTCAAGACCAGACTGAGCAACATGGCAAAACCTTGTCTCTATGAAAAATACAAAAATTAGCCCGGTGTGGTGGCAGGTGCTTGTAGTTCCAGCTACTCAGGAGGCTAAGGCAGGAGAATCACTTGAACCCAGGAGGTGGAGATTGCAGTGAGCAGAGATCGCACCACTCCACTCCAGCCTGGGTGACAGAGTAATGCTCCATCTCAAAAAACAAAAACAAACAAAAAAACACACTTAAGGATCTAGGCTTTTGCCCAGGTACTGTCATAGGGACTGTCCCGCCTCCTTAGCATACCACCTCCCATCCCTTCCACCACACAAGGGACAACCACGTCGCTCCAGTGTGGTCTTTTGTTCACAGCTCATTATTTGACATGCTGATTCCCAACTGGAATATCAGGGCCACGAACGCAGGACTTGTTTGCTGTTACATCATCAGCACCTGACCAGCAGATGCTCAGGGACCAGATGCCCACTGCGAACTGGGCTGCCCCAGGTCCTAGGGATCTAGCAGCGTGCAAGACGGAGACCTCATCTCCTTAGAGCTTACATGAGCACATATGTGTACACCAGGGGTGGGGCAAGCAGGTACATCATGTTTGATAGCAATAAGCACTGAGGGATATGGGAGAAGGAATGGAGCGAGGGTATTTCAGTTTTAGATGATCAAGGGAGCCCAAGTTTACATTTGAAAAGAGACCTAAAGGAGGCAAGAAAATCTGGGTTAACATCTAGGGTAAGAGCCATTAGGGGAAATAGGAAGCCCAAGGCAGCAAGGCCAAGGGTTAGAGTGGCCAACAGGACCCACAGCAGAAGCAGCAGGATGACCCAGGGGGAAGATTCACAAGCGGTAAAGACAGAGGCAGTGCAGGGTTACTCGTGTAGTTTCGTGGGCAGCGACTTTGGCTTTAATCCAAGCAACGTGGAAGCAGTTGGAAGGCGTTATTCCAATATTCCACTTAAAGATGTACCACTCTGGCTGCTGGATCAAGGCTAGAGGTCTTAGTCAGAAGGGCAAGAGTGCCAGCATGAACCCCACTGGGAGGTCTGGGCTGTGACCCAGGTGAGAGGATGGGGGCTCGAGCCGGAGTGAACACACTGGGAGTGCGAGTTGCTGGATTCTGGCGAAACGTCAGGTAACACAAGATTCAGACTGCTGTGGGGTAAGAAGAATCAGGTGATGCCAAGGTTTACACTAGAAGGATGGAGCTACCGCCTACTGTGATGGAGGGACTACTAGAAAAACAGGTTTTCAGGAGTAGAGAGAATCCATTTGCATTTCAGACATCTGTCAGACACCGAAGCGATCATGCTGGGTAGGCAATATCCAAGTCGGGTTTGTGGGAGCAGCCTGCCCATAGGTGACATTAGAGTCACGTGACCTGCCTCCTGAGCCTGAGACACTTCACTGACTGGAAGCAGCGGGACAAAGGACTGAGAAGAGCTCCTCTGAGCTCCAAAGGGTTCTGAGAAGGAACAGGCAGGAGGAAAAATAAGTTGAACATCCCTGAAGCGTTCAAGTGTGTTAAGAGGGGATTGACCAGCAGGTACGTGGCTCATGCCTGTAACTCCAGCACTTTGGGAGGCTGAGGCGGGAGGATCACTTGAGGCCAGGAGTTTGAGACCAGGCTGGGCAATATGGTAAAACCCTCTCTATGGGGGAAAAAATAAAATAAAAAAATAAAGTCAGCTGGGCATGGTGGTGCGTGCCTGTAGTCCCAGCCACTCTGGAGATTGAGGTGGGAGGAGCCTGGGCAACATAGGGATACCTATGTCTGTATAAAAAATTAACCAAGTATGGTGGTATAACACCTATGGTCCAAGCTACTGGAGAGGCTGAGGTGAGAGGATCGTTTGAGGCTGCAATGAGCCATGATCGTGTCTCTTCACTCCAGTTCAGCTTAGGCTACAGAGTGAGACTGTCTCAAAAACAAAAAACAAGACAAAACAAAACAAAACAAAAACACAAAAGAACCCACACAAACCAAAAACTTAGTGTTGTAGATGTTAGAGTTCTAAAAGAACTCCGTTGGTGGTAGGTGTCTAATTTGAGAAGATTCTAGAGAAATTGAGGACACAGATGGCTCCTCAGGAAGAGAGGTGGGAGAATAGACTTTAAAAGACAACCTAGGCCCAGCACAGTGGCTCACGCCTGTAATCCCAACACTCTGGGAGGCTGAGGTGGGCGGATCACGAGGTCAGGAGATTGAGACCAGCCTGGCCAACACAGTGAAATCCCGTCTCCACTAAAAATACAAAAAAATTAGCCCACTAAAAATACAAAAAAAATAGCCCACTAAAAATAAAAAAAATTAGCCCACTAAAAATAAAAAAAATTAGCCCACTAAAAATAAAAAAAAATTAGCCGGGCATGGTGGCGGGTACCTATAGTCCCAGCTACTCGGGAGGCTGAGGCAGGAGAATGGTGTGAACCTGGGAGGTGGAATGGGCAGTGAGCCAAGATCGCGCCACTGCACTCCAGCCTGGGCAACAGAGCAAGACTCCATCTCAAACAAAAACAAACACCCTAGAATCAGGTTTAAGAGAGATGATATGGCCAGGCACAGTGGCTCACGCTTGTAATCCCAGCACTTGGGGAGGCCGAGGCAGGTGGATCGCGAGGTCAGGAGTTCGAGACCAGCCTGGCCAACATGGTGAAAACCTGTCTCTACTAAAAATATAAAAATTAGCCAGGCATGGTGGCACACACCTATAGTCCCAGCTAATCTGGAGGCTGAGGTAGGAGAATCACTTGAACCTGGGAGGCAGAGGTTACAGTGAGCCGAGATCATGCCACTGTACTCCAGCCTGAGTGACAGTAAGACTCATCTCAGAAAAAAAAGAAAAAAAAAGTAGATGTTATAGAGCTTGTTCCTGAGCTGATGGGGGTGATCTAGAGGGCGGGGAAGGGTGGCGGCTTCTTACATTGGTAAGAATTGACAAAGGAATGTTCTTGAATAAGAAAGGATCTAGTGAGACAAGAAAGACTAACTTTGGACCAGATGCGTCAATTAGTAACAAAGGAAGAAGGTAGGCACTAGACAGGCGTAGGTGGGTAGATGGCAGCGACACGGAAGTTCTGGCTGTTTCTATTCTCAGAATTAGGTTGGCAGTGCACGAAGATGGAGAAGTGACTGAGCGTCGAGGAGGGAGTGTGTGAGTGGGTATCTCAAATGAATCCATTTAGGAGTTTGTTCAGGAGTTCCTGGGGCCCACAGGAGGCATCTTGTTACCTGGAGAATCTTTTTTGGCTCCTCCTACAATCCCACCCCTTCCCCAACCCCAGCGGTGAGTTGGGCCCCAGGCTCCCAGTTGGAGCAACACTCACCAATGCCAGTGAGGTACAGCACAGCTGTGCCCACGGGGGCATCCTCGTTGGGCCCATAGTATGTGACCGAGACCTGTGGAGACAGCATCCCGAAACCATAGGCAGTGTTGGACGGGAGGTGCCAGGAACAGAGCCCCAGGCCATGTGCCGAGTCTAGGCGTGGGATCTTGGTCTTGTGTTATGGCTTCTGAAGTCTCACCTATGAGCTGGTATGGGGCCACAGCCCTGCGCTTAGGGCTGAGTCAGTCCCCTAAGGACTTAGAACCTGCCATGACCCCCAACCCTAACCTTGTCGAGAGCCAGGCTTGAAACCACCTGTCCACGTGAGAGCTGTATCCCTGATGGCGGGGTGATCAAGGGACTTATCCCAAAGGGATTTAAGAAACAGGCTGCCTGGCTCTAGAGCCCAAGCTTGAAACCACACTATACATCCTCCCTGCTAAACCCACTCTCCTGGGGTCCCATGTCCTACTCCATAAGGTGCACGGTGGGGAAACAGGCCTCTGGTGGCTTAAGCTGCTCACTAAGAAGGACACCCAGGTGAAGAAGCAGCGTTGGGACTCAGTCCCAACTGTGGGACTGTGTCCCACACCAGCCTCTACTTTATGCTTTTAGAAAGAGACCTGCCCTCCAGCCACTGACCCTGACCACAAGGTCTTGGTCATGAACCAGAGACCCAACCATTGGCCAGAGCATGTGACAGATCCACCCCATCCTTAAATAGAAGCTTTAGTCCTCTAAGTTCAAGGTTCTTTGTTGGCCACTCCTGAGGGTCCTGGAGGCCGAGCCCTGGGCAGAGAATGGTTCTCAGGTAGTCTGGAGTTCCACTGGCACCCACCGTGGCCTCCATTCTTATCTGAGATACCTTTTTTTGCGATGGAGTTTTGTTCTTGTTGCCCAGGCTGTAATGCAGTGGGACAATCTCAGCTTACTACAACCTCCACCTCCTGGGTTCAAGCGATTCTCCAGCCTCAGCCTCCTGAGAACCTGAGATTACAGGCACCTGCCACCACACCTGGCTAATTTTTGTATTTTTAGTAGAGACAGCGTTTCACCATGTTGGCCAGGCTGGTCTCAAACTCCCGACCTCAGGTGATCTGCCCATCTCAGCCTTCCAAAGTGCTGGGATTACAGGCATGAGCCACCACACCTGGCCAGAGACACTCAGTTCCTACCTAAGTCCACTACTTGCCTCTCAGGGAGTTGCCTGCCCTGGGCACACAGCGCAGGTGGGTGTGTGTACCTACCCCTCTGCAGCAGACATCTCCAGTAGGTCCTGTAGGGTGTGGGGGGAGGGAGGGAGAGCTCTCCCAGTCCTGAACTGCTCCATCATGGTTCTCACCCCCAGCCCCGCACTGGGTGCACCTGGAGAGCTTTAAACCAGCGGCCAGGATCCTAGCCCTGAGGTTCCATTGGTACCTCAGGTTTAATTGGTAGAGGGGGTGTGGCCTGGGTATTGATGTTATTAGCTCCCCAGTGGTTCTCACCTGCAACCAAGGTTGAACACTCCTGCCCTGAATGAGCCACCTGCTTCTACCACAGGAGAACCTCCCCAACATAGGCACCCCATTAGGGAGACAGCTTACCCAGGGGAGAATACACCCTTGGGCTCAAGCTCAAATCCTGGGTCTATCCCACTCTAGGTAGGCTACTTAGGTTTAGACACAGCACTCTGTGCCTTAGTTTCCTCATATGTAAAGTGATGGTAGGCCAGGTGTGGTGGCTCATGCCTGTAATCCCAGCACTTTGGGAGGTGGAGGCAGGTAGATCACTTGAAGTCAGGAGTTTGAGACCAGCCTGGCCAACATAGTGAAACCCTGTCTCATACTAAAAATACAAAATTAGCCGGGCATGGTGGTGGGTGCCTGTAGTCCCAGCTACTCGGGAAGCTGAGGCAGGAGAATTGCTTGAACCCGGGAAGTGGAGGTTGCAGTGAGCTGAGATTGTGCCATTGCACCCCAGTCTGGGCAATGAGCGTGAGACTCAAAAAAAAAAATAATAATAAATAAATGAAAATAAAAAATAAATCCCAGTCCTGCTGGTTGCTGACTTGGCAGGGCACCTTCGCTAGGTGCCTCTGTTTCTTTGTAAAATGGGGTCATGGAGTGCCCACACCACTGGTCTGTTGCAGACACTGGATGAGATCAGACGTGCAAAACAACGTGTTTCCCAGGCTCGAGTCACGTCTGCAGCCAGGAGGAAGCCCCAGTGGCTGTGCTAGGTCCCACCCCGGGAGATGCCCCTCACCTCTTCCCCTGAGGCTTACCTTATCCGCATCCACGGAAGGGCTGGGCGATGTCATCTTCACTGTGGCGTACGTGGGATCAGACAGGGGCCACCAGATGGTGGCGTCCTCCTTCTCAGAAATCACCGTGTTGGCCACATCGATCAAGACCCTCCCAGAGCCATGGATGGTGAAGCACTGGCACTTCTGGGGGGCACACCTGGTTTGCCCGGTAAGAGACACGCGTCAGGGCACAAACACCTTCTCAGCCTAGGAGATGACTGGCATGGGGGAGGGGACGGCTCCCGAATCCTCATTCTCCTTAGGGTGTTGAGGCAGAGTGGTCTGGGGTCCTTATTCCTACCCACCCCCTCCCAAAGGACCCCTGTGTTTGCTCTCCGACGGGCTCCAGCCCAAACCCCATCCCGCTACCGACACTGCAGAAGTTACCACAGCTACATCTTAGTAATAAGCACCCAATTCCCAAGAAGGGGGGAGCCACAAAGGATCCCCATAAAGAAAAAGATCAGGGCAAGCGACTCAGGAAGTTGTACTGTGACCCTGCTGAGTCACCTCCACCTGCAGGCTCCAGCATCTAGCAGTCTCCCTGGCCTGCTCCTCACAGCCCCCCGAGGCCAGCGTCCCCATGGTTTCACAGATAGGGGAACAGAGAGGCCAAGGCCCTTGCCTCACTAAGAGTCCATGGCAGCTGCTACAGGGCAGAGGCAGGATTTAAGTCAGAATTCTGCGTGGTTGGAACTGGGAGGCCCCCCACTAGAGACCCAAGGCTTCCCAAGATGGGGCAGGATAGTGAGGCTAGAGAAGTAACCCCCAACTCCCAGATCAAGGGGACTGGGTCCCAGGCCTGCCTGCCTGTCTGCCTGCCACCTCTGGCAGAGCTCCCAGCATCTCACCCGCTGAGATCCAAGCAGATTTCTGTGCCCAACACACAAACGGCATGGACAGGGCTGTCCAGGGACAGGTGGATGATACTCTGGAAGGACATGGCTCGGCCCTCCACGCTGACCATCCTCAGGCCTGCACCGCAGCCCTCACTCAGCACAGCAGCCTCAGACGCCCCAGGGCTCACCCTGCCCTTCCCTGTTATACAGTCCAGGCCTGTGCAGGCCACCCCCTTGTTAAGAAGGGGAGGGGTCAGCAGCTGCCCAGGTGTCACTGATTTTCCCTCTAAGAGCTTCCTGGTGGCTGATAGTCTGGGGAGCAGGTGGCATCAGAACCCCTTCATCACCAATTTATCAGGCACCTCGTGCCTGCAGAGCTGCAGGCCAGGGGAGTCTGAGGCCGGTTGCTTAGGCATCTGTGGCCTTCAGCTGGGAAGAGGAGGGGCTCTGGGAAGTCGGTGCCTTGGAGTGATCAACTTGGCCATGTTGCTGGAGGACTCAGCTGGAAGCTGTCGGGGCAAATACCTGCAGAGGGCAGTTGGGAGGAGTTGATGGTAGCAGTCAGGATGGCAATGTGTGGCAGCATGCCCAGGCTCTGGGGTCTCAGTTCTAGGGTGTGTGTCTCCTGGAAATTGACGAAGGAGCTCGGCAAAGTGCTGGACTGGTGGTTTGGTTTTGTTTTTGAGACAGGGTCTCTACCCATGCTAGAGTGCAGTGGCGCAATCATAGCTCACTGCAGCCTCAACCTACCTGGCTCCAGTGATCCATCTCAGCCTCCCAAGTAGCTGGGACTACAGGTGTGCACCACCATGTCCAGCTGATTTTTGTATTTTTTGTAGAGACCGGGTTTTGCCATGTTGCCCAGGCTAGTCTCGAACTTCTTGATCCCAGAAATCCTCCTATCTCGACCTGCCAAAGTGCTGGGATTACAGGCGTGAGCCACAGCGCCTGCCTAGACTAGGTGGTTATTAACCCTCTGGTGGTTTCAAAAATTATCAAGGGTGCTTGTTAACATTGCAAATTCCTGGGCCCAGAAGGTCTAGGGTGTGGTCCAGGAACCTGCATCCCAACCCCCAGTGATTAAGGTGAGCTCTTTGCTTACAGCTGTGTCGGTGGGGGTGGGGGCACAGCAAGTGTTAGTGGAATGAATACATCAAGCCAGGGTCATCAGCTGCTACTCATCTCAGCGGAGCCCACAGAGCAAAGAAATAGGAACCCTTCTCTGGCACAAGGAACTTACATAACTGACTTTAAAATTGTGTTCATTTCATGTCTTAAGCTTGGGTTGAGTTTTTTTTTGTTGTTGTTTTTGAGACAGGGTCTCACTCCGTTACCCAGGCTGGAGTGAAGTGGCGTGATCATGGTTCACAGCCTTGACCTCCCAGGCTCAAGTGGTCTTCCCACCTCAGCCTCCTGAGCAGCTGGGACTACAGATGTGCACCACCATGCCCAGCTAATGGTTTTACATTTTTCCGCAGAGATGGGGTCTTGTTATGTTGCCCAGGCTGGGTCATGCTTACTCCTGAATAGGTACCACAGTCACATGATTCCAAGTTCAGAGTCTCCCTCCTGCCCTGTGCCTTACCCACCTGCAGGTGGAGGTAGTGACAGTGTTACCCGTTTCTTATATGTCTTTCCAAATAAATGTTATGCATGACCAAGTAAATATGTGTGTGTATCCTTTTCTTCTTCTCTTCCTCCTCCAATACTAGCATACAGTTAGATAAATTTGAAGGGGCTTTATGGTGAGAAAGGGAAGGACGTGGAGTCTATTTTAAGGTTAAGGGAAAAAGGCTTCTGCAGGTTCCTTCGAGGTTACATCTCGAGACTAAAGAGAAAAGTTGTAAAATGTGCTCAAAGTTAAGCTGCTTGGTTACAATTACAAACTTTTCAGTTCAGTGGAGATGCCCCTGGAAGCCCATTGGGTTATCTTTTTTGAGGAAGGACAAGGAGGTCATTTAGTCATTTGCTCCACTAGAATTGCTGAACACCTACTATGTCCGGGGCGCTTTTGCTCTTTTCTTCTCTCCTCCTACTACTGTCTTCTTATATAAACGGTAGTATGTGCCACCCAGTATTCCATACCTTGCCTCTTTCACTTCATAGTTATACTGGAGAGAAGTTCTTTGTATCAGTACGTAAAAAGCAGCCTTACCCCTTTGTACAGCTGTGTATTTTACATAGGGTTGTACTGTAATATAAACATTTGTTTTCAGCCTTTGCTCTAATATGCACCCAGGTGTACCCAGCATAGGAGGTGGAGATGAGGTACTGAGTGAAGCCTGTTCGGTCAGCCAGGCTGGCTAAATTTGCAAGTTGCAGTAAAAAATTCCCTCCCTGGAGGTTTTAAGCACTCAACACAACTCTCAAGGATGTCTCTGTTTTAGTTGCTCTTGGAGGCAGGGGGTTGGTCAGCAAGACCCAAAATGCCCCTCTGGTTGGATTGAAAGTGGCAAAATTAAGCAGGCAGGAAGCACTCAGCGTGCAGAGGCTCTGATGAGACTCATCCCAAAGGGCTCACCCACCCTCACGCACAAGCGGCCAGAGGCAGCTGGAGGGAGAAGACGGGTTGACTGGGGAGGGGTCGCTGAGGCCCAGTCCAGGCTCTGGGGTCTGGAGGAAGGCAGCCTGGAAGCTCTGACGTTCCCCACCCTGGGGCAGCCCTGCCTTGTGCCAGGGCTCTACAGAGCACAGTGAGGAAGGCTCCTCACCCAGCCTCGTGGACAGAGATGAAAGTGACTCAGACCCAGAGCACGTCCTGCTCGCCTCCAGGGGCTTCTTATTCACCACTGAATCCCCAGCACCTGCAAAACAGCTCCAGACATAGTAGGTACTCAACAAGTTATTGTGGAGCAAATGACTAAATCACCTCCTTGTCCTCCCCCTAAGAAGATAATAACCCAGCCGGGCACGGTGGCTCAGGCCTGTAATCCCAGCACTTTGGGAGGCCAAGGCAGGTGGATCACCTGAGGTCCGGAGTTTGAGATCAGCCTGGTCAACATGGTGAAACCCGTCTACTAAAAATACAAAAATTAGCCAGGTGTGGTGGCTCACGCCTGTAATCCCAGCTACTCAGGAGGCTGAGGCAGGAGAATCGCTTGAGCTGGGGAGATGGAGTTTGCAGCGAGCCGAGATAATGCCACTGTACTCCAGCCTGGCCGACAGAGCAAGATTCTATCTCAAAAAAAAATAAATGAATAAAATAAAGATAATAACCCAATGGGCTTCCAGGGGTGTCTCCACTGAACCGAGGGGTTAGTGATTGTAACTGAGCAGCTTAACTTCAAATGCATTTTACAACTTTTTTTCCCTTTCTCTTCAGTCTCAAGAAGTAACCTTAAAGCAAACTGCAGAAGCCTTTTCCCTTAACCCTAAAATAGACTCCATGTCCCTCCCTTTCCCACCATAAAGCCCCTTCACATTTATCTAACTGTATGCTAGTATCTAATTATATGCTTGCTTACAAGTTCCAGGCCAGGTGTGATGGCTCACGCCTGTAATCCCAGAGCTTTGGGAGGCTGAGACGGAAGGATTCCTTGAGCCCAGGAGTTTGAGACCAGCCTGGGCAACATAACGAAACCCTGTCTCTAAATGATGATGATGATGATGATAAAAGAAGTTCCAGGGGCTAATCTTGAGACAGACCGAGCCTGGAGACCCAGCTGCAGAATTCAAGAGATTACCTCCAGGCAGCTAGCCAACAACTCAGCACATTGCTGAAATGACGTCAGCCCGTGCTTTAGGGGGACTGAGACCCGAGTTAGCCATGGAAACAAGACACAGACCTTGTACTCCTCACAACTCCTGCACACCTCCTGTACCAAATTTCCTTTTTTTTTTTTTTTTTTTTTTTTTGAGACAGAGTCTCGCTCTGTTGCCTAGGATGGAGTGCAATGGCACCATCTCGGCTCACCGCAACCTCTGTCTTCCAGGTTCAAGCGATTCTCCTGCCTCAACCTCCCAAGTAGCTGGGATTACAGGCGTCCACCACCACGCCCAGCTAATTTTTGTATTTTTAGTAGAGATGGGGTTTCACCATGTTGGTCAGGCTGGTCTCAAACTCCTGACCTCAGGTGATCCGCCCACCTCGGCCTCTCAAAGTGCTGGGATTACAGGTGTGAGCCACCGCGCCCAGCCAGAGTTTCCCTTTTAAAACTCTTGCCTTCAACCCAGAAAGGCGAAGCGGTTGCTTTTGATGTGAATCCAACCACTCCCCCATTGCTAGTTTTGGTAAATAAAGTCACCTTCTACCACATTTTGCTCTTGTTTTTGGGCTCGAGCTCTCCAACTGGCATTGGCTGGACCTGCTTGGGTTACATGATCATAAAGTAACTTTGTATTGACTCCCGCACTCCTCACATGCTTATTCCATGCAGAAGTTCTCTCTCGGCAACTCAGGTTTGCTCATCATGCTCAACTCAGGTTTGCTCATCAGAAGTCCCATGGTCACTTGAGGTCACTGTGGTGGGCGCTGTGGTGTGCCACCGCGCCCCCCTTTAGGGGGAGGCACTCACGCCCCCAGCTGCTGCGAGTGCCGCAAGTCTCTCTTCTGGAATTGCCTTCTGTGCCTAGGAGCGGCCTAGTACCTGGTTGTGTCCCCATCTGGGGACAGCCACATCCAATGTGGGGGGACAAAGGCCAGGTTGCCTTGTCTGAATGCAGGACAACTCTGAGGCCCTTCCCCAGCCCCCAAGATACCCCGTGCATTGCCTGAAGCCTTGAGGCAACTGCATCCCAGTTCAGTGTCCCCCTCTGAGCCCCACACTCCCTCCCAGGTGCGCTTCCGGAAACACCCTCCCCCGGCACCCCCCATAAACCTCCTGCAGGCAAATCTCCATCTAAGAATCTGTTTCCAGGAACCAGACATAAAACACTCTCAATTCAGGACTCAGATTTGTAAAGGGGAATGTTCACCCTTTCCTATGAGGGCTTGATGCAGGTGCAAGGCTTAGAGCTGCGGAAAGGAAAGGAGGTGCCTGGCTTATTTCTTTCCTATTCTGCTGGCTGCAGCTGGCACGTGGTGATTTCCAACCTACAGTAGGTGGAATAATGGCACCCAAGAGAGATCAGGTCCTAATCTTCGGAACCTGTAGGTTGTCTCATATAGAAACAAAGAAAGAGTCTGTTTGCAGAGGTGAATGAAGATCTTGGGATGGGGAGATTGTCCTGGACTATCCGATGGGCTCCAAATATCATCACAAGTGTCCTTATAAGGGGGAGGCAGAGGGAGATTTGACACACACAGAAGAGAAAGCCATGTGACCAGGGAGGCAGAGATTGGCATGAGGCAGCCACTAGCTGAGGAAAGCTGGCAGAAGCTAGAAGAGAAACTCCCCTCCTAAAGCCTTTGGAGCTGGGATGGCCCTGCTGATACCTGAATTTCAGCCCAGTGAGACTGATTTTGATCTCCTGGTCTCTGGAACTGAGAGAGGGTCCATCTCTATTGTTTTAAGCCTTTTAGTTCGTGATGATTTGTAACAGCAGCTTCAGGAAACTCCTATGTGGTCTCTGGGGAAGGGAGAGGTGGGAGCAAGGCGAAAGGAACAGGGAAGTTTTTGTTTGATGGGCATGATCAGGGGATGGCTCTGTGCTCTAGAGGGATGGTAGCACTTTCTCTCCCGTGGGCTTCCCTGACTTCTCCAGAGACACCTCCCACCTGCAACCCATACGTGGCTGGGGTAACATCTGCGCATCTGCATGTCCCCTGATGCCAGGGGTGCCTTATCCACCAGCTTGTCTCTGAGTCCTTCCCCAGCCCTAGGAATCCAGCAAAATCTTCAGTTTTATCTGCTAAGTCCTGTTCGCTGCTCGAGGCAGCCCTATCTGCCAGGTTTGGGGCTCAACTCATACCAGCTTCCTCTGTCCCTGGTCCCCTTCTGGTCCACAGAAACACTCACATCCTTTGCTTCAGTACATTTGGGGCTGGGGGAGCAGCCGATTGTCTTCAGAGCAGTGTATTTTGACCCAGGTTTTATGGATCCACTTCTCCTTAGTGGGGCAGGGCAGAGGCTTTTCAAAAAAAAATACAGTTTTTATTTATTTATTTAGAGACAGAGTCTCACTCTATGCCCAGGCTGGAGTGCAGTGGTACAATATTGGCTCACTGCAACCTCCGCCTCCTGGGTTCAAGCGATTCTCGTGCCTCAGCCTCCCGAGTAGCTGGGACTACAGGCAAACGCCACCACGCCCAGCTAATTTTTGTACTTTTAGTAGAGACGGGGTTTCACCATGTTGGCCAGGCTGGTCTCAAACTCCTAACCTCTGGTGATCTGCCTGCCTTGGCCTCCCAAAGTGCTGGGATTACAGGCGTGAGCCACTGTACCTGGCCCATCTTAACCATTTTTAAGTGTACAGTTCAACAGTGTTAAGTATATTTACATTGTTGTGAAACAGATCTCCAGCTTTTACATCTTGCAAATCTGAAACTCTACACCCATTCAACAACTCCCTTCTTCTTGCTCCTCCAGTACCTGGCAACCACCATTCTACTTTTTTTTTTTTTTTGAGACAGAGTCTTGCTCTGTTGCCCAGGCTGGAGTGTAGTGGGGCGATCTTGGCTCACTGCAACCTCCACCTCCCAGGCTCAAGTGATTCATGTGCCTCAGCCTCCTGAGTAGCTGAGATTACAGGCATGTGCACCCCACACCTGGCTAATTTTTCATATTTTTAGTAGAGATGGGGTTTCACTATCTTGACAAAGCTGGTCTCAAACTCCTGACCTCAAGTGATCCACTTGCCTCAGATTCCCAAAGTGCTGGGATTACAGGTGTGAGTCACCTGGCCCAGCCTCTACTTTCTGTTCCTGTGAATTTTTCTAGGTAACTCATGTAAGTGGAATCATACAGGATTTCTCTTTTTGTAACTGGCTTATTTCCCATAGCGTAACGTGCTCAAAGCATATTCATGTTGTAACATGTGACAAGATTTCCTTCCTTATTTTTGAGACTGGGTCACTCACTCTGTCACCCAGGCTGGAGTGCAGTGGCACAATCATGGCTCACTGCAGCTTTGACCTCCCTAGGCTCAGGTGATCCTCCCACGTCTGTCTCCCAAGTAGGTAGGACTATAGGTGTGCACCACCATGCCCAACTCTTTTTTTTTTTATTTTATTTATTTATTTATTTATTTTTGTAGAGATAAGGCTTTGCTGTGTTGTCCAGGCTGGTCTCAAATTGGTGGGCTCAAGCGATTTGCCCACTTTGGCCTCCCCAAATGCTGGGGTTACAGGTGTGAGCCACCGTGCCTGGCCTTCCTTCCTTCCTTTTTAAGGCTGAATAATATTCCATAGCCAGGGTGGACAGATTGCTTGAGCCTAAGAGTTTGAGATCAGCCTGGGCAACATGGTAAAACACCCCCTCTTAAAAAAAAAAAAAGGAGATCTTGCTTTCAGATATTTACCCAGAAGTGGGATTGCAGGATCATATATCAGTTGTATTTCTAATTATTTTTAGGAACCTCTATACTTTTTTCCATAGCAGTTGTATCATTTCATTTTACAATCCCACCAATAGTGCACAAGGGTTCCAATTTCTCAACATCCTCACCAACACTTTTTTTTTATAGTAACCATTCTAATGGGTGTGAGGTCACTGTGGCTTTGATTTGCATTTCTCTGATGGTTAGTGATGGTAAGCATCTCTTCATGTGCTTGTTGGCCATTTGTATATCATCTTTGGAGAAATGTTATACTCGAGGGTTTACTTCCAGGCTTTCTATTCTATTCCATAGGTCTATTTGTCTTTATGAGCATGCCACACTGTTTTGATGACTGTAGCTTGTAGTATGTTTTGAAATCAGGAAGTGTGAAGGCAGAGGCTTTTGATATTCATCTTTTCCGCCATCATATATTCTCCATGACCTACATGAAAATAACAGGATCCCTGGGTGTTCTCTGAATATCTTGGACCCTTTTGAGCCAATATCTGGTCTCAATTTTAATGATCTCAAGCCATCAAGTTTTATTTTCTACAGAGGAATCTGAGTCTTTATGTCGAAGCCATAAAAGGCAATATAAAAAAGAACACCGAGGAGATGAATTACTTCATTCCACAAAAATCCATCGCTATCAGTACGTAGGTGAATGCCCAGTTGTAGGTGAGTTTAAAGAGGGATATGCCCAGATTCTCAGCGGGGCTTACCCCTCCCCTGCTCCCTCCTCCTCCTCTTCTTGGAAAGGTCCCGTGGGAAACTCAGAACGAACTAGGATCATGCAAAATTTTATAGCCCAAATACATGTCTGGGAGCAAAAGACACACACAATAACGTGGCCTTCAGTGCAGCCTGTTAACACTTTTCAGTTTGTTTTGTGATAGTCAATTCAACCATGACAAATGAGTGAATGAATGAATGATACCAACAACATCTTGACCTCATGTACAAAGTGACTTAAAAAAACTTTATTGCAGCTTCTTAGAGCAGAACTGAGTGTGCAGTGCTAGGACCATGTTGGGATCTTCAGAGTGGGAAACTGGGACATCACAGGAGAAGAAAGCAAGCCACTGCTGGGAGGGCTGGCCGCCCCCAGGGAGCCACAATATTCACAAGAGCTCTTGCTTGCCACACTGCAGAGGACCCAGCGACATCTGGCCAGGAGGGAGAGGACGCCAGGGAAGATGGGCTCAGGGCACCATGTTCCACCACTTGAAGGAGAAGGGCTTTCTGCGCACGTTGGTGCCGCAGTGCACCTCCCCATGCCTGATGTGGTAGGTGAAGAAGTCGTTGATGAAGGTGCACTGGAGGCCCAGTGGCTCCAGCAGGGAACACACCTTCTCCTCCAGGCAGCAGCGGCCGTTGATGACGGGCCCGAAGGGCTTGGGGATGCCCAGGTGCTTCCCTAGCACCAGCATGTTCACCTGCAGGGAAGTGAGGGTTCAGGTCACAGGCAGCAGCGGGCAGCCTGCAGCGCAATCTGAGCGGCCCCACCCTTCTCTGACCTTTGGAAATAATAGCCCCTCCAGGGGTGGTGGCTCAGACCTGTAGTCCCAGCACTTTGGGAGGCTGAGGCAGGAGGATCGCTTGAGCCCAAGAGTTTGAGACCAGCCTGGGCAACATGGTGAGACCCCATCTCTAAAAAAAGTATTTTTAAAAATTAGCTTGGCATGGTGGTGCGTGCCTGTGGTCCCAGCTACTTTGGAGGCTGAGGGAGGAGGATCACTTGAGCCCAGGAGGTCAAGGCTGCAGTGAGCTGTGATTGTGCCACTGCACTCCAGCCTGGCAGCTTGGGCGACAGAGCGAGACTCTACCTCAAAAATAAAAATTGCTGGGTGTGGTGGCTCATGCCTGTAATCCCAGCACTTTGGGAGGCCTAGGCGAGTGGATCACCTGAGGTCAGGAGCTCGAGACCAGCTTGGCCAACATGGGGAAACCCCGTCTCTACTAAAAATACAAGAATGAGCCAGGTGTGCCTGTAATCCCAGCTACTTGGGAGGCTGAGGCAGGAGAATTGCTTGAACCCAGGAAGTGGAGGTTTCAGTGAGCCGAGATCATTCCAATACACTCCAGCCTGGGTGACAGAGCGAGACTCTGTCTCAAAAATTAAAACAAAATAAAAATAATAGCCCCACTTTACAAATGAGAAAACTGAGACCCAGACGTGGAAAATTGTTTGCCTAAGGCCACCCAGCTATACTTGGACTACAGCTATTAGACTCCAAGTTCCATACTCTTATTTATTTTAAATTTAAAAATTTAGATTTGGGGGTACATATGCATATTTATTACATGGGTATATTGATTACTGGTGGGCACTGGGCTTCTAGTGTATCCATTACCCAAACAATGAACATCGTACCCGATAGGTAATTTTCCAGCCCTCACCTCGCTCTCATTCTCTCCATTTTGGGGGTCCTCAGTGCCTATTATTTCCATCTCTGTGTCTATGTGTATCCACTGTTTAGCTTCTACCTATACGTGAGAACATGCAGTATTTGATTTTCTGTTTTAGTTCACTTAGGATAATGCCTCCAGCTCCATCAGGTTGCTGCAAAGGACATTATTTAATTTTTTTTTTTTTTTTTTTTTTTGAGACAGGGTCTTACTCTTCACCCAGGCTAGAGTTCAGTGGTGCCATCTCAGCTCACTGCAGTGTCCACCTCCTGGGCTCAAGCAATCATCCTGCCTCAGCAGATGCCACCACGCCTGGCTAATTTTTGTGTTTTTTGTAGAGACAGAGTTTCTCCATGTTGCTCAGGCTGGTCTTGAACTCCTGGACTCAAGCAATCCTCCCACCTAAGCCTCCCAAAGTGCTGGGATTACAGGTATGAGCCACCCCTCCTGGCTGATTTCGTTCTTTCTGATGCTGCCCATGCTCTTAACACTACGTTCTCCTCCCCTACCTGTCACCTTCTGGTAAACTCTTTCTATTACTCAGGGCCCAGCTCAGATGGCAGCCCCTCTGTGAAACTGCCCATGAATCCCTGAGCTCTGGCAGTCACTCCTGCTCTGTGTTCCCATAACTCCCAGCACTGCGCCTTGCACGTCGTAGGCACTCAATAAACATCTGTTGACTAGACAGATAAATGACTGCCTCTGTTATGGCACTTTCCATATGTAAATAATGTATGTAAATGACTCTGCTTCCTCCATTAGATTGGCAGGTGGCCTGGTGAGGTGGGAAGGTGGGATTTTGGCTGTAGGCCTATGTGGGTTTGAATCCTAACTCTGCTATTCAATAGCTGTGTGGCCTTAGGCAAGTCATATCACCCCTCTGAGCCTCATCAGCAAAATGAGCCCAACACATATCTCCGTTGCAATGACAATTAGGTAAGAACATGTAGGCACAGCACTGTGCTGGCACACAGTAGATGCACAGCCATTTTCCATGGGTCATGAGTCCTCAAGGGGGCCACCGCCTAGACACAGCCCATGCGTGCTAAGTGCCTCGTACTGTTCATCACTCCCTCTTCCCCGCCTCCCACAGCCAGCTCCTGGGAGAGAGTCTGGTCTCATGCTCAGACTCCCTCTGGGGACCTTGAACAGTGAAGGCACACAGTCAGCCCTCAGCGTTGCTGACTACCATAGCCGCGGGCGTCCACTTTCATTCCCGCACTGGGAAGCCTGGCTTGGCCAAACTGGAGGGAAACAAAACGCTTGGGGTCAATACTTTAATTCCTTTTGGCCAAGGAACCCTTTATTCTACACACAATCTTTTGCAGAATGTCAATGCAGAAACAGAAAATCTGAACCACTGGATTTGAGGCACCACCCCGGAGCCCCAGGTGGGGCTGGCACTGCCTAGGCTGAGTGGGAACCCAGTTTGAAAACCACGGTGGTAGGGCCTGCTGGCTCCTCCCTGAACTGTAACCCCCAGCTCCAGAAGAAGGGGGTGGCTGGGGTTCCCCAGTAGGACCGGGTGAAGTCTCTGCCTCGGTCTCGGGTATGCTCTGAAGAGAGGGAGGAATGGGGCCAAGGAATGGCAAAAACACAATGGATGATATCAAGACAGCACTTAGGGGCCACGGTGAACGCTCAAGACAAAGGTGGGACCACCCACAAGTGCAGCCTCCAGAAGGTGAATCCCACTCAGCCTAGGCAGTGCCAGCCCCACCTCCTCACAGAGGCCTTCCCGGACCCTCCAGTCTGAGGTGGTGCCCCCACGTGTGTCCCTGTTATGGTGCATAAGGTGACTTGAGGGTGTCGTGTTTGTTGGTTGATTCCCTATCCATCCCTCCATCCCCTGCATCACCCCGGAGCCCCAGGGAAGGTGCTACGTGGGAAGGCAGCATGGTAGTTACGGCATGGGGTTTGAAGCCAGAGCCCTGGCAGAAGCGACGATAGACTCTGACTTCTGGAATTGTTGTGAGATACCAGAAGGTGCTCTGGAAGTGGTACAGGGCCATGCAAGCCTGTATAGAGCACCCTTGGCATAAGTGACTCCATCTTAGAAAAAGACTCCATCTTACATTTCAAAAGGCACCATGCTAACAGGAACCAGATGTTTGCCTAATCAACAGAGACTGCACCCAACCAGATAGGGACATAAGCAGGCATACTCTATTACTATCAGTCCTCACCAGAGGACTCTGGCTATAAAAAGAGCAGGTCTTCACTAGCTCAAGATGACTGTCTTTTTTTTTTTTTTTCCCGAGACAAAGTCTCACTCTGTTACCCAGGCTGGAGTGCAATAGCATGATCTTGGCTCACTGCAACCTCCGTCTCCCAGGTTCAAGTGATTCTCCTGCTTCCGCCTCTCAAGTAGTTGGGATTACAGGCTCCTGCCAGGACACCTGTCTAATTTTCGTATTTTTAGTAGAGATGGGGGTGTCACCATGTTAGCCAGGCTGGTGTCGAACTCCTGACCTCAAGTGATCCACCCGCTCTGGCCTACTAAGGTGCTAGGATTACAGGCGTGAGCCACCGCACCCGGCCTCAAGATGACTGTCTTAACAGACACTGTCTTGCTGTCACTAGTGATTAGCACCTGGCACCCGCTGTTGAAGGCTCTGCCAAAATTACACTCTTCCTTGCAAGACGTTGATGTCCATTTAGATCAGCCCAGGACCCTCTCCTTGTCCACATCACTCTCCTTGGACTGGTTCACTGACCCCTTTTCCTATCCCCTTCTCTCTTGATGTTAAATATTGCTTTGTTTGGTAAGAATGTTTCATCTGTAACATTTCTGTGTTGATTAAGTACACTACTATGTATGGTTTGCAGGACTGACTGACTTGTGGAGTGGCTTGAGCCTGTGTGCCCAGGGCTCTGCCCACCTGAGGACTGCCCCTGGGGAACTCCGTGTGGCTTGTGGATTTTATGATGGAAATAGCATCAGTAGAAGCCTGACCTTGTGGAAAGACACCAACGTGCATGGACCTGGTCACGTCTGACCTTGTACCACTCAGGACAAAGCTACAAACGGTTACAGAGAGGAGCCAAGCCCTCTGGGACCGCCCGGGTGCCCCACTGGCCTCTCGGGCTGAGCTACCTCCATGCCACACCCTGGGGTTTTAAAGCCGCCACCTCCTCACCATGTTGGGGAAAAAAGCTTCCGCCTTAGAGAACTCTTTGAGCTTGAAGAGCTGCGGGATGTCAATGATGTCACTCTCGGCCAGGCCCAGCTCCCGCTTCAGCAGCTCGCGGTTCCAGTCGATGCATCTCTTGGGGAAGGGGCAGGGGCAGTGAGTGGGGGACTGATGGCAGTCGGGGGTGGGGGTGGGGGACAGTGTGGGGCTGAGGCCCCCTGCCGGAGGGTAGGACCTGGGACAGTGTCAGGAAGGCAGTGAAGGTGGCTGCCAGGCCTCACTGCACAGAGGGGCCTCTGGCCAGTGCTCTCGGGGGACCCTGGGGCCTCCCATTCCCTCTGCTCCCTCAGCCTCTCCCAGTCTTTGCTTCTGCCCTTGCTTCTGTGTCTCTGTCTTCCAGCGCATCCTGAGACCCTGAGCCTCTGTGTGCCTCTAATCACTGGGAAAGTGGCTGAGCCGGGGACAGGGCGTCAGGTCTGCTGGGGTGTAGGCACCCAGGCTCCTACCTCCACAAATGAATTATGTTCTCTCAATGTCTTGTTTGACAGAATGTTCTTTATTTTCTGCTGTTTTTTTTCTGTCATGGAGAAAAAGAAAAAAAAGGCAAATGAACTTAGAGGTCGATTTCCCTCTTCCCAGCCAGTGCCGGGGGGGGACTCAGTGTTCCCATCTATAAAATGGAGTCAGTAATAATTCTTACCATACAGGTTTGCTGTGAGCATCTGCAAGTCAAATATCTTTAATACAATATTTTAGCAGTATAAGTTCTCATTAAAAATGTTGTTCTCACCTCATTTAAATTCTTTTTAAAATATATTTTTATTTTTATTATTATTTTTTTTTTTTTTTGAGACGGAGTCTCGCTGTCGTCCAGGCTGGAGTGCAGTGGCGCAATCTCGGCTCACTGCAGGCTCCGCCCCCTGGAGTTCACGCCATTCTCCTGCCTCAGCCTCCGGAGTAGCTGGGACTACAGGCGCCCGCCACCTCGCCCGGCTAATTTTTTGTATTTTTAGTAGAGACGGGGTTTCACCGTGTTACCCAGGATGGTCTCGATCTCCTGACCTCGTGATCCGCCCGCCTCGGCCTCCCAAAGTGCTGGGATTACAGGCGTGAGCCACCGCGCCCGGCCTAAAATATATTTTTATAGTGTAATTTTTTTTTTGTTTTGAGACAGAGCCTTGCTCTGTCGCCCAGGCTGGAGTGCAGTAGTGCGATCTTGACTCACTGCAACCTCCACCTCCCGAGTTCAAGCGATTCTCCTGCCTCAGCCTCCCCAGTAGCTGGGATTACAGGTGCGCACCACTGCGCCCAGCTAATTTTTGTACTTTTAGTAAAGTCGGGGTTTCATCACGTTGGCCAGGCTGGTCTCAAACTCTTGACCTCAGGTGATCCACCCGCCTCAGCCTCCCAAAGTGCTAGGATTACAGGTGTGAGCCACCACACTTGGCCTAGTTTAATATTTTCTTGTTTTTTTTTTTTTTTTTGAGACTGAGTCTTGCTCTGTCACCCAGGCTAGAGTGCAGTGGCACATTCTTGGCTCACTGCAACCTCCACCTCCCGGGTTCGAGTGATTCTCCTGCCTCAGCCTCCCAAGTAGCTGGGATTACAGGCACCCGCCACCACGCCCGGCTAATTTTTGTATTTTTAGTAGAGACGGGGTTTCACCATCTTGGCCTAGCTGGCCTTGAACTCCTGAACTCGTGATCCACCCGCCTCGTCCTCCCAAAGTGCTAGGATTACAGGCATGAACCATCGCGCCCAGCCTAGTTTAGTGTATTTTAATAGCACACTTACAGGAACAGCACAGAAAACAGACAACATTAAAAATATCTACTTGCATGCAGGACAGACAGCTCAGAAAAGTATAGTGAATGGATGGAATCTACTGTGTGATAAAAATGCTACAAGTACCATTTAGTTGCTGTCAATAAGAAATGTCCTTGTTTTAAGCCAGGCGTGGTGGCTCATGCCTGTAACCCCAGCACTTTGGGAGGCCGAGGTGGGTGGATCACCAGGTCAGGAGTTCGAGACCAGCCTGGCCAGCATGGCAAAACCCCATCTCTACTAAAAATACAAAACATTAGCCAGGTGTGGTGGTGCACACCTGTAATCCCAGCTACTCGGAAGGCTGGGGCAGGAGAATCACTTGAACCCGGGATGCAGAGGCTGCAGAGAGTCGAGATCGCGCCATTGCACTCCAGCCTGGGCAATAGAGGAAAACTTCGTTTCAAAAGAAAAGAATGTCCAGAAAAATTTAACAGGTTTACTTATAATTATTATAAAGTTGAACCATGAAACTTGTTCACTGGAACATTTTGCCTTGCATTAACGCTAAATTATCTTATCTCCAAAGAGATCCCATCGAGAGAGGAAGAAACAGGTCAGCCCTCTCCTGATGCCACACAACATACTCAGATCTGAGGTGGAGCTCTCAGCCACAGAGGCATCTCAGCCCGGGGCCTGGCCCATGTCTGTGAGCTCTGCTGAGAGAGTAATATTTCATCTGTGCTCCAGCTATACCGAACCTCCCCGAGGTCCTCACACACATCGTGCTTTCTCCTGCCTCTGAGCCGCCCCACCCCCGTCCCTCTGCCTGTGGTATCTCTCTTCCTCTCATTTCCCTGCCCCGTTTGCCCAGCCAACCCCTACTTGCATGCTACTGCTTGGCCTCTGCCTCCTCCAAGAAGCCTTCCCTGAGCTCCATCCACTCAGACACCCCTCAAAGCCCCTGTGTTGGAGCTGTTCTTTTGACTCACTTCCCCCTGGCCTGTGAGCCCACAGGGCAGCAAGCTGTTCTGCCCTGTTCATGCAGTCTCCCTAGCACTTGGCACAGTGCCTGGCGCACAGTAGGTGCTCAGATGCTACCCTATTGCCTGGATGATTCCCTCCAGGCAACAGCGGACTATGGGAAGCAGGAAGGTGCACAGACAGGAGAACAAGGCAGGGCCGACTTACTCTTGATCCCTTCGAACAGCAGGGCCTCCCCGTGGCCCTCATTCTGCTGCTCCTGGAACAGTTTGTAGCAGGACCTGGGGCTGGCCAGGAGCAGCCGGAAGCCCTGGAGGCAGAAACACTGGGGTTAGAAGTCAGCTTTGCCCCTGGAGCTCCCAACGAGGGTGGATCTGCTGAGGGTGGGAGTAGTGTGGACTTGGACCCAAGCTGGCCACCTCCTCTACTGCCATCCTAAGGGTGAAGGAGAAATAGACAAGTAAAGTTGCTCCCACCCCAGGCAGAGGGTCTACCCAGGAAGGAGGCATGGCTTCCTGAGGCAGCCCCCAAGACTGTACCTTCCTGTCGGGTGCTGGCACAAAGCTCAGGAACTCGTCCACGTGGCCCACGGACAGCCAGTCAGAATAGAGCTTCACAGGGGCCTGCACCTGCTGGGCACTGAGGAAGTCCTGCAGGGCCTGGTGCATCTGCCGGCTGTCATTGCTGTCATGGCAGGGTTAAAGGGGTGTTATCGGCAGCAAGGGCTACAGGGAAGTCCCTGAAGGACAAGGGGCTTGGCAAAAAGGTCAGGGTTCTCCTTCAGCTGAGAAAGGGATGCAGGAGTCTAGAATGCCTTTATTTTATCCCCTAACATTTGAGAAATCAAGGAATTGTCATTCTAGTTTTATTGGGGGAAACTGAGGCACAGAGTCACTAAGGTAAGTAGAACAGAGCTTAGCCTCAGAAAGCACTGCCTCTTGAGTTAGATGAGATGCTGGTATTCTGGGTACACATGGGGCTTAGAGCCAGTCTGACCTAAGTCGGTGATCTCTTGTTAGCCATGTGGCCTTGGGGACATTCCTTCACCTGTTTGAGCCTCAGTTTTCTCCTAAAAAAAAAAATTAGTGTTGCAGTGCCTTGTTCTTCCTCACTTTTTTTTTTTTTTTTGAGACAGAGTCTTGCTCTGTTGCCCAGGCTGGCACAATCTCGGCTCACTACAACCTCCGCCTCCCGGGATCAAGCGATTCTCTTGCCTCGGCCTCCCGAGTAGCTGGGATTACAGGCATGCATCACCAGGCCCAGCTAATTTTTGCATTAGTAGAGACGGGGTTTCGCCATGTTAGTCAGGCTGGTCTCGAACTCCTGACCTCAGGTAATCCACCTGCCTTGGCCTCCCAAAGTGCTGGGATTACAGGTGTGAGCCACTGTGCCCAGCCTCTTCTTGTTCAATAGGTTCTAGCCATCCTGGCCTTGCACGCAGGAGCTCATTCCTGCCTCAGGGCCTTTGCACATGCACTTTCATTTGCCAGGAACTCTCTGTCCCAGATCTCCAGGTGGCCCTGTCCCTTCTGTCATTAGGCCTCAGTTCAAAAGCCCCTTCCCCAGAGAGGACCTCCCTGGTCACCCTAACAGTTCCTATTCCTCCCGTGCCCCTCTCTTTTGTTTTTGTCATTTGAAGTTATCTTGTCTACTTTTCTATCATCTGTTTCCCTACTAGAGTAGTGGTAAGGACTTGTCTTTCTTGTCCACGGCTGCATTCCCAGCTCCCAGAACATTTTGGATGCTCAGTAAATATTCACTGACTGAAAGAGGGTAAGTGGCAGGGCTGGAATTGAACTTGGGTCTATGGGCTCCAAAGCCCGCATTCCTCACCCTGCGCTTGGATTCCTCTCACACTCCCTCAAGTCTGTTGGGCTGTCTAGAATCGGAAGCAGGAAGGCAAGGCTTCCACTCTGGCCTCTGCTTTTCTACGGCATACCTGGGTCCTGGCCACCCCTTCCTGTTACTCCCCTCCTTACCTGGGATAACAGCTGTCCCCGAAGAGAATCCTGCCCAGCGGGTATTCCTTGCCCCTGACTGTGACTGGGGGGCTCACTTCCAGGTTCCCAAAGGAGTCCAGTCCACTGATACCCCCTGTTTGGGGCCCTCGAGTTACATAGCCAAAATCTGGACCCTGAGATAGGAGAAGGGAGTGCCAAGAGTTAGAGGAATGAGGTCCCTGGTGAAGGGTCGGGGGGTCCAAGTTTAGAGATGAACTTGGGCACAGGAAGTAACTCAGTACCGTCTACAGCTGGCACATAGCAGGTGCTGTTATCACATGTGGAAGGTTAAAGGAATGTTGAGTTCATTCAATGGACAAGAAAAGGGACTAGCATTTGTTGGGTCCCTAAAGCGTGCCAGCTGCTTGGTAAACCTTAACTTGGGCATAAAACAAATCTGTAAAACATCATTTTTTTTCCCCTTAAGACAGAGTCCCACTCTGTTGCCCAGGTTGGAGGGCCGTGGCATGATCTCAGCCACTGCAACCTCCGCCCCTGGTTCAAGGAATACTCCTCAGCCTCCTGAGTAGCTGGGACTACAGGCACGCCCCACCACGCCCAGCTAATTTTTGTATTTTTTTTTTTTTTTAGTAGAGATGGGGTTTCACCATGTTGGCCAGTCTAGTCTCGGATTCCTGACCTCAAGTGATCCATCTGCCTCGACCTCCCAAAGTGCTGGGATTACAGGCATGAGCCCCCACGCCCAGCCACATTTATTCTCTTAAAATTCTGGAGGCCAGAAGTGTGAAATCAGTTCCACTGGGCTTAAGTCCAGGGATGGCAGAGCTGGTTCCTCCTGGAGGCCCTGAGGAAAGAATCTATTATATTTCCGTGTCTTTTTCAGCTTCTAATAGCCGCCTTGGCTGGCAGCCCCTTCTTCCACCTTCAAAGATCTCCAGTCTCTGCTTCCATCATCACAGGCCCTCCCGCATTCCAGGATAAACCAGGATAATCACCCCATCACAAGATCCCTAATATAATTACATTCAGCAAAGTCCCTTTTACCATATAAGGAAACATCAGGTTCGGGGGGACTAGGATGTAGAGGGGCCATTATTCAGTCCACCGCCCATCTCCCCTGCCTCCCAGGAGAGGGTACATCTAGCCTTCTACACATAGATGGTCCATTCCCTGAGGCTTCATGGGGGCCATGAACTCCCTGAGAGTAGACGCCAAATTATGTGCCCAGGTGTGAGTTTCTGGGAAGATGAGTGGGTCTTAAGGAGGTCTGTGATCTTCAAATTTACTTCTTCACTGCAGTTTTGACCTCCTGGGCTCAAAGGATCACGGTCCCGTCTCAGCCGCCCGAGTAGCTGGGACCACAGGTGCATGCTATCACAACCTGGCTAATTTTTAAAGTTGTTCTTTCCTGTAGAGATGGGGTCTCACTATGTTGCCCAGGCTGGTCTCAAACTCCTGGGCTCAATCTTCCTGCCTCGGCTCCTAGAGTGTTGGGATTATAGGTGTGAGCTACTGCGCCTGGCCTGATTCCACAGATTTAACAATCACACTTCCAGTTCCTCTCTCCACTTCTCTCTAAAACCCAGACCAACCCGCTTCTCCCGCCCATCAAAGCTTTCCTTGTCCAGGTCTCCATGAACACATGGCCATATCCCAAGTGCAATGCGCGGGCCTCGCCTTCCCCTCAGAAGCCCCTGAATCAGGCGGTCACACCTGTGTTCTCCGCACACTTTCTGCACTTGGCTTTCAGGACACCGGGGGATCCTGGTTCACCTCCAACCTCACTTGCCCCTTCAGTCGTCCTGCCAAGTCTCATGGAATTCCGTTCCCGAGCCGACAACCCTCATGTTCGCATCTCTGGGCATCCCTTCCCTCCCAAACATCACATGTGTATCCACGCTCACTTGACTTCCCATTTGGATGTTGACCAATTGTCTCCCACTTGCCCTAAACAGAACTTTGGGTCCCCTCTTCCCACCCCCTCATTCTCCATCAATCTGTTCCTCCTCCCACAGTCCTCCCCTCCCAGGGGATGGTGCCTGCCACCCACAGAGGTCACAGCCTTGCTGTCAGCTTTGGCTTGCCTCTCTCATAGCGGGGGTCAGAATGCCCTGCTGGCTCTGCCTTCCAGACATAGCCGGAATCTCATGGCTTCTCACCTCCTCTGGCCACACCCTGCCTGCACTCCCAGCATCCCTCACCTGCCCACTCCCTTGCCCCTTGCCTCTGTTCTCTTTACTCAACAACACATAGCAGGGCTTGTTCCCTTTTCTAACAAACCAGATCATAATCCTCCTCTGTTTAAGACCCTGTGATGATTCTCAGTTTCTAAACAAGCAGCCTTAACAGTAGCCAACAAGCCCAACCCCATCCGGTCATCCCGTCCCTTCCCCATCACCTCTGACCACAGCCTCTTCTACTGCCCCCCATCTCCTCCCATCACCTCCTTGACCACCTCTGCTACCACCTCCCATCTCTTCCCTGACCACCCCTCTTACCACCTCCCATCTCCTCCCTGACCGCCTCTCCTACCACCTCTCATCACCTCCCTGATTGCCTCTCCTACTGCCTCCCATCACCTCTCTGACCACAGTCTCTCCTACCACCTCCCATCACCTCCCTGACTGCCTCTCTTCCCACCTCCCATCACCTCCCTGACTGCCTCTCCTCCCATCACCTCCCTGGCCGCCTCTCCTCCCATCACCTCCCTGACTGCCTCTCCTCCCATCACCTCCCTGGCCGCCTCTCCTCCCACCTCCCATCACCTCCCTGACCGCCTCTCCTACTGCCTCCCATCAGCTCCCTGACTGCCTTTTCTACCACCTCCTATCTCCTCTCTGACTGCCTCTCCTCCTGGTTGCTCTGCTCTACCCCTCCAGGCCCTCTTGCTGTTCTGGAACACTCAAGGCATGCTCCTGCCCCAGGGCCTTTGCACTGGCTGTTTCACTGCCTACAACACTCTTCACCCAGACACCCACTCACATGGCCAACTCGCTCACCTCCCTCAAGCATCTGCTGCAAGGTCAGCTTCTCCGTGAAGCCCACCCTGACCATCCTATTTAAGAACGCAATCTTTTTTTTTTTTTTTTTTTTTTTGAGACCAGGTCTTACTCCTATTGCCCATGCCAGAATGCAGTGGTGTGATCATGGCTCACTGCAGCCTCACCCTTCAGGGTTCAAGGGTCCTGCCACCTCAGCCTCCTAAGTAGCTGGAACTATAGGCATGCACCACCATGCCTGGCTTATTTTTATTTTTATTTTTAATTTTTTTTTTTTTTGTAGAGACAGGGTTTGACTATGGTGCCTAGGCTGGTCTCGAACTCCTGGGCTCAAGTAATCCACCAGCCTTGGCCTCCCGAAGTGCTGGGATTACTGGAATGAGCCACCAGACTCGGCTTTAAGAATGTAACCTAATCCACCTTCCCTACCACGCTGGCACCTATGAGCCCCTCCATTCCGCTCTACTCTGTCTTTCCCTGTAGCTCTTTTTTTTTTTTTTTTTTTCCTCTGGGACAAGGTCTCATCTGTCACCCAGACTGGAGTGCAGAAGTGCAATCATGACTCGCTGCAGCCTTGACCTCCTGGGCTCAAGCGATCCTCCCACCTCAGCCTCTCTAGTAGTTGGGACTACAGGCATGTGTTACCATGCCTAGTTAATTGAAACAATTTTTTTTTTTTTTTTGTAGGGACAAGGTCTCATTATGTTGCCCAGTCTGGTCTCAAACTCCTGGGTTCAAACAATTCTCCCACCTTGGCCTTCCAAAGTGCTAGGATTACAGGTATGAGCCACCACACCTGGCACCTGTAGCTCTTGACATCCCCTTCTAAGGAACCATATAACTGCTTTGTTCTATTCATTGTCTGCTGTCTGTCTCTCTGGGCCAGAACGTCCCCTCCGTGAGGTCAGGGACCTTGGCGTTGCTCCCTGTCATATCTCAAGTGCCTAGAACAAGGCCCCGCTGAGTATGTGTTCAAACAGTGTTTGATGAATGAATGTAAATTCAGCCACATCACTGCCCTGGCTGTTGTTGTGAGAGGGGGTCAGTTATACAGCCTTCAGCCTTGGATTTCTGCAGGCAAATGAAGGCATATCCATAGTCTGCAGAAGTGGCCCCCCAAGAGTGGGCTGTGTGGGGGACGCTCATGGATGCCAGGTGATGCGGCCTGAGGCACAACGTTGGAAAGCTGTTGCCCTTCTCATTTTCCTCCAGTCTTTTCTGGTTCCTCAAAAATTCAAGTTTCAGTGATGCAAACACATCCTTGACACCTGCTAATCCCTCATTTTAACCAGCAGAGAGCTGACCTCGAGCTCAGAGATGCTGCAGTCACTTGTAACGAGCTGGCTTTGGTAGCAGGATCTTGTTTCATTCTGTTTAACTTCACAGTTGCCTTCTATCTGCAGGAAGTGCTGCTGGTTTCCCATTGATGGTGGTGATAGAAAATTTACTGACGATGCTTACAGGAAGAACAACCACTGTGTGTGAAGCTTTGTGCCAGCTGCCCGATGGACAGCGTAAGGCATAACAGCCTCAGGCCCAGCAGCGCAGGCAACGAAAAGTAGATGAACGAGTCCATGATTTTAACAAAATACACTGAAGAAGTCAACAGGGGGCTGTAGTGGAGAAGGCTAGGAGTTGGGGTGGGAGTAGGGATCCCTCTTTTAGCATCAGGGAAGGCCTCACTGAGTAGGAAATAGAAGCTGAAACCTGAAGGCTGAGAAGCAGCCAGCCCCGTGAACAGGGAACAGCACTGCAAGCAGAGGGAACGGCATATGCAAAGACCGTGAGGTGGGGAAACGTTAGGCAAGTTTGAAGAACAGGAAGGAGGCCAGTGGAGGTGGGGCTGGGTAAGGGACAGCGAGAGTGGCCTACAATGGTGCTGGAGAGGCAGGTGGGGCCAAAGCCTGGTGCTGAGTGTGACTTTTTCTCCAATTCTCTTCATTCTGAGTGATTTGGGTGTTTTTTGTTGTTGTTTTTTCTTTTTCTTTCTTTTTTTTTTTTTTTGATACAGTCTTGCTCTGTCACCCAGGCTGGAGTGCAGTGGTGCAATCTCGGCTCACTGCAACCTCTGCCTCCTGGGTTCAAGGGATTCTCCTGCCTCAAACTCTTGAGAAGATAGGATTACAGGCACACACCACCATGCCCAGCTAATTTTTGTATTTTTAGTAGAGACGGGATTTCGCCATGCTGGCCAGGCTGGTCTCGAACTTCTGACCTCAGGTGATCCATCCTCCTTGGCCTCCCAAACTGCTGGGATTACAGGTGTCAGCCACCACACCTGGCCTCATTCTGAGTGATTTGAGTTGGAATACACAGATGTGCTTAGCTGAGGGACCAGTGCTGCCTGCCTTCATCCAAAGTTGTCTGTGGGAAAGGGGACAACAATGGTGCCGAGGTGTCCGTCTGTCTGTCCAGCAGGACTTGTGGCATCAGAAAATCTGGCCTTTGTTATACTTGGAGCATCAAAGTAGACACAGCCACTGAACCAGGCAGGACTGAAAGCAGCAGAAAGAGGGCAAAGTCACGGTAGCAGCTGGCTGGTTCGCCCCAACGCTGCTGAAACAGGATGAACTCGACCCCATGGCTGAGTACACACTGTGAATCCAACAGCATCTCTGCATCTCCACTGCTCAGCGCACAGCTTGGCCAGGAGGAAGCGAGACTCGGGACAAGTTGTTGAGTTTAACTGAAGTTTCATTCTGAAGCCTTCTGTGTGGGCAGGGCCACTCTCCCCTCCCTTGGGGCACAGTACAGATGCTTGTCGGAAAGCCATTTGTCCTAGCAAACCTTGGACCCCACACTCCTTCCGTCGTTTTCCCTGGGCACCTTGAGCCAAGGGGCTGCCAGGACTCAGAGCGCAGGCCTGGGGTCTTCCTGGGAAAGCAGGGAGAGGGAGGCAGGGCGGGGAAAAGCATGCTCACCAAGCCGGACTGGCCGGGTTTGAATTCCAACTTCTCCACTCTGAGCCTCAGTTTCTTCTTCTATAAAATGGGCCTATTGATAGAATCTCCATAACAGTTTATCAAATTAAATGAGTCAGTGCAGGTAAAGAATGCAGCACTGGCTAACACACAACTCATTCTCAATAAATGCAACTATTATTATTATTGTTCTGTGCTGAGTTTGCATCAACCTGCCAGGCTAGTCAAGCATGAGTCAGCAATACGTCACTTCCCACCTCCACATGGACAGCCTGTGGCTGATAAAGTCACACCCAGGAAATGACCACTGATCCACTGATCCCAAAATCCCCCATATCCCAGATGGAGCCCCTGAAGACCAAACACCACCCATAAGACAGAGCCTCCAGCTGGGCATTGGGAAAGATTCCAGCCCCGGCCCCACCTCCACCTTGCAGCAAGAGCTTCTTCAAGAGCACAGGGAGGTCCAAGCCTGAGCCACCTCCTCGGCAGGGTTACCTGGAGATCAAGCTGAGCTCACGGGTGACAAGGGTTTTGGGAAATGAAGAGCCAGATCTTATCTTGGTAATAAAAAAATAACAAGCCCCACCTACATGCTCCCACTTTGGTAGGAATTCCACCTCCTTGCACTGGGCTACTCAGCTACAGGCGCGGGCGGGGAAGGCAGGCTAAAAGGAGGGAGTCTCAAGACAAGAGGGTTTCGGCAGCTGTGCCCCCTCCCCACCCCATGCAGGTACCATCACGCGTTTGATGGGAAACTCCTTCAGGCCTCTGTTCCTTGGAGAGTCGAAGACCACGGGCAGCGTTTTGTGTGGGGCTTGGATGTAGCCGATCTCCATTTCATCCTGTGGGAGTGAGTGGAGAGGAGGCTGTTGCGCGTGCTGCCTGGGTCTTGGTGCCCGACGCCAGGATGGGGGCATGAAACCATCCACTCACTCTCACCCTTGCAGTCAAGGGCACATTCCTATGGGATGTTTGATCTCAGAGAAGGGGCTCAGAAGCGGAGCTTATTGCCCCCTGTTTGCCCAGTGCACGAGAGGCCATGAGCCTGCAGGAGTGCCCTTCCCTCCTACTCCTGGTGGTGCCTGGGCCAGTGCTGGGGACCCCTGGTGAGCAAAACTGAGACCCCTCCTCAAGGTGAGAAAACAAGGGAGCCAGGCAGTGGGCACCAGGGTTAGGAGGTGATGGGGGGTGAGGGGTTGAGGGGTCTGTGGGGACACAGAGGAGGGGCTCCTGATGCAGCTAGGATGGGCCAGAGAAGACCTGTTGGCGCCAGAGCTCGCGGCCTCCTCCCCAAAGGAGGGCAGATAAGACCCAGCCTGGGCCACTGGAGCAGCAGGAGGAGCACGGGGAGGTTTCAGAAATGAATCTGCTGAAAATTCCGCCTCCGCAGGCTTGTATTCTAGCAGGCAGGTGTGATGTTGGACATAATCACTACTATAAGTTACTATTAGGATGAACCAGATGAAAGTTCCACTCTTGCAAATCAAAAATGGCACATATCAGCAATTTCACACAGGTCAACTTGGTATCAAAAAAATGGAATGGCGGCCAGGTGCAGTAACTCATGCCTGTAAGCCCAGCACTTTGGGAGGCTGAGGTGGGTGGATCACCTGAGGTCAGGAGTTCGAGACCAGCCTGACCAACACGGAGAAACCCCATCTCTACTAAAAATACAAAATTAGCCAGGCGTGGTGGCACATGCCTGTAATTACAGCTACTCAGGAGGCTGAGGCAGGAGAATCATTTGAACCCGGGAGGCAGAGGTTGTGATGAGCCGAGATCGAGCCATTGCACTCCAGCCTGGGCAACAAGAGTGAAAAAAAAAAGAAAAGAAAAGATGGAATGGCAAGAAAGGAAGAAAGGATGTTGTGTGGGGGTGAAAAGAAAGAGGGATGAATTCCTGCTGGGGGTGATGGGGGAAATTTATGGACGAGGAGCATTTGTGCTGGGATTCACCGGTATGGATTGGAGATGGGGGATGGGAATGGGGAGATGGGTCCAAGAGACAGCACCGCAGGGGTGCGGCATGGAAGGACAGGGTCCCGAGGCAAAGCAAGGCAGTGGTGGGGAGGGTCAGGGTGCTAGGCTGGATGAGGCCCAGTCTCAGTCCTTGGGGCACTCCTGGCATGATGGGGGAGTGGCACGGAAACAGAGACTGGTAATCATGTGTTTCCAGGCACAGTGGCAGGCTGGCCCCAGGGAAGGGAACCAGGCAGGCTGAGAGGGCCTGGAAACAGACTAAGCAGGAGGAGATGGGAGCCATGGAAAGTGCTGGAGCTGGGGTGTGACCTGCTTTGGTGGCTGGGCCCAAGATGGACAGCCTGGAGGGAGGACCACTTGAGGGGCTGGTTGAGCACCAATCTCCTGAGCTTCACATCATTTCCTGAGGCCACCTGAGTGTTTTCAAGCAGGAAGGTGGCTTCATCTTGGTGACTGCAGTGGGCCTGCAGTGGCCCACAGCAAACGTCAGATGAATCACTTGCTTGAGCCTCCCGGCCCAAGGATCTCTCAGGTTCCTATCTCCCTGTCCATCTAAGGAAGAGTGGCCGGTGAGGCACCAGGCTGAACCCCAGGAGCCCGGGTCCCCCAAGTGTCTCTTGGCCCTCAGGGACAGTCACCCTGCCTGCCCCGCAGGGCACATACCTGCATCCACTGGTCATCCATGTTCTCCTCCTCAGGGCAGATGGTCAGCTTGCACTTGGCTTTCATGGCCAGAGTAGTCACTGACTTCAGGAAGTCCTCATTTTCAAAAATACTAGAGAGAGCAGAAAAGCAGCTCCTTAGTGCTCTGGAATTTGAAGCTCAGCCTGGAAGGATTGGGAGGGACACACAGGTGGCTCAGGGGTCACCTGTGGCCTGAACAGAGGCTCCTGGCACGTCCGGTCCATCTGCTCTTAGCAGGCATTAGCTCATGGAATCCATCTAACAAGTTATGAGGCAGGAACTAGTGGGTACCCCTTCCACCCGTGTATTAGTCCGTTTTCACGCTGCTGATAAAGACATACTTGAGACTGGGAAGAAAAAGAGGTTTAATTGGACTTACAGTTCCACATGGCTGGGGAGGCCATGGTGGGAGGCAAAAGGCACTTCTTACATGGCGGTGGCAAGAGAAAATGAGGAAGAAGAAAAAGGAGAAAAACCTGATAAAACCATCAGATCTCATGAGACTTATTCACTATCATGAGAACAGTATGGGAGAAACTGCCACCATGATTCAAATTATCTCCCACTGGGTCCCTCCCACAACACTTGGGAATTATGGGAGTACATGTCAAGATGAGATTTGGGTGGGGACACAGAACCAAAGCATATCATCCTGCCCCTGGCCCCTCCAAATCCTATATCCTCACATTTCAAAACCAATCATGCCTTCCCAACAGTCCCCCAAAGTCTTAACTCATTTCAGCATTAACCCAAAAGTTCACAATCCAAAATCTCATCTGAGACAGGGCAAGTCCCTTCCTCCTATGAGCCTGTAAAATCAAAAGCAAGCTAGTTACTTCCTAGATACAATGGGGGTACAGGTGTTGGGTAAATACAACCATTCCAAATGGGAGAAATTGGCCAAAACAAGGGGGTTACAGGGCCCATGCAAGTCCAAAATCCAGCAGGGCAGTCAAATTTTAAAGCTCCAAAATGATCTTTGACTCCAGGTCTCACATCCAGGTCATGCTGACACAAGAGGTGGGTTCCCATGGTCTTAGGCAGCTCTGCCCCTGTGGCTTTGCAGGGTATAGCCTCCCTCCTGGTAGGCCAGTTTCACAGGCTGGTGTTGAGTGTCTGTGGCTTTTCCAGGCACACGGTGCAAGCTGTCAGTGGATCTACCCTTCTGGAGTCTGGAGGACAGTGGCCCTCTTCTCACAACTCCACTACGTGGTGTCCCAGTAGGGACTCTGTGTGGGGGCTCCAAACCAACATTTCCCCTCTGCACTGCTGTAGCAGAGGTTTTCCATGAGAACACCACCCCTGCAGCAAACTTCTGCCTGGGCATCTAGGCGTTTCCACACATCTTTGGAAATCAAGGCAGAGGTTCCCAAACCCCAATTCTTGACTTCTGTGCACTTGCAGGCTCAACACCATGTGGAAGCTGCCAAGGCTTGGGGCTTCCACCCTCTGAAGCCACAGCCTGAGCTCTACACTGGCCCCTTTTAGCCATGGCTGGAGCAGCTGGGATGCAGGGCACCAAGTCCCTAGGCTGCACATAGCATGGGGACCCTGGGCCTGGCCTACGAAACCATTTTCTCCTAGGCCTCTGGGCCTGTGACGGGAGGGGCTGCCATGAAGACCTCTGACATGCCCTGGAGACATTTTCCTCATTGCCTTGTGGCTTAACATTAATCTCCTTGTTACTTATGCAAATTTCTGCAGCTGGCTTGAATTTCTCCTCAGAAAATGAGATTTTCTTTTCGATTGCATTGTCAGGCTGCAACTTTTCTGAACTTTTATGCTCTGCTTCCCTTTTAAAACTGGATGCCTTTAACAGCACCCAAGTCACCTCTTGAATGCCTTGCTGCTTAGAAATTTCTTCTGCCAGATACCCTAAATCATCTCTCTCAAGTTCAAAGTTCCACAAATCTCTAGGGCAGGTACAAAATGCCACCAGTCTCTTTGCTAAAACATAACAAGAGTCACCTTTGCTCCGGTTCCCAACAAGTTCCTCATCTCCATCTGAGACCATCTCAGTCTGGATTTCATTGTTCATATCATTATCAGTATTTTTGTCAAAGCCATTCAACAAGTCTCTAGAAAGTTCCAAACTTTCCCACATTTTCCTGTCTTCCTCTGAGCCCTCCAAACCGTTCCAACCTCTGTCTGTTACCCAGTTCCAAAGTTGCTTCCACATTTTGGGTATCTTTTCAGCAACGCCCCCCTCTACTGGTATCAATTTACTGTATTAGTCCATTTTCACGCTGCTGATAAAAACATACCTGAGACTAGGAAGGAAAAGAGGTTTAATTGGACTTACACTCCCACATGGCTGGGGACACCATGGTGGGAGGCAAAAGGCACTTCTTACATGGCGGCGGCAAGAGAAAATGAGCAAGATGCAAAAGTGGAAACCCCTGATAAAACCATCAGATCTCATGAGACTTATTCACTACCATGAGAATGGTATGGGGCAAACCACCTCCATGATTCAAATTATCTCCCACCAGGTCCCTCCCAGAACACGTGGGAATTGTGGGAGTACAATTCAAGATAAGATTTGGGTGGAGACACAGAGCCAAACCATATCAACTTGGGAGAAGACAGAATATGAGTTCACTGTTCAAGGTCACACCACCTGGAACAGTGCTGGGACCGGAATACAGTCCTCACTGGATTCCAGCCTGCGTCCTGACCACATTACCCTCTTACTCTTCTGCCCCTGAAGCTATCAGAAGAGGGGAGGAGAGGGTCTCCTGAGACCCCAGCACACTTGTCAGCGGCTCTCAGACTGCAGGAAGATTGCCTGGGCCTCCCCAAAATGCAGATGGGCCCCGTCCTCAGGGATAAGACCCAGCAGCTCACAGGCAGCCAGAAAGGTGCATTTTATTTAATTTAAATTTAATTTAATTTAATTTAATTTTTAATTTTTATTATTTTTAATTTTCTCAAGACGGAGTCTTGCTCTGTCGCCCAGGCTAGAGTGCAATGGTGCAATCTCGGCTCACTGCAACCTTGGCCTCCTGGGTTCAAGTGATTCTCCTGCCTCAGCCTCCCGAGTAGCTGGGATTACAGGCACATGCCACAACACCTGGCTAATTTTTTGTATTTTTAGTAGAGACGGGGTTTCACCATGTTGGCCAGGCTGGTTATTTTATTTTTGAGATGGAGTCTCACTGTGTTGCCCAGGCTGGAGCGCAGTGGCGCAATCTCAGCTCACTGCAACCTCCGCCTCCAGGGTTCAAGCAATTCTCGTGCCTCGGCCTCCTGAGTAGCTGGATTACAGGCATGCGCCACCACGCCCGGCCAATTTTTGTATTTTTTAGTAGAGACAGGGTTTCACCATGTTGGCTGGGCTGATCTCAAACTTCTGACCTTAAGTGATCCACCTGCCTCAGCCTCCCAAAGTGCTAGGATTACAGGCGTGAGCCACCGTGCCCAGCCCAGAAAGGTGCATTTTAAATGAGTTCCCAGGAGTTTCTGGTGCACAAGGTCCATGGGACACACTCTACAGGCCCCTGGGAGTTAACGTAGCCTCAGCTGCATCAGGGCAGGACAGAGGCAATGACAACAACAGTAGGGAACTTCCCTGCCTTTTTAGAGCCCCCAACAAGCAGCAAGCTCTCAGTGGGCAGGGGAGGGGTGACTGTTTTTCCCATCACACAGTGAGTGCTGCGGATGGAACTCAGGCTCTTTGTTGTCTGGACCCACCCCAGCACCCCAGGACCTCTCACCTGCACGCGTACACCTCCTGCGGGGGCTGGGTGTTGGGGGTCATGATCCAGGGCGCCACGCGGAAGACCACGCTGTCTTGGAACACCACAGCCTCGGGGAGCTCCTGCAGGGGAGGGGGTAAGGGGAAGGAGGGGCTGTCACCGCTGCCAGGGCCCAGCACCTACCACTTCCTGCAGCTGTTTGGAGTCCCCCTGCCCAGCTGGGCTCTGTACCCCTTTCCCTAGCCAGGCCACTGCCTGGAAGCCCAGGCCCCCGATGCAGGGCTGCCTTCTCGGCCTACCAGGTTGGACGTGTCCAGCAGGGAGATGGTGAGGGTAATGAGCCCCGGGAAGTCGGTGTCCGGGAAAGCGAGGGCCTCCACGTAGAAGTCCATGTTGTGCTTTCCACCGGGGACCATCAGGTAGTGAGAGGGCCACTTGGGACCCAAGACTACGCTGCACTTGGAGGACAGTTTGCCCCCTAGGAGAGAGGCAGGGGAGACTCAGGTCTGCGTCCCCACTTCTGAAGACTTTTCCTCCTCTCCTTAGTGCTCCCCAGAAGCCTTTCCCAGGGTCACCACATGGCACCATCAGAGAACCCCTTGCAGCCAAATCTGGCCAGTCCCCTTAGGAGAAAAGGACTGAAGTTCTAGCTGGGACGCTGCTCCCCGGCTGAAGTCCCAGAAGGGTGTGGCAGGGGTGCCTGAGCTATTCCAAACTTTATAGGAAGTCCAGTATACACCATTCCTTCACTCATTCCTGAGCATCTGCTCTAGCCAGATGTCAGCGGGGGACAGGGGCACAGCAGGGGACCAGGGAGACAGAGTCACTGTCCTCCTATCCTCACCCCCAGAGAGTGCACAGTCTTACGGGTGAGTAGGGAGAAGCAGAGATCATGAAAATAGCAGACAGCTGTGATAGAGGGAATCCCTGAGAACTTCCTGGAGGAGGTGATGCCTGGGTGGAGGCAATAAGTTGACCTGTCACCAAATCAGTGTCAGTTTAATCACTTTAAGAATGAAACAGGCCGGGTGTGGTGGCTTACGCCTGTAATCCCAGCACTTTGGGAGGCCGAGGCAGGAGGATCACAAGGTCAGGAGATCCAGACCAGCCTGGCCAACATGGTGAAAGCCCATCTCTACTAAAAACACAAAAAAATTAGCCAGGCATTGTGGTGGATGCCTATAATCACAGCTACTCGGGAGGCTGAGGCAGGAGAATTGCTTGAACCCAGGAGGTGGAGGTTGCAGTGAGTTGAGATTGCGCCACTGCACTCCAGCCTGGCGACAGAGAGAGACTCCATCTCAAAAAAAAAAAAAAAAGAAACAGAGGCTGGGCATGGTGTCTGTAATCCTAGTGCTTGGGGAGGCTGAGGCAAGTGGATCATTTGAGGTCAGGAGTTCGAGACCTGTCTGGCCAACCTGGTGAAATCCCATCTCTACTAAAAATACAAAAATTAGCTGGATGTGGTGGCACATGCTTGTAACCTCAGCTACTGGGGAGGCTGAGACAGGAGAATCTCTGGAACCCAGGAGGTGGAGGCTGCAGTGAGCCAAGATGGCACCACTGCACTCCAGCCGGGGCAACAGAGTGAGACTCTCTCAAAAAAAAAAATTAAAAAAAAAAAAAAAAAGCTTGGAATAGACCAGGCAGAATGATCAGGATCAGAATGATTGTCAGGCCCATGCAAAAAAAAAACCCTCCCATGGCGCTCTCCATCTCCTTCCATCCAGAAGCCAAAGTCAATATACGCCTACCTGACCTCCCCCTTCCCCTCTGCCCTGTCTCTTCCACCCTCATCCCCCACTTTAACCCTTGCACATTCCGCCCCAGCTGCACTAGCCTCCCTGCATTCCTCCAAACCACAGGCATGATCTCACCTCAGGGCCCACGCACTTGCCGTTCCCTCTGCCTGGAACGCCCTTCCCCTAGGTGTCTGTCTGGCTGTTCCTATACCTCCCTCTGCTCACATGGCACCTCATGGGGGACACCTTCCCTGGCCACCCTCTCTCCACACAACCCGAACTCCACTCCTCACTCCACATCCCCTTCCCTGCCGCATTCTTCTACATAGCATGTCACAGCGTTGGACACACTAGGTGTTTTATGTAATTATTTTACCTATAGTTCTCCCAGCCACTAAGATGAAAGCAACACGAGGGCAGGGACTCGGTCACAGTCATGGCTCTGTGCCCCGTGCCTGGGATCAACCTGGCACCTACTTAGTTGCAGGTGCTCGTGGGTCACTGAGAAGTTCCTGATGTCTCTGATTAGCAGGATGTTGCAGAACAAATGATTACATGCCACATGCTGTCAGCTTGCACTCAAAGTCTATAACCAGGAGGTGTGTGTGTGTGTGTGTGTGTGTGTGCGCGCGCGTGTGTGAGAGAGAGAGAAAGAAAAGCAGGGAGCAATAACGAGTCATTTTGTCTGTGTCCTCCAACTGGAAGGTAGTAGACGAGATGTCGTCTGTCTTGCCCACTGCTGCGTCTGCTGTTCTTAGAACTTGGCACATAGTAGGTGCTCAGGATTTATCTGCCACACAGCTGTGTGACAGGATTGTGCCCCGTTGGCCAGGGCAGGAGGGGAACAAAGATGGGGATGACTTACGTGTGGCCTGAAACACCCTCACTTTGTCCATCTCAGACCTGGCCACGTGGAGCACCAGTGTATGGTTTGTGAAGAAGTCCTTGGGGGTCTTCGTGCTCAGGGTCATCAGCGACATGTCCTGCAGGTCTGGGATGAGAAGGGCATTGCCTGAGTCACAGGGCCCTGAGACCGCTGCTGGTTTCCCATAGCCACCTCACCTCCTGGTGGAGCCTCACACCCCACCGCTCCCCTGAGACCTCCCTTTACCATGTTGCCTGGTTTTCTTTTCTTTATGCTATTTTGAGTATTTAAATGATGGTTTTCATTTTGGAATGAGAGCTCATTAAGGTTTTGGTCTCCTCCCACTAGGATGAGCTGGGGATGTAACCTCAGCAAAGCGGGGACCACATTTATTAATATTTTGCTCCTTGCAACGTTCCCTGAATCTTGAACCTAGAAAGCCGAGAACTCCCTAGAACAATGACCAGCAGGCGGCAGGCGCTCGGCTGAGATTTGTGCAATGAACGAGTGAAAGGTTTCTGTGCTGGTCCTGAGCAAGAAGTGGGGTTTGTGAACCAACTTGAACAATAGCCAAGAAGGGGTAGAGGGTGGGGAGAGTGAAGAGATGGTTCCCAAGGGACTGACTGATAGCCAAGGGCTTAAAGGCTTTGCGGTCAATTTGGTTTGAATCTGGGATCTGGGTGGGCTTAGGAAACGGATTTCAGCTTTCTCTGCCTCTGTTTCCTCATCACTAAGACAGGGGCAAGAGTTGTACCCACCGTAGAATGGTTGTGAAGATAAAGTCAGGTGATACACAGTGCTTATACCAGCTCTTGGCACCCCGGGAGTGCCCACAAAGGACAGCTGTTGTGATTATTACCGCATGTCAGGCACTGTACAGAGGCTGTCCCCTGGCATCGGGCCAGGCCAACTACATGCAACTTGAAAATACATCCATTTCTATGTTATTCTAAGAGCTCCCCAGGAAGGCCTGCCAGCCAGAGCCCCTTAGCACCTTCCTCCAGCGCAGGTGGATAATGTTTCCTCACTTCAACCCCGGAGCCACCCCCTTAGCAGCCCAGAGGTTTGCCTGCAGAGATCCTGCATTCCCCACCATCCTCATGCCTCTAAACCTGCTCCGGTGTTGGGACGTCCGGGGTTCAAACCCCGAGTCTGCTACGTGTCAGTGCTGTGACCTTGGGCAAATTGCTTAAGTTCCCCGTGCCTTGGTTTTCCTACCTATAAAGGTTTGTGTTGGAAGATCAGATGAGTTAATCATTCCAAAGTGGTCAGAGTCGTGCCCGGCCTATGGCAGAGGTCTCAGGGCCTGCTCTGATATGAGTTTGGGAATGAAAAGCTTTCATTTCGAAGGATTTCAGGCTCCAGGTTTGACCTAAGAGCGTTTAGGTTGGGCAGCAGGGTGAGGCATGGAAACCAGGGCCTGTAGGAGGCATCAGGAGACAGCACTGGCCTCAGCTCTTCCCTGACCGCTGCGTGAGCTTGGGGAGGTCACTTGACCCCCGAGGGCCTTTGCCCATTGCTTCACCTATAAAACAGATTTGCCAACAAGAAGATGCTTTCAATAACCCTTATTTCAGAGGGCCGTCACCAGGTTCAGGCTATGTGGGCAAAAGGGCTTTATAAAAAGCCCTTCCCGTTAGCTAGCAAATGCTCTTTACCTTCGCTGTCAAGCACTTCATCATCCTCGCAGTCCATGGCAGAAGATTCGAGATTGTCTCTGTCACAGTTCACCAGCAGGATGGCACCCTGTCCACAAGGGCCCCAGGTCCAGGTCCTCTGGACACCAGCAGGGAAGAGTCATGCTCAGAAACTAGCATAGAGCCCTCCAACTCTTGCAAGAGGCATAGCAACTCCCCATCACCTCTTTTTTAAAATTTATTTATTTATTTATTATTTTTTTGAGACGGAGTCTCCCTCTGCTGCCAGGCTGGAGTGCAGTGGCGTGATCTTGGCTCACTGCAACCTCCACCCCCCAGGTTGAAGTGATTCTCCTGCCTCAGCCTCCTGAGTAGCTGGTACTATAGGCGCATGCCACCACACCTGGCTAATTTTTGTATTTTTAGTAGAGATGGGATTTCACCATGTTGGCCAGGATGGCTCAATCTCTTGACCTCATGATCCATCCTCCTCGGCCTCCCAAAGTGCTGGGATTACAGGCATGAGCCACCACGCCCGGCCCCCATCACTTCTTTAACCCAGTGCAGTTTACACATCTTGCTTCCACATCAATTAATTATTTGATCTCAGGAGTGGATTTTTGCCTTTTACTCCAAAAGTCACAACCAAATTCACCCAAAACACAATTCATCCATTTAAAAAAAGGAGCCCAAGACAGTCACATGGATTTTAACAGCTTTTAAGAAATGTTGGCTGGGCGCAGTGGCTCACACCTGTAATCCCAGCACTTTGGGAGGCTGAGGCAGGCAGATCACCTGAGGTCAGGAGTTCAAGACCAGCCTGGCCAACATGGCGAAACGCTGTCTCTACTAAAAATACAAAAATTAGCTGGGCGTGGAGGCATGCACCTGTAATTGCAGCTACTCAGGAGGCTGAGGTAGGAGAATCACTTGAACCTGGGAGGCGGAGGTTGCGGTGAACCGCCCCTGCACTCCAGCCTGGGAGACAGAGCATGACTCCATCTCAATAAATAAATAAATAAATACATAAATACATAAATAAATAAATAAAATGTTGAGCTTGACAAACCAAATGCAGCTAAATATGTATGTCAATATTCTAATCTAAATAGTTACTATTATGTGAACTCTTAATTACTCATTCAGCAAAGTGTGGTACTATTCTTAGCAGCCAGTTAATATCTGCCTAGAGATTAAAGCACATTAAGCAGCCCCACCCTGTAGGGATCTAATAGTGATGGCGCCTCCCTTCGCGGGAGAGCGTTTGCCCCTGGGAAATGACTGCATTTCGGGAGGGATACAGGGACAGATTCTACTCCTAGAGTTGTAATTTGTCTTCCCACTTTTGCTGACCCCACAAAGGATCTTCATCTTTTTACAGGGCACAGCCCCCAGTGCACACCAGCATAAAATGGTGCAGGCAGCTCTGGGGTTTCAGGTTTACCTGCAGACTCTGGTTTAAGACAGCGTTCACCTGCCCTTTCTGCACATCCCATCATCCTGTCTTTCCACAACACACCCTCCCTCTCCCCACCTGGCTCCTTCCCGCCTCTCCCCCTGCCATTTCTTCCTTTCTCTGTTATTCCCCCATGTAGACAGCTCTGCAGAAATCTCTCCCATATCAGCTGTAGAGCATGGAGTAGGGAGTTTTTGAGCCAGAGTCGAGACCTGCCCACGAATTTCCTCTCTGCTGTGTATTAACTGGGTGACTCAGTAGGGTTTCCAGTTTGTAGGATAACACATCTGAACCCACAATTGGTGAAATTCTGATTTTGTAAAATAGATGGGAAATACATAAGCCAAAATATTAATGGTGATGCTAATTTTCTTTCTTTTTTTAACAGTTAACACGGAATACGTGGGACAGGCCAGCATTTGCCCCATCACCACAAGGGGGCGCCCGGGGAGAATCCAGTAGAAGTAGGAAAGGAGCGTTTGGGTGAGTGGTACCTGATCTTTCACAGCTCTGGTTGGCTTCACTTTGCCGGTGCGGGTGATGTCTGCGCACAAGGAGATTTCTGAAATCCCATCAAGTAAGAGGAGAGGTTGGTGAGGGTCCGGGGTTGGGGCACCCAGCCTGGCCCTGAATGGGCAGGTCGTTTCCCCAGGGGACTGTGTGCACCCATAGTGTGAGCCCCTCTTCCCGTCCTTCAGAGGAGACACAGGTTCAAGACATCCCTCCTCCACGGCCCCCAGGAAGTCTGGCTACAGTTCGGACAGCAGAGCTGGGGCCTCTGACCACACCTGTTCCCCTTCAGCGGGGCCACAACTGTGATGTCCACCAGACCCTGCACGTCTGGCCACCCCCAGGGATTTTGGAAGGAATTCCCAACCACCACAATGAGAGGTTCGATGTGAAGCCTCTGCAGGCACACCCTGCCAGCCTCTCGAAAGACTCTGGCCCCAGCCCTCAGTGACCTTGGGGTGGGGGACCCAGCGGTGACACCAGCCCCACGGGCTCTTCATGACATGTGTTGTGACTGTATCTGGGGACAAATTGCAACCCTGAACATGCCCCCACTCTGTCCAAATGGCTTGGCTGAGAAAGCAAACATTTGTTTGTAAATCCTTCCTCCCTCATCCGAATATATGACTGCAAGGTCATTCCAATAAAATAGATCCGTGTGCCCCACAGCATGATATGGTGACCCTTGTCCCACATGAGACTGACCCAGATGACCTTCTAAACATATTCATAGCCACGTCTTAGTTAGGGCCGGGGAAGCATTGTCCTTTCGTGGCCTGGACTTCCTGACTCCTTCACTAACCAATTGCATGACCTTGGACAAGTCTGTTTAGCTCTTGTGCCTCAGTTTCCTCACCTGTAAAATGGGATGATAATAATAATACCAATTTCACTGGATTGTTGTAAGGATTAAATGTAAAGTCTTAGCACAGTGCCTGGCAATTGAGTAAGTGCTGTAGTATTATTACTTAAATATGCATTAATGAATGAAATGCATTAATGAAATGAAACCTGAAGATTCTATATGCTACATATTATATATATATGTGTGTGTATATATATATTTTTTAGTTTTTGAGACTGGGTCTCACTCTGTCACCCAGGCTGGAGTGCAGTGGCACAATCATGTAGTCTTGACCTTCTGGGCTCGAGCAATCCTCCCACATCAGCCTCTTGAGTAGCTGGGACTACAGGCACATGCCACCATGCTCAGCTGTTTTTTTTTATTTTTTGTAGAGACAGGATCTCACTATGTTGCCCAGGCTGGTCTCAAACTCCTGGGCTCAAGCGATCCTCCTGCCTCCGCCTTCCAAAGCGCTGGGATTGCAGGTGTGAGCCACCATGTCTGGCTGCTACTTATATGTTTAATACACATAATGATACTAATCATGATATTATTGTTCAAAATGAGGTCAAGTTTAAGAATGGATTTTATTTAAAGAAGAACATTACATAAATATGAGTATAGGTGGATCATTGATATGGCAGAAATGGTGAAGATGAGATATAAATAATGGAATTTGAGGAACACTATCTATATTCTTGTATAAGACAGTGTCATTATCTACTTTTTGTTATAGATATTTGAGGTATCAAAAAGGAATAGAGGGCCTGGCGCAGTGGTTCATGCCAGTAATCCGAGCACTTTGGGAGCCTGAGGCAGGCAGATCACCTGAGGTCAGAAGTTCGAGACCAGCCTGGCCAACATGGTGAAACTCCATCTCTACTAAAAATACAAAAATTAGCCAGGCGTGGTGGCAAGCGCCTGTAGTCCCAGCTACTAGGGACGCTGAAGCAGGAGGATCGCTTGAACCTGGGAGACGCAGGTTGCAGTGAGCCGAGATCATGCCATTGCACTCCAGCCTGGGTGACAGGGTGAGACTCCATCTCAAAAAAAAAAAAATTAATGGAGATGCATATATTGAAAATCCAAGTTCCTACTTCCTAACTTGAGAAGCAAAATGTTAAGATATAATTAAAATTCCCCGCACCACCACTGCCACATTGTATTTCTTTGTGGTTCACTGACTAAGGATGGAATATTTCGAACTCCCAGATGTCTGACTGGCTAGAAACCATGCTTTTTCTCTACTCAGTCTAAAGTAAGCTCCAGGTGTAGTTTCTCCTACAGAGACATCCTGCAGGGATTAGGAGGTGGGCAGGGGATGAGACGGCACTCTAGGATCCTGGTTGTCACTTACCCACCCCGGTGAGGTAGAGTAGAGCTTTGACTGGTGGAGTCTTGGGTCCGTAGTATGAAATCTGAACCTATGGGAGAGCAGATCACTAATGACTTCTCTTAGTCATTCAACAAACACCCACTGGACCCCCTCCTATGTGCCGGCTCAGGGTAGGGCACTGGGGAGACAAAGTTGGGCAAGAACTGGTCCTAGCCTGTAAGGAGTGGCCCCATCCGATGGGAATGGAGGGAAAGCAAAAAGCTTGAATGACTGGTGCTACAGAAGAGCATCCTATGGGGGCCCAGCAATGGAGACACTCTGCCTGGCAGGGTCGTTTGTGAAGGAGTGTGCTTTGAGGTAGATCTGGGAAAGGGAGTAGGGGCCCAGCAGCTGGAGATGGGGCAGAAGAGGCGCTAGAGAGAGCTGATCATAAGCCACAGAACTGACTCTGGCAAGCAGAAGGGATCAAGGAAAGACCTGAAGAACCAGACCCTGGAAAGGCCGGGTCCTGGGGGATCTGGGGAGCAGGAGCTTTGAGTGGATGGAGGTTTCTTCAGGAAGAGATGAGAAAACACCAATCCACTGTGCCCAAGGTTCAGAAATCCTAGGAGAACACCTCGGATTGGCCAGAGGAGGGTGGAGCATCTGGGTTGACACATCCAAGCAAAATGGCGGTGGGGAGTTTCCAAAGCAGAGCCAAAGAGCTGCCACCAGAGGAAGAGGAGCTCCTGAGGGGCCACGCGGAGGTGCTCGGACCTGCCCTGTAGACAGTGGAAATCCAGGAAAACGCCACGGCCATCACTGCCTCTGCCTGGACCATGGTGTCAGCCTTCTGTCTGGTCTCCCTGCCTCCCACCCACTCCCTAGATCCTATCTACTTGCTAGGCCACAGCCATTGGGATCCTTCTAAAGTACAAATGCTGTCTTGTTATTCGCTGGCTGAAAACTTTTTGTTGGCTTCCTGTTGTTTGCAGAAAATGAGGTCCCTGATACCAAACTCTTCAAACTGACTCCTTCACCTCCTGTTCCATCTACCTTTCTTGCCATACAGAACTTCCTCAGTTTCCCCAACACGTGTCTCACCCTTTTCTCATCCAGAGAGTGCACACAGCCTGCCCCTCTGTGTCAAACTCTCTCCTCTCTCCTGCTCTTAGGTGGGTAGTTCGTGTCACCCTTCAGCTTGCTACTTCTTTCAGGAAGCCTTCCCCGACCACCCCCTCCCCAGCCTGCCTGGATAGTCAAGCTCTGTGTTCCCCCAGGGAGAAGCCTGCTTGGCTGGTTCTGCTGGGAATAAGTGGCTGTTGGCCCAGAGATCTGTGGGAACCCCAGAGGGTCCTGTTGAGCCCATCTACAGGCAAAGGGGGTGTAGTAGGTGGAATGGTGGTCCCCAAAAAGATACATCCATATCCTAATCCCTGGAACTTGTCGATGTGATTTCATTTGGAAAAAAAGTCTTTGCAGATCTAAGTTGAGGATCTTGAGACCAGATGCGGTGGCTCATGCCTGTAATCCCAGCACTTTGGGAGGCCGAGGTGAGTGGATCACTTGAGGTCAGGAGTTTGAGACCAGCCTGACCAACATGGTGAAATCCCATCTCTACTAAAAAAAATACAAAAATTAGCTGGGCATGGTGGCGAGTGCCTGTACTCCCAGCTACTTGGGAGGCTGAGGTAGGAGAATCGTTTGAACCCAGGAGGCGGAGGTTGCAGTGAGCCGAGATTGCACCACTGCAGTCCAGCCTGGGCGACAGAGCGAGACTCTTGTCTCAAAAAAATAAAAAAGGATCTTGAGATGAGGAGATCACCCTGGACCATCCAGCTGGGCCCCACATCCCATGGCAAGTACCCTTATGAGAGAGGCAGAGGGGGATTCCACAGAGAAGGGGCAGAGGCAGTGCGACCATGGAAGCAGACTGGAGTGAGACAGCCACAGATCAGACTGCTGACAGCCCCCAGAAGCTGGAGGAGGCAAATAATTATTCTCCCCTGGAGCCTCCAGAAAAATCTGGCCCTGCTGGCACCTTGACCTCAGACTTCTGAACCCCAGAACAGTGAGAGGATACACTTCTGTTGTTTTAAGCAAACCATGGAGATTTTCTTTCTTTTGTTTTTTTGAGACGGAGTTTTGCTCTTTCACCCAGGCTGGAGTGAAGTGGCGCAATCTTGGCTCACTGAAACCTCCCCCTCCCGGGTTCAAGAGATTCTCCTGCCTCAGCCTCCTGAGTAGCTGGGATTACAGGCGCTCGCCACTACGCCCAGCTAATTTTTGTATTTTTAATAGAGATGGGGTTTCACCGTGTTGGCCAGGCTGGTCTCAAACTCCTGACCTCAGGTGATCCACCCGCCTCGGCCTCCCAAAGTGCTGGGATTACAGGTGTGAGCCACTGTGCCCGGCCAGGCCACCATGGTGATTTTCTATACCAGACACAGGAAACCGATCCAGGAGCATGGACCAGCATCCCTTGGGGCTACCAGTTTGTGGCCTCCATAGAACTCAGTATCATTTGCAATTGTTTGTTTACCAGTAGATTCTCTGATGCTACCATTCATAGGTTGTAAGCCCCATGAGGGCTGCACCCTCAGCTGTCTTATTCATTTCTGGATTCCCAGTGCCTGGCAGTGTCTAGCAGTGTCTGGCATGTGTTAGGTACTGACTAAAGATTTGCTGAATAGAGTTTAATCTAAACCCTGACCTCCATGAACCCCTGGTAGCCGTATATTATTGTCCCCAAGGACACTATGGCTGGAAGAAGCCATCACGAGCTCTTCCACAGGGCAAGAGGCTCTGCCAGGCTGGTGCTGTGGATCACGGCAGGACAGAGTGTGTGTGGCTGCCCTGCTGAAGCCCATCCACACTGCCACCCCACAGCTATGACACTCACCTTCTGGTCGCCTGTGCTACCACTGGCCACTTTCATCGTCAGGGTCACCTCTACCCCAGGGTCCAGGGGCCATGTGGAGGAACCTGTGGATTTCTTCTTGGCTGGAGGGCCGTGGGCAATATCCACGACCACCCCTGGGGAGGCGTTGATGCTGAAGGACGTGCAGTCCTCAGGGGCAGAGCTGTGGACAAGACACATGGGAAAGCAGAGGATGCAGTGAGGAGGGGCTGGGCCAGCCATGGCTCTCCCAGCATTTCTCCTTGTGATGGTTAATATTAGGTGTCAGCTTGTTTGGACTGAAAGATGCGAAGTATTTTTTCTGGGTGTATCTGTGAGGGTGTTGCCAGAGGAGGTTGGCATTTGAGTCAGTGGACTGGGAGAGGAAGACCCACCCTCAGTATGGGTGGGCACCATCCAGTCGGCTGCCAGCAAGGCTACAACAAAAACAGGTGGAAGAGGTGGGATCACCTTGCTCACTGGGGCTTCTGGCTGCCTTCTTTCTCCAATGCTGGATGCTTCCTTCCGCTCCTCCTGCCCTTAGACACTAGACTCCAGGTTCATTGGCTTTTCGACTCTGGGACTTGCTCCAGTGGCTTGCTAGGGGCTCTTGGGCCTTTGGCCACAGACTGAAGGCTGCATTGTTGGCTTCCTTGGTTTGAGGCTTTCAAATTCAGACTGAGCCACTGCCAGCTTCTCTCTTCCCCAGCTTGCAGATCGTGGGACTTTGCCTTGTGATCGTGTGAGCCAGTTCTCCCTAATAAACTCTCTCTCACACACACACACCCTATTATTCTGTCCCTCTGGAGAACCCTGACTAATATACTCCTTTTCCCAACAGGTGTAAAAACCAAACAGCAGCCAGTGCTTACTCTGACCGTGGGGAGTAAGTACTGTAAGGTTGTCAGGAGGGAATGAGACTGACAGAAAGCGAATCCCCTGACCTGAAGGGTTTGCATTTGAACTAGAAAAATAGCAGAGGGATGGGCACACTAAAGGCTCCCACACACACAGATGTAGGCATGGAGGGGTGTGTCCACCCAGAGGTTTCCACCACGCCACTGTGCACACGCAGGATTGTGCATGTACAAAGCATCATAGACTTCTGCTTCTGGAATTGTGGCAGACCAGGTACTCTGAAGGACCTTCCTCTTAAGAAACAACTGGATCATGGATAAAATATACTTTTTAAAGTATTGCTGAACTCATGAGAAATAAGGTACATCTCCCAGAATTAGCCTTCTTCATGTGCACACAAACATACACACACATGCACATACACAGTGGTCAAAGTGAAGAACATCAAAGACAAAGAGAGGATCTTAAAGGCATTCAGAAAGGAAAGTCGGATTATCTAGGAGGAAATAACAATTCGATTGGAAGCAGACTTGTCAACAACAGTGACATCCAAAAAACAGTTGTGTCATCTCTTTATAGTATTTCGGGAAAATAGTTGACCCTTGAACAGCACAGGTTTGAACTGCGTGAGTCCACTTCTACTCTGATTTCCTTCCTCCTCTGCCACCCCTGAGACAGCAAGACCAACCCCCCTTCCTCCTCAGCCTACTCAACATGAAGACGAGGCTGAAGACCCTTATGATGATCCACTTCCACTTAATGAACAGTAAATATATTTTCTCTTCCTTATGATTTTCTTTTCTTTAGCTTACTTTGTTGTAAGACCACAGTATATAATACATGTAACATACAAAATATCTGTTAATCAACTGTTTATGTTACTGGTAAGCCTCCCATCAACAGTAGTCTATTAGTAGTTAAGTTTTGGAGAGTCAAAGTTATACAAGATTTACTATTTTTTTTTTTTTTTTGAGACAGAGTCTCACTGTCGCCCAGGCTGGAGTGCAGTGGCGTGATCTTGGCTCACTGCAAGCTCTGCCTCCTGGGTTCACGCCATTCTCCTCCCTCAGCCTCCTGTATACACAGATTTTCAACTACATTGGGGGTCAGCAGTCCTATCCACAATGTTATTCAAGGGTCAGTTGTAACTGTTAACCTAGAATCGTGCACTCGTACAAAAAATATCTTAATAAAGATATTTATTAAGATACTAATAAAATATTAATATTAATATTTTATTAATAAATTATATCTTAATATAATTTATTATATTAAGATATCTTAATAAATATCATAATAAAAATATCTTAATATAGATATTTTTGGATGAACAAAAACCGATATTTTAAAATCAGATTTTCACCAAGGCAATTTCTGAAGGCGTAGTTTAGGATGGAGGTATCTGATGTCATAAGAATGGTCTGAAGTGCAACAAAGAATCGTGAACAAATAAAATGGTAAATATTTTGGTAAATCTAAACCAACATTGTATACAAAAAAGTCATAAAAACTGTGGGATAAAAAAGGCAGAATATAATTTGGCAGGAGGATGAGAGAGTTGAAGTATTTTGAGGTCCTTGATTAAAATGGGAATTAAGATATTGTTTAACTCTAGATTTTTTAGAGTTAAACTTATTTTTTTTTTTTAGAGACAGGGTCTCCCTTTGTCACCCAGGGTAGAGGACAGTGACGTGATCACAATTCACTGCAGCCTTGACCTCCTATGCTCAAGTGATCCTCATGTCTCAGCCTCCCAAGTAGCAGGGACTACAGGTGCATGCCACCACACCCAGCTAATTTTTAAAATTTTTTGTAGAGACAGAGTCTCGCTATGTTACCCAGGCTGGTCTCAAACTCCTGGCCTCAAGCAATCCTTCTGCCTTGGTCTTCCAAAGTGTTGGGATTACAGGCATGAGCCACTGTGCCTGGCCTAAACTTTTATGCGCCTGGCCTATACTTTTAAAGGTCTTTGGCCGAGCACGGTGGCTCATGCCTATAATCCCAGCGCTTTGGGAGGCAAAGGCAGGAGGATTGTTTGCACCCAGGAGTTTGAGACCAGCCTGGGCAACATAGGAAGATCCTGTCTGTACAAAAAATAAAACAATTAGCTGGGTATGGTGGCTTGTGCCTGTAGTCATGGATACTCAAAATGCTGAGGAAAGAGGATCACTTGAGTCCAGGAGGTCAAGGATGCAGTGAGCCATGATTCTGCACTCCACAACATCTGCACTCCATCCTGGGCAACAGAGTGAGAACCTGTCTTTAAGAAACAAAATAAATAAAGATATTCACCAAAATAATAGAAATAGCATTTATAAATTTCTACACATGGAAAAAATGCAATAATAAGAAAATGAATAGGAGAACTGCCTTCCAAAAAAGCAAGGAAAGAGAAAAGGCCACATAGGGAGAAATTGGACAAATAAAAATAAAAGATTGGTGAGAACAAATCCAAATATGTAAATAATTGCTTGTAATCCCAGAACTTTGGGAGGCTGAGGTGAGAGGATCACTTGAGGTTAGGAGTTTGAGACCGGCCTGGCCAACGTGGCAAAAGCCAGTCTCTACTAAAAAAAAATACAAAAATTAGCTGGGCATGGTTGTACGTGCCTGTAATCTCAGCCACTTGGGAGGCTGAGGCAGGAGAATTGCTTGAACCCGAGAGGCAGAGGTTGCAGTAACCTGAGATCACGCCACTGTACTCCAGCCTGGGTGACAAAGCGAGACTCCATCTCAAAAAAAAAAAAAGTAAATAATCAAAATAAATATAACAGGATTAATATTGCCAGTTAAAAGAGAGTTTTCATTAAATAAACAAAATCCAGTAATATACTGATTATAAGAAACACATCTAAAATATAACGATCCAGAAAAGTTGAAAAATTTTTAAAAAGGATAAAAGATACATTAAGCAAATGCTAACTCAAAGAGAGCTGGGATGGATATATTAATATCAAAAGAATGAATTATTAGACAAAACACATTGGTATCAATAGAGAGGATTACAACCTAATGATATACGGTTTAACTTACCTAGAAGATATTCTAAACTTGTATGCATCTAATAAGAGCCTCAACATATATAAAGCAAGGCTGGGCATGGTGGCTCATACCAACACATTGGGAGGCCAAGGTGGGCAGATCGCCTGAGCCCAGGAGTTTAAGACCAGCCTGAGCAATATGGTAAAACCCCATCTCTACAAAAAATACAAAATAATTAGCCAGGCACTGTGGCATGCACGTGTAGTCCTAGCTACTCAGGAGGCAGAGGTGGGAAGATCACTTGAGCCTGGGAGGCAGAGGTTGCAGTGAGCCAATATTGCACCACTGTACCCCAGCCTGGGTGACAGAGTGAGAGGGTGAGACTGTGTCTCAAAAAAAAAAAAAAAAGCATATAAGGCAAACATTAATAGAAATACATTCATAGGGAAAAGAAGTTGACAAAACCACCATCAGAGTTGAAGATTTCAACTCTTCTTTCTCAATCAACAATAGATTAAGCAGATAAAAATTAAGTAATGATACAGATTTTGCTAACATAATTAACAAAGTTGATTTAGTCGATATATATAGAATTGTGTATCCCACAAGTAGCAAATATACATTTTCCCAAGCAAAGCACACACGGGTCATGGGTCATTTAAAAAAGTGACTATGTAATTGGCCATAAAGCAAGTCAATGACAGTGTGACAAACATTAAAGCATAGGTAATATATGGGTAGCAGAGTCTCTGATCATAATGTAACTAAGTTAGAAGTCACTAGTATAAAGTATGTTTTTAAAAGCACCATACATTTGGAAATTTAAAACCAGACATCTCAATTACTTACAAGTCAAAGGACAATTAATAATGGAAATTAAGTAATAATACTTAGGACTGAGCAATAACTAAAATACTATTTTCAAAACTTTTGGGGAGATGTAAAAGTGATACTTTATGCCTTAAATGTTTATATTTTTAAAAAGAAAGTAAAAGCTGAAAATTAATAGAAAAAGAAAATGTAATGTAAAATCCCAAAATAAAATAAAGTTGGAAGAAATCTGTGAAATAATAAAACAAATCAATAAAGCCAAAAGTTGGTTCTTAGAATAGACCAATAAAACTGACAAATCTCTGGCAACATTGATCAAGAGAAAAAATATTAGGAAAGCAAAAGAAATATTACTGAAGATAAAGCAGATTTTTTTTTTTCTGTAGATAGTTGATAAAAGGTTAACAAAAGACCCACAGAGAACGTCCTGTTTGACAGGGAAAATGTGAAAACCTTCCCTTTAAAGTCAGAAACATGGGGCTGGGTGCAGTGGCTCATGCCTGTAATCCTAGAACTTTGGGAAGCTGAGGTGGGCAGATCCCATGAGGTCGGGAGTTGGAGACCAGCCTGGCCAACGTGGCAAAACCCTGTCTCTACTAAAAATACAAAAATTAACTGGGTAGTGCACGTCTGTAATCTCAGCTACTGGGGAGGCTGAGGCATGAGAATCGTTTGAACCTGGGAGGCAGAGGTTGCAGTGAGTCAAGATTGTGCCATTGCACTCCAGCCTGGGTAACAGAGTGAGACTCTGTTTAAAAAAAAAAAAATCAGGAACGTGGTAGGATCAAAAAGTCACATCTTTTTAACATTGTGTGGATGATTCTAAGCACTGCAGCAAGAGAAAAAAAGACATAAAGTAAAAGATATAAAGAGTGAAAAGTAAGAAAAAAACTGCCAATATTGACAGAAAATACAGTTGTCTGCAAACTCCAAAAGAGTGAATTAAACTTTTTTAAAAATTAAAAATAAATAAAAAGACAAAAGTTTAATAAGGTGACTAATAAAGTAAAGAGGAAAAAATAAATTACATTTCTATACATCAGCAATAAATAGGAAACAAATATTTTTCTTTTTTTCTAGCAAACCATTTCTTTAAGAAGAAAACAATTTTTAAAAAACTGATGTAATTTACAAAAGGAAAAAATACTGTAAAGTACCTAGGATAAATCTAGCAAAATGTGTAAGATTTTTATGAAGAAAATATTCAAACTTTATTGAAAGCCATTAGAGAAGATCCAAATAAATAGAAATACTATGTATATGGTTAGGAAGCCTTGTTGCCGTAAAGGTATGAATTCTCTCCAATGGATTTATATATTCAATGGAATTTTAGGGTTTCTTATGGAACTTGACAAGTTGATTTTTAAATCTACACGAGAAATCCAGGAACTAAGTTGGTCAAGGTACTTGTAAAGGAAAGTAGTAAAAGGTGAGGCACTTTCTCAACCAGGTATAAGACTTCCTATAAAGCCATGGAACTTAAGATGGGGTTTTAATGGCTCAGGCCAAGACAAAGGAAGGATAAAACTTAAAGGACATACAACTTGATCTATGACAGAAATAGGCTTGCAGATGGCTGGAGGTAGTAGAGACTATATCATAAATGTTGCTGGAGCAATTGCTCATTCATATAGAAAATACTAAATTGGAAAAATAATTAAATTGATCCCAGCCTCACACCATACACAAAAATCAGCTGGAGGGAGATAAAGACTTAAATGTGAAAGTCAGAACTTTGAATCTCTAGAAGAGGATACAGGATAACATATTTATGCTTTCTCTGAAACAAGACTCAAAACCAGTAAACCTGAAGGAAAAGATCAAAAAATTCAACTAGATGTAAATAAATAGGCCAGGTGCAGTGGCTCACACCTTTAATCCCAGTGCTTTGGGAGGCCAAGGTGGGAAGATCACTTGAGCCAGGAGTTCAAGGCCAGCCAGGGCAACATAGTGAGACCCTGTTTCTATTTTTTAAAAAATTAACATCAATTTAAAAATTAAAAAAGAAAATAAATTCTGTTAATCAAAAGACAATATAAAGTAAAAAGACAAGCACAATGTAAGGAGAATATATTCACAACATAAAACCAACAAAGGCTTAGCATGCAGACTATTTAAAGAACTTAGGCAAATCAACATGAAAACATGAAGAGGCACTCCACCTTACTAACAAGTAAGAGAATGAAAAGGTTAACACCATAAAGAAATAGGGTTTTATACCCACTCAATTGGTGAAAAATAACACTATAAATGACACGATTCAACAGAAACTCTAACACACTGCTTACTGGAGTGTGAAATTAACCATTTTGCAAAAAAAAAAAAACAAAAAAAACCCAACTTGGTGTTATTAGCCAGCCCCAAACCCAGCAATTTGACTTCTAGGCAGATACTCTGGAGAATCTCTTTCATGTGTTCACTAGGAGACATGTTCAAGAAAGTTCAGAGCAGCCCTTTCTGTAATGTGAACAATGAAACATGGTCTAAATACCCACAAAAGAATAGCTAATAAATTATAGTGGATTCACAGTGGACAATCCCTAGAGAGGCAGAACTCCGTCCACATAAGGTCACAGAAACACTTAGGATTACATGTGTTTTTTGTTTGTTTGTGTTTTTTTTGTTGTTGTTGTTGTTTGTTTGCTTGTTTTTTGAGGTGAGATCTCTGTTGCCCAGGCTGGAGTGTAGTGGTGTGATCTCAGCTCACTGCAACCTCTGCCTCCTGGGCTTAAGCTAGCCTCTCATCTCAGCCTCCCAAGTAGCCAGGACTACAGGTGTGCACCATCACACCCAGCTGATTTTTGTATTTTTGTAGAGATGGGGTTTTGCCATGTCATGCAGGCTAGTCTTGAACCCCTAGACTTAAGTGATCTGCTGCCTTGGCCTCCCAAAGTGCTGGGATTACAGGCATGAATCACAGTACCTGGCTTAGGATTACATTTTCTATTTTTATCTTTGTATTGAATATTTGTCTCTATATTAAGAGTTATATGTATTCATTATAAAGAATTAGGAAACTACAGGAAAAGTATATGGTGGACAGACTTCTAAGATGGTCCCCAGTAATTCCCGTCTCTGCTGTTCATGCCCTTGTGTAATTCTCTCCCCTTGAGTATGGGCTGGACCTACTGACTTCCTTCTAACCAAGGAAGTAAAAGTGCTGGAATATCACTTCTGTCATAAGGTTACAATAGAATTCTCTCTCTGTCTCTCTCTCTGCCTCTCTCTCTGCCTGTCTCTTGCCTTGCTCACCTTGATGAAGCAAGCTGCCATTTTGTGAGCTATGGAGAGGCCAATGTGGCAGGAAACTGAGGGAGGCTTCCAGCCAACAGCCAGGGAGGAACTGAGGTTCCAACACCCTGCAAGGCCCTGAATCCTACCAACAGCCATATGAGTGGGCTTGGAAGTGTCACCTTCCCTGGTGGAGCCTTAGCATGACTACGGCTCTACCAATACCTTGATTATGAGAAACCTTGAAGTAGAGAACCCAGCTAAACCATACTGGATTGCTAACCTATAGAAATTATGATACAATAAATGTTATCATTTTGAGCCACTAAGTTTTGGGACAATTTGTTACACAGTATAGATAGCTAATACAGTATACCAGAAGAAAGAAGAAGTGGGAGGGGGAGAAGGGGAGAAAGAGAGAAAAAGAGAAAGAAGAAGGAAAGAAAGAAGGAAGGGAGGGAAGAAGACATAAATTGCCTAGAAGAAAATGAATCTTACCACTTACAGACTGTGAAAGGAAAATACATCTTGGGACCCCAAACTCACTAAGCCAAAGGGAAGAGTCCTGGGAACTGGGTCCCTCAAACCTGCCTCTCATGGTTCATAAATAAAATAACTATAAAGATAAAAAGCTACATACTTCCCTCACAATTGGCCCACAAGGAAATTCCCTGTGGGCCCCAAAGATCTTTACCCTAAAACAGTTCTGTTGAATTTCTCCCTAGCAATTGTACATTTATAGCTTATCTTTTTTTTTGGGGGGGGATGGAGTCTCACTCTGTCACCCAGGCTAGAGTGCAGTGGTGCAATCTCAGCTCACCGCAGCCTCCGCCTCCCAGGTTCAAGCAATTCTCCTGTCTCAGCCTCCCAAGTAGCTGGGACTACAGGTGCATGCCACCACTCCCGGCTAATTTTTTGTATTTTTAGTAGAGATAGGGTTTCACCATATTGGTCAGGCTGGTCTCAAACTCCTGACCTCAGGTGATCCACCCGCCTTGGCCTCCCAAAGTGTTGGGATTACAGGCATGAGCCACCACGCCCAGCTGATAGCTTATCTTTACAGGTACAGGGCAAAGGACAGAGCTTATCTTTACAGGTACAGGACAAAGGACAGAACTCAAAGTCATCCCTCTGCTCCCCTGAGACAAATGCATATGTAATTGCTTCCTCTCCGCTATATTTATGTAATCTCATGTAAAAATGCAGATTCACTGAGCTAGATGAATGCATAAGTGACTACTCCTCTACCTTGCCTCACACGAAAATGGTGTTTTCAGTAAAAGGCTGATCAAAGACTCAAAAGGATGCAACTGTTTGTCTCTTATCCACCCACACATTAAAAAAATTTCTTCATCTTCTTCCATTATCCGCCCTTTCTCCTTTAAATATCCAAGGCCTCAAAATCATCTTCAGAGAAGGGCATGGACCTGCCTCCCAGACACGGGTCCTTAACTTTGGCAAATAAACCTTCTAAAATGATTGACACTCATCTTGGTCATTTTCATTGATTTACAAGACAATCACTAACATTCTGATGTTGATCCTTCAGGAGATGGAATTTGACATAGCCTTTGAAGAACCTAAGAGGTCTGAAGTAGACAGAAGAGGAGATTTCATTCCATCTCCTGCCCACCCTGGCTTGGGCTCTCATTCTACCCTCACGAAGTCAATTTCACATTCTTAAATGACAGCAATTACTTACAGGCAATTTACTCTGCTCCAGGCACTGTTCACATTCTTTCCACACGTTAATTAATTCGGTTCTCACCACTAGCCTGTAAGGCGGGTACTGTTCATTTTACAGATGAGTAAACTGAGGCACAGAGAGGTGAAGTCACTTTCCCAAACTCAAGAGTTAGGTATATTGGATCTCTGCTTCATAAAGAGAGTGAGGGTGGGCCCTGGCCTGGCCCCCAGTGGTCCCCCGTGCTGCTCTCCCTGTGCTATGGTCAGACTGAATGGCCCACAGTTCCCTGCACCTGCCCCCCACTTTCCCATCTCCCGGGCTTTGCTTCTCACCTGCCCCTCATCTGGAGGGCTCTCCCTTCCCACATCCTTCTTGCAGAATCCAATCCAGCCCCAAAGGCCCATCTCAGTGGGTTCTCTGCCATCGAATCCTCCCTTTATCACTCCAACCAAAAGGGATTTCTTCCTCAAAATGAGATCAGCCCTCTGTGGTAGGCAGAACAATGGTCTCCCAAAGATGACCACACCCTAGTCCCCCAAACCTGTGAAGATGTTACCTTACACAGAAAAGGAAACTTGCAAATGTGATTAAGTTAACGATCTTGAGATGGGGAGATTATCCTAGATTAGCCAGATGGGCCCAATGTAACCACAAGTGTCAGAGGCATTTGAACCAGAGCAACTCCATCTTGAATAGGGGTTGCATAAAATAAGGCTGAGATCTGCTGGGCTGCATTCCCAGTAAGTTAGGCATTCTAAGTCACAGGATGAGATAGGAGGTCAGCACAAGACACAGGTCATAAAGACCTTGCTGATAAAACAGGTGACAGTAAAGAAGCTGGCCAAACCCCACCAAAACCAAGACGATGACGAGAGTGACTTCTGGTCGTCCTCACTGCTCGTTATACACTAATTATAATACATTAGCATGCTAAAAGACACTCCCACCAGCGTCATGACAGTTTACGGATACTATGGCAACGCTTGGAAGTTACCCTATATGGTCTAAAAAGTGGAGGAACCCTCAGTTCAGGGAATTGCCCACCCTTTACCCTGAAAACTCATGAATAATCCACCCCTTGTTTAGCATATAATCAAGAAATAACCATAAAAATGGGCAACCAGCAGCCTTTGGGACTGCTCTGTCTATGGAGTAGCCATTCTTTTATTCCTTTGCGTTCTTAATAAACTTGCTTTCACTTTATGGATTCACCTTGAATTCTTTCTCAGGCAAAATTCAAGAACCCTCTTTTGGGGTCTGGATTGGGACCACTTTCCAGTAATACAAAGGTCTTTATAAGAGGGAGGCAGGAGGGTCTGAGTCAGGGAAACTGTGGTGATGGCAGCAGAGATCAGAGTGATGCTGTTGCTGGAAGGGGCCACAAGCCAAGGAATGCGGGCACCTCTAGAAGCTGCAAGGAATGGGTTTGCCCCTGGAGCTTCCAGAAGGAATACAGCCTTGCCGACACCTTGATTTTAGCCAAGTAAGATTCATATTTTGGACTTCTGATCTTGCAAACTGGTAAGTAATAAGTTTGTGCTGTTTGAAGTCACTAAGTTTGTAGTGATTTGTTACAGCAGCAATGTGTTATATTAAGTTTACCCCACAGCTGCCTCCTTAGGTATTTTAAGTTCGGCTGAAAGGTTTTTTCGTACATAGTAAACTGTAACCTAACTGGAGGTGTAAACAGCCCGTGACCTACTTTTATACCAAGCACTGTTTTGGCTGATCTCAGGCAGCCAACTGTTCAAACCATGTTCAAATGAGGCCGATGCCGAGCTGTAGTCAATCCAGCTGTTTCTGAGCCTCGCTTCCGTGCTCTGTGGGTCACTTTCGTTTTTCTGTCCGTAAATATTGTTCAACCATGTGGCAGCTCCTGAGTCTTTCTGAACCTATTCTGGTTTGGGTAAAAGGGGCTGCCTGATTCACTAATGGTTCTTTGCTCCACTAAGCTATTAAATTTAATTTGTCTTGTGTTTCTTTTAACAAATAGGAAACTAATACACCCTCTGTCTTTGAATGTCTCTCTCTCTCTTTTTTTAAGCACAGTGCACTGCAACTCAACCTCCCAGGCTGAAGTGACCCTTCCACCTCAGCCTCCTGAGTAGCTGGGACCACAGGTACATGCCATCACCCCTGGCTAATTTTAAAATAATTATTGTTTGTAGAGATGGAGTCTCCTTATCTCCAGACTGGTCTTGAACTCCTGGGCTCAAGGGATCCTCCCATCTTGGCCTTCCAAAGTGCTGGGATTACAGACATGAGCCACCACGCCATGCCTCTGTCTCTCTCTTGATCCTAGGTAAAACCCTGTACTCTTGAGTGATATGATGGCCGAGGTCTGGAAAAGTGGCAGACAATCAAAAAAACACTTGAACCAAAATCAGCATCTTCCTAAGAAAAAGGAAGAAGCAAGGGGCATGTGGTAGTAGATTTTTTTAAAAGTTAGTATACTGGCCAGGCACGATGGCTCCCGCCTGTAATCCCAGCATTTTGGGAGGCTGAGGTGGGAGGACTGCTTTCTACCAGCCTGGGCAAAATAGCTAGACCCTGTCTCCACAAAAAGGAAAAAAAAAGGCTGGGCGCAGTGGCTCCCGCCTGTAATCCCAGCACTTTGGGAGGCCGAGGCGGGTGGATCACAAGGTCAGGAGATCGAGACCATCCTGGCTAACATGGTGAAACCCCATCTCTATTAAAAATACAAAAAAAAATTAGCCGGGAGTTGTGGCGGGTGCCTGTAGTCCCAGCTACTCGGGAGGCTGAGGCAAGAGAATGGCATGAACCCGGGAGGCGGAGTTTGCAGTGAGCCAAGATCGCGCCACTGCACTCCAGCCTGGGTGATAGAGCGAGACTCCATCTCAAAAAAAAAAAAAGAAAAAAAATCAGCATGCCAATTTTCGCCTTGTGTGCATATGAACGGCAAAAGGTGAAAATATAAAAATGTTTATTCAGAGCTCAAAGTCACAGGAAGTCTGATCAAGACATTAAGACACACTCAGCAGTCAGGTTATTCTTCCCGCCTCCGTTTGGGAGTTTGACATTTAGAATTTCTGTCATCCTCAGTGACATTTCGGTCTTGGCACCTTCTCCCGTCCTGACACTGTTGCCTGAGTTGGTGTTCACATGCCTGCAGCAGATGACAAGCTAGTCACCTTTCTCTGTGTGGCCATTAACCTTTGTTTTCACAATCATCCTATGAGTGAGCCATTGTTATTCTTTTACAGATGAGAAAACAGGTTCAGAGAGGCAAAGTGACGTTTCTGGGTGCTGGCTGATAATGGCAGGTCTGGGTCCTCTTGCAGCCCAGCCTGGTGCCATTCCTGCCACATCACGACTACCTCCTTCTCTGCATTGGTGCCACTCTGCTGTGCCCAGCATCCAGCACTTCCTAAAGACCAATGCTTCCCAAAGTGTGGTCTTCGGAACAGCAGCATCTGCCTCACTGGGGAATTTGTTAAAAATGCAGATTCTGGGGCTCCACTCAGACTTACTGAGTTGGAAACTCTAGGAGTGGGGCCCAGAAGTGTGTGTTTTTTGTTTGTTTTGGTTTTTCTGAGAGGAGGTCTTGCTGGAATGCAGAGGCACAATCATGGCTCACGGCAGACTTGAACTCCTGGGCTCAAGCAATCCTCCGGCCTCAGCCTCCTGAGTAGCTGGGACTACAGGCACACACTACCACATCCAGCTAATTTAAAAAACATTTTTATAGAGATGAGAGTCTCAGTATGTTTCCCAGGCTGGTCTCGAACTCCTGGCCTCAAGTGATCCTCCTGCCTTGGCCTCCCAAAGTGCTGGGATTACAGGCGCAAGCCACAGTGCCCGGCAGCAATCTGTGTTTTAACACGCTCTCCAGATGCTTTTGATACACACTCAAGTGTGAGAACCACTGCCAAAGAAGATGCTAATACGAGTTTGCTGAATTACCCTGATTTTTGAGTGGAATCTGAGGGAACCATGCCATGATGCACAGGACAGAATAAATAAAGCATTATGATGGCCAGGCATGGTGGCTCAAGCCTGTAATCCCAGCACTTTGGGAGGCCGAGACGGGCGGATCACGAGGTCAGGAGTTCGAGACCAGCCTGGCCAACATGGTGAAACCCCGTCTGTACTAAAAATACAAAAAAATTAGCCAGGTGTGGTGGTGGGTGTCTGTAATCCCAGCTACTCAGGAGGCTGAGGCAGGAGAATTGCTTGAACCTGGGAGGTGGAGATTGCAGTGAGCCAAGATCTCACCATTGCACTCCAGCCTAGGCGACAAGAGCGAGACTCCGTCGGCATTATGTCTGTGGCGTGCATTGTTATTGCTATTTTCTTATGCAGAAAAGCCATACACACAGCCAGGCATGGTGGCTCATGCCTGTAACCCTAGCACTTTGGGAAGCTGAGGCAAGTGGATTGCTTGAGTCCATAAGTTTGAGACCAGCCTGGGCAACATGGCTAAACCCCATCTCTACAGGCATCTCCATGACAACTCTGCGACATACGTACTATTGGAGTTCCCCTTCTACAAATGAAGAAACTGAGGCTGGAGAGAATGCATACACTGGTATCTGTTGAGAGCTACTGTGAGCCTGGCGTTCTACACACACTGTCTCATCGGCTGAACATTCACGGCAGCACTATGAGGTCTTGCTACTGTGAGGCAGGCATCCCTCTTCCCATTTTACAGATGAGCACACTGAGGCTCTGCCCCAGTCATGCAGTCCCACAGCTTCTACTGAATGCCCGGCTGAAATGCAGCTACAGATAGAAGCTGGGCGCGGGGCAGGGGAGACGGGTGGGGGGGTTGTTTTTGGGCAGGGGTGTTATTTTATTTATTTATTTATTTTAATTAATTAATTAATTTATTTATTTATTTATTTATTTATTTTGAGACGGAGTCTCACTCTGTCGCCCAGGCTCGAGTGCAGTGGTGCGATCTTGGCTCACTGCAAGCTCCACCTCCCAGGTTCATGCCATTCTCCTGCCTCAGCCTCCCAAGTAGCTGGGACTACAGGCGCCCGCCACCAGGCCTGGCTAATTTTTTTGTATTTTTAGTAGAGACGGGGTTTCACTGTGTTAGCCAGGATGGTCTCGATCTCCTGACCTCGTGATCTGCCCACCTCAGCCTCCCAAAGTGCTGGGATTACAGGCGTGAGCCACCGCGCCTGGCTATTTATTTATTTTTGAGACAGAGTCTTGCTCTGTCACCCAGGCTGGAGTGCAGTGGTGTGATCTCGGCTCACAGCAACCTCCACCTCACAGGTTCAAATGATTCTCCCGCCTCAGCCTCCTTAGTAGCTGAGACTACAGACGTGTACCACCATGCCCAGCTAATTTTTGTATTTTTAGTAGAGACGGGGTTTCGCCATGTTGACCAGGCTGGTCTCAAACTTCTGGCCTCATGTGATCAGCCCACCTTGGCCTCCCAAAGTGTTGGGATTATAGGCGTGAGCCACTGCATCCAGCCAGGAGTGTTATCGACATAAATGGGAAGATGGGGGTGGCAGCCTCCTCATCAGGAGGAGGAAAAGGCAGGGAGCCAGGCTGGTTTTGTTTTTGCCGGGCCATCTGGGTGGAGGCACCCTGTGGATAGGGGCCGAGAGAGGAGGGGTCAGGGCAGAGCTGTGGGTCATCAGGGAGGCAGCCAGGTTCAAGTGACAGGTGTAGCCCTGGGGGCTGTGAGGTCACCGTGGGTGGGGACTGGGGGTTGAGAGAGCAGCCCCTGAATGGGAACCCAGTGTAGGATCCCAGAATTTTCTCCAAAAATGGAAAGGAAGAATTCCTCTTTCCCAGGGCTACAAGGGAAGGTATGAGAAAAGGGTGTGGGTCACAGCAGGCACCGATTTTTAGAAAGTTTTCTTTTACTTGCTCCTCCCCTTCTCTCTCTCCTGTTGAACTCACACTGCAGTCTTTGACCAAAGGAGCCAGTGTTGGGGGTCCTTCCCGAAGGGCCATGGAAGCAAAAAACCATGTCCCAGTGGCCTGGGATGTAGGGGCTCCTGCGCTGTAAGGGATGGTGGTGGCTGATGTCAGGATGGTGGAATGTTTTTGAGTATGTTCTCTTTCTCTCCATATCCCTCTCAATTTTTCTCTCTTTCCCTTTTATCCTCCGCCTGCTCTTGTTGCAAAAAGATTTCATGATAGCTGAGTGCCAAGTACGTCCCACACATTATAGGGGATGCAAAGAGGAATGACACCCTTCCTGCTCTCAACTTTCTTTCATTCACTCAACAAACACTTAAATAGCACCTCCTGTGTGACAGGCATAGTTTCCCTTAAAACACACACTCATTCCTTCATTCGTTCATTCAATCAATCAATCAATCACCACACACTCACTCACCCCTCACTGTGTACCAGACCTTGTGCTGAGGACAAAGGTGGATGGGGCAAGGTGGAAAATCTGGGGTTCCCTTGTGGACTCCCCCCAGTCCTCCTTGACAAGGACGTCATTCTACATCTGCTAAACTCAAGCCATGGCTGTCCCTGCCTGTCCCCTCAGCTCAGGTGGTGGCTTTCCCACCTGCTCCCAGCCTGGTTCCCATGCTGACGGGGGTGGGGAGCAGGATGGCTGGGTTGTCATCACCCCGGGTGGCACTGACCTGGGCCTCGGGGAGATTGCCAGGGTCAGTGTGAACGGAACATACGAATTCCCAACACACCACATACCACAGCAGGCCAGTCTGTCTACACCAGCCAGCCAGGGCACAGCATGTGCTTGTGGTTTTGCACTCAGCCATCACCAGCTGGTTGGAGCAGTTTGGGATCAGATACTCTCCTGCAGACCAGCTGGGGTGGAGTGGTTCAGCTGCCCAGGGGAAACGTCTCCCAGGCCAGGCCAGGAGCAGCAGGCAGCCTCGAAGGGAGTGAGAGAGGCAATGACCTTGGGCTGCTTCTGACAGGCTCTGTGACCTTGGCCTAGCCACTGACCTCTCCTGGGCCTCAGCTTCCTTCTCTGTAAAATGGGAATCACGTCGACCTGCTTCCTGGGTGGTTGCAAGGTTTGGAGGGCCCGGCATGTGGTAACTGCTCAGTATGGGACGGCTACTAATAATAACAATAAATGAAGCAGCAGACAGCTCAGCCCAGGGGGCAGTTCCCGGCCAGGAGATGCCCCAGTGGCTCTGGTGCATTTCTGCTCAGGTGCCTCCATTTATGATACACCTACCTGGCCGAACCAAAACTTAACCAAGGCTCTTGTTTCTCTGCCAAAGCCTGGAGGCTCATTCTCTTGGTTCTGTGTGCTGTTGTTTTCCTTCATTCTCTCAAAGCCTCAGTGATAAGCCAGGACTTCCAACTGCCTGGGCACTGTGGTCAGAGGATGGGGACAGGAGAGGGACACGCCCTGTGTCTGGTCCACCAAGAAGATGAATAAGGGGCTCAAAAGACAATGGAGGCCGAGGGGCACACAGCAGGTGGACCGAGGGGCTAGGTCCGCCTCAGCCCCCTCTGTCCCATGTGGCTTCCTCAAGAGGGGAAGGGAGAAGGGCACAAACGGGTGGGTCTGGCACCTTTATAGCCACTCTCTCTGCTAGATGGGGAAACTGAGGCTCAGAGAGGTAAGGGCCAGCTGGGAACTGGGCCACTGGGATTCGATTCTAAGATGAGTGTGCTTCCTCTGGCTGTGTTCCAGATGTTCTCAGCTCCTAAACAAGGAACTTTCATAAACATCTGGGGGTTCACACCAGGTGTGTGCATGCCCTCAAGCGTGTGACCCACATGTGTTATCATAAGACCATCCAGAGCTGAATCTTCTTGTAACTTCCAACACCCTCCATACAGCCAGCACTGGGAGCTTGAGCCCCAGACAGTGACATCATTCCTCCAACTCCAGCATCCGCCATCTCCTGATCAACCACCCCCATGAGGGTGGCATTCAGTGTCTGCCACTCTCACACACAGAGGCTCATGCAGTCCTCGCTGCTGTCAAAGGAAAATAAATCTCAGGACCCCAAACTCACTAAGCCAAAGGGAAAGTCAAGCTAGGAACTGGGTCATGCAAATCTGCCTCCCATTTTCTTTCTTTCTTTCCTTCTTTCCTTCTTTCCTTCCTTTCCTTTTTTTTTTTTTTTTTTTTTTGACAAGGTCTTGCACTGTCGCCCAGGCTGGAGTACCGTGGCATGATCTTGGCTCACTGCAGCCTCCGCCTCCCAGGTTCAAGCAATTCTCGTGCCTCAGCCTCCCGAGTAGCTGGGATTACAGGCATGCACCACCACGCCTGGCTAAGTTTTTGTATTTTTAGTAGAGATGGGGTTTCACCATGTTGGCTAGGCTGGTCTTGAACTCCTAACCTCAAGTGATCCGCCCACTTCAGCCTCCCAAAGTGTTGGGATTACAGGCATGAGCTACCACGCCTGGCCCCATTGTTTCTTTCTTTCTATTTTTTTTGAGGCAGAGTCTCGCTCTGTCGCCTAGGCTGGAGGGCAGTGGTGCCATCTCTGCTCACTGCAACCTCCGCCTCCCAGGTTCAAGCGATTCTCTTGCCTCACCCTCGCGAGTAGCTGGGACTACAGGCGCACGCCACCATGCTCAGCTAATTTTTGTATTTTTAGTAGAGACAGGGTTTCACCATGTTGGCCAGGATGGTCTCCATCCCTTGACCTCATGGTCTGCCCGCCTCAGCCTCCTAAAGTGTTGGGATTACAGGCGTGAGCCACCATGCCCAGCCCCATTTTGTTTCTAAATAAGATAGCTACAAAGATTAAAAAAAAAAAAAAAAAGCTACATATCTCCCTCACAATTTGCCGACAAGGAAATTCCTTGTGAGCCCTAAGATCTTTCCCGTGAACCAGTTCTGTTGAATTTCACCCTGACAATGTAAGTTAATAGCTTATCTTCACAGGCATGGAACAAAGGACAGAAATCAAAGTTATCCCTCTGCTTGCCTGCAACAAATGCATATCTGATTTCTTCCCTTGCTCTATGTTTATCATTTGTGACAATATAGATTCCCTGAGCTCAAGGCATAAGTGACTATTCCTCTCCCCACCTCACACGGAAAATGTATTCAGTGAAAGCTGATCAAAGACTCAATGCAACCACTTACCTCTTATCTACCCATCTTTTTTTTCTTTCTTCCTCTTTGCCCCAATACCCACTTTTTTTTTTTTTTTTTTTTGAGGCGGAGTTTCACTCTTGTTGCCCAGGTTGGAGTGCAATGGTGCAATCTCAGCTCACTGCAACCTCCGCCTCCTGGGTTCAAGTGATTCTCTTGCCTCAGCTTCCTGAGTAGCTGGGATTACAAGCGTCTGCCACCACGCCCGGCTAATTTTTGTATTTTTAGTAGAGATGGGGTTTCACCATGTTGTCCAGGCTGGTTTCGAACTCCTGACCTCAGGTGATCCACCCTCCTTGGTCTCCTAAAGTGCTGGGATTACAGGCGTGAGCCACCACATCCGGCCCAATTCCCACTCTTTTCCCTTTAAATATTGAAGTCCCAGACCCATTTAGGAAAAAGCACGGACTACAGATTTTTCCTGTTTCTGTATTCTTTTCCTGGGCACGTCCTTAACCTTGGAAATAAACCTCTGAAAATGATTGACACTCACTTTAGTCATTTTCTTTGATTTGCATTGGAAAGGGGACCCCTCTGCCAGACACTTTGTGTGCATTATATAATTCAATCTTCGCCGTAACCCAGGAAGGGGTGTTAATTTTCCCATTTTACAGATGGGTAAACCGAGGCTCAGAGAGACAAACAGACTTGTCCAGGCTCCCCACTGTCATGCCAACTGGTCTATTCAGAAGGAAACCCGGCTGGGCGCGGTGGCTCAAGCCTGTAATCCCAGCACTTTGGGAGGCCGAGGCGGGTGGATCACGAGGTCAGGAGATCGAGACCATCCTGGCTAACACGGTGAAACACCGTCTCTACTGAAAATACAAAAAAATTAGCCAGGCATGGTGGCAGGCGCCTGTAGTCCCAGCTACTGGGGAGGCTGAGGCAGGAGAATTGCGTGAACCCGGGAGGTGGAGCTTGCGGTGAGCCAAGATCTTGCCACTGCACTCCAGCCTGGGCTGGACAGAGCGAGACTCCGTTTTTAAAAAAAAAAAAAAGAAGAAGGAGACTTTGGGAGGAAGAAGAGAGACCATAGATGGCAGCTTCTGAATGCACACTGCCCTTTGCAGTTGGCACCTCCTGGACCCCCACCCCTTCTAGGCCTTTACCAAATCCTTTGGAAGTTGAATGAGCTCTGCCCACAGGGAGCAGTGCCCAGGGGAGTCCACTCCCCAGCATTTGGAGGCAGGGTGGGCTGCGAAGCAGGGTGGGTTTAGGGTCAGACAGTCCTGGCTTTGCCACCTTTAACTTTTTTTTTTTTGAGACAGAGTCTCACTCTGTTGCCCTTGCTGGAGTGCAGTGGTGCAATCTTGCCTCACTGCAACCTCCACCTCCCAGGTTCAAGCAACTCTTGTGCCTCAGCCTCCTGAGTAGTTGAGATTACAGGCATGTGCCACTACTCCCATCTAATTTTTTTTTTTTTTTTTGAGACGGAGACTCACTGTGTTGCCCAGGCTGGAGTTCAGTGGCACAATCTCGGTTCACTGCAGCGTCCGCCTCCTGGGTTCAAGCGATTCTCCTGCCTCAGCCTCCCAAGTAGCTGGGACTATAGCTGCGTGCTACCACGCCCGGCTAATTTTTGTATTTTTAGTAGAGACGGTGTTTCACCATGTTAGCCAGGATGGTCTCGATCTCCTGACCTTGTGATCCGCCTGCCTCGGCCTCCCAAAGTGCTGGGATTACAGATGTGAGCCATTGCGCCCCGTCTAATTTTTTTGTATTTTTAGTAGAGACGGGGTTTCCCCATGTTGGCCAGGCTGGTCTCGAAATTCTGACCACAAGTGATTTGCCCATCTTGGCCTCTCAAAGTGCTGGGATTACAGGCATAAGCCACCGTGCCCAGCTTGCCACCTTTAATTTATGTGACCCTCGGTTAGGTGTTTTTGCCTCTTTTTTTTTGAGACAGAGTCTTACTCTGTCACCCAGGCTGGAGTGCACTAGCCCAATCTTGGCTCACTGCAACCTCTGCCTCCCGGGTTCCTGACTTTGGGGACAGAGAGAATGGCTTGAGCAAAGTTATGGAGGCATGAATATGAGGGGCGGAGGTGAGGAGGGAGTGGCCCTCCCACCTGTGTGGTTCAGGAAGAGGCCGATGGCTGCTCAGGAGATGGGAGGGAGGCGCTGTCTGGGGCTATGTTAAGAACAGATAAGAAGTGACAGGAAGGTCTGGAACGGAGACCCATGGGGAGAATGGAGGGTCCTAGAGTCAGGCTGCCTGGGTTGAGTCCTGGCTCCCCTACTTATTAGCTGTGTGGCTTGAGGTGGGTTACTTAACTTCTTGGAGCCTCTGTTTCCTCTTCTGTAAAATGGGAATAACAACATTACCTGCCTCCCAAGGCCATTGAATGAGTTGAATGTAGGAAGTGTGATGTAAATATTAGCCATTGTTACGTGAGATGTTCAGGGGATAGAGTGACAGGCTCAACGTGTGGCTGAAGGAGGAGAAAAGAAGGATTTAGAGGCCCCTGTGAACTCCGGAGTCCCCATCCTTTCTGGGAGAAATGGGCAGTGCCTTCCTCTCTGCCCAACACTGACCAGCTGTCCACCCACCTCTCTAGGGCCAGAGGAAGCACTTGTGATCTTGATTACTACTCATGGACGCTGGGTAGAGGGCTAGCCTGGGCATGCTGGGAGAGGCCCTGGGCTAGCTTCAGCCCCTGTCATTTCCTTCACACCCATTCTCAGAGGAGTTGGGGGTGCCTCAGATGATGTCAGGTGATTTTCTTTTTCCTTTTCTCCCCAACTTCTTGGTCTCCTGCCTCCACCATGTGGCCCTGGGAGACCATCCCGACATTTCCTGCTGTTCTCTGGCTGCTGGGGCTCAGGCAGTAGCAAAGAAATGTCCCCGGCACTCCTGTGGGCACCATTCTAGGGCCACCGATGCCCAGACTGGGATGGGGAAGCCAGGGGCAACCACTCCTATTCCTGACAACAGCAATTGTTGCAGGATAATTTAGGAATCAGAGAGACCGAGGGGTTGAGGAGGATTTATTATTTAGATTCACTGGCTCAGTCAGGCTAACATTTCAAAAGACTGAGCCCTGAACAAAGAGTTAAGTTATCTTTTAAGCATTTCATGGGGCGGGGGTAGATCTGTGCAGGGGGAAGCATATTATAGAGGCAAGAAACAAAGACAGTTATTTAATTGAGACATGCATTATATTATTTTTTACTTTTTAAGGAAAAAAATTTTTACAGCTTGAGTTTATCTGTCTAGTGACCTTGCAGCTGCACAGCTGGAGAAACAGGGTCTTTACAATGCCTGGAAAAAGAGGAGCAATAAGGCTCACTAGCCACAAAAAAACAGGCAGTTAATTTTTAAGGGACTCCAGCTCTTTTTTTTTTTTTCCCCAGGGAAAATTGTTTTTTTTTTTTAACATAGAACTGAGTTTTTGCTTACACGTTTTAAAATTTCTTTTAATTCCTGTTCTACAATAACAACAATGACCCTGCACACTCCCCGAGAGCATTCCTCAACTCTCTTGTTTAACCCAGACCCTGCCACAGAGCATGGCACTCAGCATTTGTTAAATGAGTAAATAAAAACTACCAAGGATGGGCCCACCACTGTGCTAAGTACTCAGCCAACATCTGCACATTTTTTCACATTGAATTCCTACAACCAGCCCATGATGTGAGTATTATCCCCATTTCACAGATGAGGCAACTGAGGCTCAGTTGCCCAAGGCCTCCTTGCTAGCCAGCAGCAGGTCCAGGCTTCCTACCTCAGTCTCTGCCACGCCACAGAGCCCCGTTTCGCCATCCCCACCCACGCTATTACGCACCCACTGAGGGAGGCTTAGCTAAGAGATGTGGGGTAACAAACTGTGCTGTGAACCAGGAGGCCCAGGGGCTAACCTTACTTCCAGGGCACACTTGCTGTGTGACCTTGAGCAAGTCACAGACTCTCTGTAAGCTTCTGTTGCCTCGATGAAGACAGGGAGACGGATGGCCTGGTTTGCCCCATAATAATTTATCTGTGGTGTGTTCCTGGGGAATTTGCACTTGTACATGGCAAAGAACCCACAGCCATGAGACTGGCACTTCCCAGGGCTGCTGGGGTCTTCTCTCTCCAGCTACTCCCCTGGCAGTGGCTGCAGAGGCTGGAGCCTAGAGCCTGGGCCAAACACATGCTCCTGTGTCAGTAGAACTGGGTCATCCAGCATCTCCTGACCTGCCTCCAAAACCCCAGAAGGCCCCCCTCTTACCTGCAGATGTCAAGCTGAGTCAAGGTGCCCAGCACACACACGGCATGGGTGGGCTGCTCTGGGGTCACACGGATCAATGTCCCCTGGGCCATCGTCGGGCTAGCTCGTCCCTCTGGCTGTAGGAAGCCCCTGGGCTGGTTCCTTTATATCGCCCAGCAGAGGCCATGAGTCAGCACCTGCGGTCTGTGGCCCAGAGGCTCAACCCCTCCCCACTCAGGTCAGGGGTGTGGGCTCTCAAAATCTCCTCTGCCCTGGGGCTGCCCCTCGGACCTCTAGATGGGTGTCAATGCTGGTACCAGTGGCAGGGTGGCTCTGTCAGTTTCTTGGGAAGGATGGATGGCTCAGAAAGCCTGGGGTGGAGAGTGGGGCTGAGGGGTTGGGTCCTGGTCCTCATGCCCACAGTCCCATCCCTGCCTAGAGGCCCTGAACACCTTGATCTATCCAATCTCACCTATGTCAAACAGGCATATCAGAGAGGAGAAGGTGGGAAAAGCGGGGAGATTTTAGGTAAGCAGTCACAGGCCAGGCTACACGTTCAAAGACCAACCAGGCTTGGGACAAGTCTCTCCACCTGGGCCACCCACATGACAGCTCACATTCTCTATGCCAGGCACGTTTTCCTGCACTTCACATAGAATAGCTCATTACGACAAACCCGTGAACTAGATCATACCATTATCCCCTTATTTCACCCTCACAGCAGCCCTCTGAGGTTGGTGCCATTATTATACCCATTTTACAGAGGAGAAAACGGAGGTGCAGTTCTTCCACAGCTCGAGAGTGGTAGGGCCAGAATTGGAACCAAAGGTGTCCAGTTCCAGAGTGTGAGATTCATTAGCTGCCTGTCTATATGACACGTGCTTTCCAGACTGTATCACAGCTACATCTCGCTACAATACAAGGTGTATATGGGCTTAGTATTACAACCCATTTTACAGAAGGAAAATTGAGGCTCAGAGAGTAAAAGTGACTAGCTCTTGCCCAAGGTGCCAGAGCTAGAATGCGGCAGAGCTGGGAAGAGAAGATGAGCTTCCTGGCATGGAAGTTGATGTTCTCTGCATGCTCCAGGATACCTGCCTCTTGCCAGGGCCTCTGGGTGTCAGACCAGACAGTGCAGGTGTGGGCCACGCCTGCCAGGGGGATGCCCATGTGGCCTCAGAGCTGTGGTTGCACCTGGGCCATTGGTGCCAGGCTCTGCCTTTAATGAGGCAACTGGGGGGTGGTGGATGGGTCCCAAAAAGGAGCACTCAAAGGGTGCATGCATGGGAGTCTGGCGTGAACATAGAGTGTTTCGTGGGTTGGATATCTTGTGTTTGTTTTTTGTTTGCTTGCTTTGGCTTTGAAGCAAAGAATTTGCCTCATTAATTCAGAGTCAGGCTGTGGGATCAAACAGGCTTTAGTTCAAATCCTGCCTCATCTCAACATCCCTATGGAGTGCGTCCTATCAGGATGCCCATGTGTAGATGAGACCACAAAGACTTAGAGAGATTGAGTGAGACCCCCAAGGTCTCATAAGCCCTACAGTGGGGATCTGGATTCAGACCACCTTCTCTGGGCTCAAAATTTATCTTCTGTACCAGCAGATGATGATGTGGCCAGGTCCGACGTTCTGACGCATCTACATGACTGCCTGCACACAGTGTTAATAAACCCAATTTCTCTGGCTGACCGCATGATTAGAACTAGTTTGAGCTTCTACTGGGAAGTGGCAGGAGGGAGCTGTCCATTGTTAGAGTTGGGAGGGCCCTTAGAGAACACCCAATCCAGTCCTCGTTTTGCAGAAGGGGAGACTGAAGCACAGAAAGGGAGTGGGACCTGCCCACGGTCACACAGCAAATCAGAGGGAGGGCTGGCCTCTACCCCAAGTCTTAGGTCTCTTGAGGTTGTTTTCTTCTGTTCCTTCTTTTCTTTCTTATTTTCTTCAGCAGTTTGGGGTTTAAATTTGCTGTGAACGAGCCACAAAGAGGACGAGCCCCAAAGCAGTTTTGTTAATTCAACAAATACTGACTGAGTGCCTATTGATGGCCAGGCACTGTTCCAGGCACCGTGGATACGCTGTGAACAAAGTGGACAAAAATCCTGCCTTCATAGAGCCTTTTTGTTTGTTTGTTTTTGTTGGGAGAGAGACAGCCAGTAAGCAATAAATGCAGTAAGTGGATTCTATCGTATGTTAGTGGGGTAGAAAAAGGAAAAAGGACAGGGTAAAGGCCACCAGGAACACAGGGAGAAGGTTCCAAGTCAAGAGAACAGCCAGTGCAATCGGTACAAAGGCCCTGAGGCAGGGACATGCCTGGCGGGTTCAAGAAAGAGCAAAGAGGCCAGTGTGGCTGAAATGCAGTGAGGGAGGGGGAGAGCAGCCCAGGGCGGGGTGCGATCATATAGGGCCTTTCGGGCATCCTAAGAGCTTTGGCCTCTGCTCCAAGTAACGTGGGGAGCCTGGAGTCATTTTGAGCAGAGAAGGACCGCGAACCAACTTGCTTGAACGTGATCACTCTGGCTGTGATGTGAGAACAGACTGTAGGGGACCCGGGAGGAGGCCAGAAGACCTGTGAGGTGGCCGCTGCACACAGGCCGGTGACAGACGGTGGGGCTCAGGCTAGGGTGGTGGCAGTGGAGGAGGGGAGGATGGGTCAGGTTCTGGACATTTTGTGATGCAATACAGCCAATAGGAGTTGCAGAGGGACTGGATGAGGGGTGTTAAGAAAGACAGAGGGATGGAGGAGGACACCGCAGTTTGGAGCCTGAGGCCCTGGAGGGATGGGGCTGCCCGCAGCTGGGCAGGGAAGGCTGAGGGAAGGGCGGGGGGTGGGCATGGTGGAGATCAGGAGTTTGGTCCTGGCTTTGCCAAGTGTCATTTGGTGTGATGATGCCCTGTAGGACGTTTGAACACATGATTCCGGAGCTTAAGAGACAGGACCAGGCTGAAAAGGATAAAACAGTGAGATGTCAACATCTCCAGCTCCCCTAGGGAATGAGTGAGGATAGGGAAGAGAGATAGGCTGAGGGATGAGCCCTGGGGTCCTCCACCAGAGACCCAGGGGAGTGATGAGGGAGAGGAGATGCAAAAGAGAATGCATGCTATTTGCAATTACACAGGGAGCAATGCAAAACTAGGTTTGTAACACACACACACACACACACACACACTCACACTGAGGGAAAACGGCTGCACTTTGGAAGCAAAGCCTCTTTGTAGAAACACACTTGGTCACTCACAGTGGAACAAGGGCCACGGGCTCTGTGATGGGCAGGGCTGAGGGCAGGAGCCAAGGGCAGTGGAATGAGAGGCCAACAGACTTGGGGCTGGCGCGTGCCCCACCTGTGCCTGCAGCTCCAGCTGCATCCTGACATGGCTGCTCCCCTGCTGTTGGACATGGGGGCTGTCTGCAAGTTTTCAGTGTCATAAACCATGCAGCGATGCATCACTTGTGCCCGTGTCTGTGGTTATTTGCAGGGATGTTGTAGATTCATCTTTGCCCCTCTTTAGTTTTTTGGCAGAGCGCTTCATTCTTTTCCTGAGATTTGCCACACCTTGTGTTTAAATGCCCATCCCCCAGCTAGCCTGAGAGCAAGGCCAGTGCCTAGACTTGTCACTCAACACTGGTGGCTTAACGCCGTGGCTGTTTGTGTTCCCAGCACCCAGCCCAGTACTTGACCCAGACAGGATCCTGTGAAGATCCCTGAGAACCCGGCCTGGCTGTTTCTTTTGCTGATGGCATTAACCCTTTCAGAGCCCAAAGGGGACCTTTGGGGTTGGGGAGTGAACTCTCTTATACATGGTGAGCGTCTCAGGATCCAGGCCAGAAACCCTGGAGGAAGAGGCCTCTCTTCCTGCTGAAAGGCAGAATCACCAGCCCAGCTCACGTAGAGGAAGCAAGGGTGTTCTGAGTGTTGCCAAATACCCTCTAGGCATTTGGGGCCCAGAGGGCTAAGGCCACCTGAGCTCCTGTCTCAGAGACTGGCTGGCTAGCCTGCTCCAGTTGATTGCAATGACATCATTTGGGGGAAAGGAATTAGGGTCAGAGGACTCTCCCAGTGGCTCTGTGTCTGGGTATAGTGCAGTGCTGTTCTTACAGCAGATGGCCTAGCTCTTGCTTCAGCATTATTCATGCATAAGTACAGTTCATTCCCAACACTGAGCTGTTCATTCAACAAATATTCACCGAATGCCTCCTAAGTGCCTGGCCCTCGCTTAGAAGCTAAACTAGGCTTTGTTTAACATAAATGTAGAAGCACCCAGGGTGATAATAGAGACCACCATCTATTAACGCCTGCTATGTGTTTACCTGTCACTAGGTCCTTGGGCTCTATTATTTCTAATTCTCACCATTAAGTGGGGCAACAGGTACAATCTCATTTCTACAGAAGAGTGAAGCACCAGGCTCAAGGTCACACGGCCTCTAGGGGGGTTTCAAATTTGGCTTCATCCAACATGCTATGCCCTGGTGTAGCCCTGACCTATGCCAGGTCCTAACATGCATCATCTCTAATCCTCACAGCAACATTAACATCTCTCCCCGTTTTCCAGATGAGGAAACCGAGTCTCAGAGGACTCAGAGGAGTTAGGTAACCACTCAAGGTTACGCAGAAGGAAGTGGTGACACTTGCGTTTAATTTTGCGTGGCCTAACTCCCAAGCCCCTGCATCCTCGTCCACTCTAGGGCTATGCAGCTGCCCCCAGGCCAGGTCACTTGGCCAATGAGTTCTGAAGACCCTTCCAGCACAAAGAACCCTGGTCTCTCAGCCTCTCTGAATTCATGACTTCTAGCAGAACACTGGAGCATGTCTAGATCATCCAGGCTGGCTGAAACTAGAAAATCCCTCCTCCTGTGGATCACCTGAGGTCAGGAGATCAAGATCAGCCTGACCAACATGGTGAAACCCTGTCTCTATTAAAAACATAAAAATTAGCTGGGCGTGGTGGCAGGCACCTGTAATCCCAGCTACTCGGGAGGCTGAGGCAGAAGAATCACTTGAGCCCAGGAGGCAGAAGTTGCAGTGAGCCGAGATCATGCCATTGCACTCCAGCCTGGGTGACAGAGCAAGACTCCGTCTCAAAAAAAAAAAAAAAGAAAAAAAAGAAAATCCTTCCTCCTGCAAAGTGTTCATCCCGGAGCCCCCTGCCTGCTGTGTGTATTGCAGGGGCAGTCTTTTCTCCTCTCTGTTCACACAGCTCTTCCCTGCCCCCAGCATCTCTCCTTTCTCTCCCTTGCAGAATCCTTCTAGGTTTTGGAAGGATTCATGGGCACACAAGGGCATAATCATGACTCTAACATGTGCCAGGCCCTGCCCTGCACTGGAGCCCATTCATGTGAACAATACACTAACCCAGTGAATGTCAGTCATTGACAGATGAGTAGCACATTAGGGGCAGAGACAGGAGATGGAGCCCAAATCTATCTGCATCAAAAGCCTGCAACCTTCCCCTCTGCCACCTTTGAGAAAAGGAAGGGGACCAGTCAGATGAAGGCAAATGTCTCTGCATTCCCTTTCTGGAACTGGCTCCTACCCAACCCTTGACACCAGGTGCTTACATTTCTTCTCTGGCACCCAGGATTTCTCCTGGGGACCAAGACCATGAGAATGTGAGTGACATGAAAGCATGGACTTTGCTTTGCTCACTGTTATCTCCCTAGTGCTTAGGACAGGGCCTAGCACAGAGTAGGTGCACAAGAAATACTGTATTTTACTGAATTTATGACACTATTTATTTTAAGATACATTCCTTCCTCTAGCATCGTCTGTTGAAAAGACTCTCTTTCAACAAATTAAAATTGAATTGCTTTTGCATCTTTGTCAAAAATTGTACATATTGGGCATACATGTGTGGGGCTATTTCCAGGTTCTATATGCAGTTCCATTGATCTGTGTCTGTTCCTCCAATAATACAACACAATTTTGATTACTGTAGCTATATGATAAATCTTAAAATTGGGTAGTATATTAGGCTCTTCCTGCCTTGCTATAAAGAAATACCTGAGACTGGGTAATTTATAAAGGAAAGAGGTTTCATTGGCTCATGCAGGCTTTACAGGAAGCATGGTGCTGGCATCCGCTTGGCTTCTAGTGAAGCCTCAGGGAGCTTTCAGTCATGGTGGAAGGTGAAGCAGAATGCAGACACTTCACAGGACGAAAGCAGGAGCAAGAGAGAGAGCGAGCCTGGGGAAGTGCCACACACTTTTAAATGACCAGATCTCACAAGAACTCACTCGCTATCACAAAGACAGCACCAAACCATATGTTGGGGTGATCAGACCCAAAACCAGGTCGTGGGGGCGACAAAGTCTGGCAGAGTCAAAGGAATGAGAAAAAGACCTTTTGAGAGAGCAAGTGGGACCAGGGGGCCATTGCGAGTGTGAAGACTGAGAAGGCCCTGAGCTCTGGGAGCCCACACTGTTTATTGGTGCTCAAACAAACTAACAGGTGGTGAGGCTGCAAACAAACAGGTGGTGAGGATGTGGGGGTTGAAAGGAAACAGTGTATCAAGTGAATGAAAAACATATGGCTGCTTGAGATAACGGGAGTGCTAGAAGCAAGCAGCCAGCAAGTCTAGCAGACATGCAAGCCCTGCCTCAGCTTCTCTCCCAACACACAGCTTTTCTCCAAACATGCCCCCCTTCCCTTTTTTGGGGGGGCACTCCCAGGCTGGAGTGCAGTGGCATGGTCTCGGCTCACTGCAACCTCTGCCTCCCGGGTTCAAGCAATTCTCCTGCCTCAGCCTCCTGAGTAGCTGGGATTACAGGCACTTGCCACCACGCCCAGCTAATTTTTTTTTTTTTTTTTTTTTTGAGACGGAGTTTCACTCTTGTTGCCCAGGCTGGATTGCAATGGCACGATCTCGGCTCACTGCAACCTCCACCTCCCGGGTTCAAGCGATTCTCCTGCCTTAGCCTCCCAAGTAGCTGGGACTATAGACACCTGCCACCATGCATGGCTAATTTTTGTATTTTTAGTAGAGACGGGGTTTCACCATGTTGGCCGCCAGGGATTTTAATAGGAATTTAGACCCAAGCTGGCTCAATGTCCAAGACTTTTCCTCCACCACTGGACAGTTGGATGTGAAGGGCCCATAGCAACCATGTGAGAGAGGCTTTCTTGGTGCTGGTGACAACTGGTATCTGGCCCAGCCAGTGGAGAATAGGCTCAGAATCTGCTTTCCTCCCTGGGGAAAGGAGGCTTCCCCAGCTTGGCAGAGACTAAGTTAAAAGATAAATTTCTTCTATTTTGGGGGGAAACAACCAGCTCATTATTTGGGAGTTTGAAGAAGACACCTCTCCCTGACAATGTTCAAAGTTCTTACCCTACCCACTGGAGGAGACTCAAAATGCCACCAGTTTTGGAACTTTGCTTTCTGGTGATGGAAACTCCACAAAGGAGACCTCATATTTTGCATGGTAGAATTAGTGAGTTCCATAGTTTCCTTTTAAAAAGTTTAGAAACCATTTCCCCCTCCTTACTATAAATGGATGATAAGAAAAATGGTGGTGGAGGGGGATATGAGTTGAAGGAAATACAAAATAAAAATATCACCTGGTTTCAATCAGATAGTCATTTCCAGCACACAATTTTATTTCCTCCCATTTTTAACAGAATTTTAGATTTCATATCTTACAGGTTTTTTATTTATTTATTTATTTTTTTGGAGACGGAGTCTTGCTCTGTCGCCCAGGCTGGAGTGCAGTGGCATGATCTCGGCTCACTGCAACCTCTGCCTCTTGGGTTCAAGCTATTCTACTGCCTCAGCCTCCCAAGTAGCTGGGATTACAGGCACCCATCACCACGCCTGGCTAATTTTTGTATTTTTAGTAGAGATGGGGCTTTACCACGTCGGCCAGGCTGGTCTCGAACTCCTGACCTAAGGTGATCCACCCACCTTGGCCTCCCAAAGTGTTGGGATTACAGGTGCAAGCCACCACGCCCAGCCTTTTATATAGTTTTTGTTTTAACTTTTTCCAATTACTGTTTCAAAACTATTATTAATAGTAGCAATACTGATTTATTTTTTCCAGCTTTCTTGAGGTATCATTGACAAATAAAAATTATATACATTTAAAGAGTATGAGGCCGTGCAAGGTGGCTCATACCTGTAGTCTCAGCACTTTGGGAGGCTGAAGTGGGTGGATCAACTGAGATCAGGAGTTTGAGACCAGCCTAGCCAACATAGTGAAACCCCATCTCTACTAAAAATACAAAAATTAGCCCAGTGTGGTGGCACGCACTTGTAATCCCAGCTACTCGGGAGGCTGAGGCAGGAGAATTGCTGGAACCTGGGAAGCAGAGGTTGCAGTGAGCAGAGATCACACCACTGCACTCCAGCCTGGGAGACAGAGTGAGACTCCACCTCAGAAAAAATGAATAAATAAAAAAAAGTGTATGTTTTGTTATACACACACAGTTATTACAATCGAGCTGACATATCCATCACCTCACACAGTTATGTGTGTGAGTGTGTGTGTATGTGAACACCTGAGATCTAATCTCTTAACAAATTTCAAGTATAAGATATATTATTATTAACCATAGTCACCATGCTGTACATTAGCTTTCCAGAATTTATTCATCTTGCAATGGACAGTTTTACCTTTTGACCAACATCTCCCATCTTCTCCTACCCCCATCCCCGGTAACCACCATTCTTGTCTCTGTTGCTGTGAGTTCAACTTTTTAAAGATGCCAGTTATAAGTGAGAATATGCAGCATTTGTTTTTATGTGCCTAGTTTATTTCACCTGGATAATGTCCTTCCAGGTTCATCCATGTTGTCTCAAATGGCAGGGTTTTCTCCTGTTTTCAAAGGTTGAATAATATTCCTCTGTGTGTGTGTGTGTCGTGTGTGTGTGTATCACATTTTCTTTATCCAATCATCTGTTGATGGACACTTAGGTTATTTCCATGTCTTGGCTACTGTTTTTTGTTTGTTTGTTTGTTTTTGTTGTTGTTGTTGTTTTTTGAGATGGGGTCTCACACTGTCGCCCTGGCTGGAGTGCAATGGTGAGATCTCGGCTCACTGCAACCTCCACCTCCACACCTGTCTAATTTTTGTATTTTTAGTAGAGATGGGGTTTCACTATGTTGGCCAGGATGGTCTCGAAATCCTAACCTCAAGTGATCTGCTTGCTTGGGCCTCCCAAAGTGCTGGGATTACAGGCATGAGCCACCACACCTGATCTTCCCTCTTTTTCCATACTTTAAAAACTTAAAAGATGCAGTCAAAGCAAATCATGCCTAATTTAAGCAAATCATTCCTAATTACCTATGGAAATTGTTCCATAGGTAATGATTACTACAACCACCGTCACTTAGACCACTTCTACTTTCTTGTTTAGCTCTTTGTCATTTCATGGATCATTTTCTTCTGTAGCCATATTTTTTCACTTAACATGAAAGGTATCTGTCGCATTACCATAAAGACCTCAGAGGTTTCATATATTGCATCAAATGGAGCAATATATGAGCATCCTACTCATTCCCATAGGTTTCTAACATTTTGACCAGCTTGATTCTGATTTTTTGCTATTATGAATCCCTAATAAAGATTTGTGTCTGATTAGAGTTACTTCTTTGTTTATTTTCCTAGAGATTGAACTCCTGATATTTGAAACTGTTTTCCAAAGGATGATATCAAAACCCACCTCTGTATTTAACACACGAGGCTGTTCACTTCACCCTGGCCTGTCCAGAAACTTTCTTTTTTGTTTCTGTTTCTGCTATTTTGATGGTGGCATTTTATGTTCATTTAGTGCCTAATGAGATTAACAAATGTTCCCGGTATTTGTCATCAAGTTGTTGACGTTGTAATTGTTCTTGTTATTATGTTAGAGCAATATTGGTCAGGAGAGATGTTGGCAGGGCTGGGGTAGAGGTGAGGGGCTAGAAGTGGGAGACGGTTAGTGCCAAAGCCGGGAAACTGGAGCGCTGCAGGCAGTTTGCAACCTCACAGATTCATCACTTTACTTTTTCTGGTTAGGACTGTGATTGCGTCCTTCCAACCGCAAATTGAAGGTTGAACCTGGAGCTATGTTCATGTAACACTGCCATAAAACTTGTACCTCAGGTTGGTTTAAAATAACTCTGACACCTCACATTCTCCTCTGTCAGGCTTGAGTGATTCTCTTTTCCAAAATTTATTTGTTCCGTGATTCACACCCAGCAGAAGTCATGAGGCGGGGCTGGATCATGCTGTCCCAAGGGTGTTGGCAGAGCTGCCTGTTCGGTTGGTGGTTGGTTCTTCTCTTCCCAGGTGCCTTGGACTTCCCCAAGCTTTCCTTCTTGCTAAGCAGGGTTGCCCAGGCGTCTTCAGCTGCCTGTGGGTTTAGAATGAACGTGTCTTTTGGCCCTATACTCCGGGGCCCAGAAGCCATGATGGAGAAGAGTTAGGCATGGGGATGCTATATCTCCTCTTACTTCAGTGCTCTCATCCTATTTTTCACTAATCAGGGCCTCAAATGGCTGTAACATACTATTTGTGCACCCCACCTCCATTCAATTTCTTCAACGCTCATGTGTCAGGGCCTCTTTCCAGGTCTCAAGAAATTCAGGCCTCAATTTTTCTGGAATGTTCTGATTTCAAATATGCTGCCCCCAAATAATATTTCCTCAGGTACCTTCGTGCAGAGAATGGTAGGTCCTGATGTTCGTGTTCCCAGCCAGTGACATTGACTATGGTGTGCTGAGCCCTCTGCAGGCTCCAGGCTGAGCTGCTGACATGTACCACCTCACGTAATTACTTTTTCTTTTTTAAGAGACGGAGTCTCGCTCTGTCACCCAAGCTGGAGTGCAGTGGCACGATCTCGGCTCACTGCAGCCTCCGCCTCCTGGGTTCCAGCGATTCTTCTGCCTCAGCCTCCTGGGTAGCTAGGATTACAGGCACGTGCCACCACACCTGGCTAACTTTTGTATTTTTAGTAAAGATGGGGTTTCATCATGTTGGCCAGCTGGTCTCGAACTCCTGACCTCAGGTGATCCGCCCGCCTTGGCCTCCCAGAGTGCTGGGATTACAGGCATGAGCCACCGCACCTGGCCTCACATAATTCTTATCTCAACCCCATGAGGAAGGCATTATTGACCCCATTTTGTAGGCAAGGAAATAGGCTCAGAGAAGTGGAATGACTCAACCAAGATCACACAACTGTTAGTAAAATAAATCAGGACTTGAACCCAGATTTAGCTGATTGCAAAGCGTTAACCACAAGGTTTTGCTGGCCAAATACAGGGGGAGATAAAAGATCCCAGACCCTCTGATCTTCTGATTTAGATTCATTCAACAGACACCTGCTGAGCACCCCTCTGCTGAGCACCCCTCTGTCCTAGGCATCAGGGACACACAGAAACAGAACCAATAGAACATATAGATGTACAGATAGATAGATAGATAGATAGATAGATAGATAGATAGATAGATAGATAGATATCTACATCTATATATGTTCATATATATGGAGTGAGGGAGAGACAGAATTCAAGGAATTGGCTCAGCTCACATGATTGTGGAGGCTGGCAAATCCAAAATCTGTTAAGTAGGCCAGCAGGCTGGAGACCAGGGAAGAGCTGATACTGCAGCTCAAGACAACAGGCGTAGAACTCCAACTCCCTCTTCCTTGCGGGGGTGTCAGTCTTTTTTCTCTGGAGGCTTTCAGCCAGTTGGATGAGGCCCACCACAATACGGAAGTCATCTGCTTTACTAGAAGTCTATTGATTTAAATGTAAATCTCAACTAAAACACACCTTCACAGCAACATCCAGACGGGTGTTTGACCAAATATCTGGGAACTGGTGGCCTGGCCAAGTTGACACAAAAAAATTAACCAGCACCAAACACATAGTTTAAGGCAGGGTTCCTAATCCTATGGGGTCATTTAGTCTTTTGAACATTTAAAGGAAGCAATCAAGATGCCCTTAGCTTTTCTTTTCTTGCATGTGGGGAAAATGAGGCTCGGGTAGAAGCTGTAACTTTCCTAAAGCTACAGGCAAGTGGATGCAGAACGAAGGCAGGGACTTCCTCTTCTGACTTCGGTTAGCGTTCTTCATCTTCTGGGAATTTCTTAGTTTGGGCAACCCCAGAAGGCAACTCTGAGACAAGGATTTGTGTGCAAGAGGTTTATTTGGGAGGTGCAGGATACACTGGTAGACAGTGGGAAAGTGAGTCAGGGAAGGAAAGAAGCGAGTAAAGGGTCTGTGAATGACCTAGTTACCACCTGTGAGTAACTGAAGATCACCCCCCTGAGGAGTGCTAGAAAGTAGTGTGAAGCCCATGCCTCAGAGTTAGCCCAAGGAGCAAGGGAACTGGGGCATTTATACTCCCACTTCCTTTTGTCATTTGCTGAGGGCTGCTCTGGGTGGTATTAGTTCCCTGGCCATTTGGTCAGCAGGCTCTGGTGGTCAGAGAAGGCCTCAGGCAAACAGTACAGGTGCCGGCACTTGGAGGCCGGGTCTCTTTGAGCTGAAGGAGGGATTGTAGGAGGAGTGGGTGGGCACACATGGCATCTTCTACAGGCTAGGGGAGGCTTAACACTCCTTCAAGAAGCAGAAGACAGCTGGGAACACAATCGCCTGAAACATGCACATGGAATTTTCTGTGTACAGTTGGATGGATTTATGGACCCCTGGACCCCACCTGGGGACCCAAGTTTAAGATTCTTGGCTTGAATCTTCCTCTGGTGACTGGTCCTTCCTCTTTCCCCCATGCCCATGCACCTGTGCTCCCTGGGAAATGGGCAAGACTTCATTGACACAGCTGCCACCCACCCACATGTGCCCAGGGACTTTTCCAGAGAGAGGCGGCTCAGTGATGGCATCCTGGTGTGGTCCCCACTGTGCAACAACCTGCTCTTCCCCAAGCTTCCAGCAGCTGGCCCCCTGCCAACCCACCCGCAGCGCCCCCACCGTGGGTTGCTCAGTCCTCTGCAATCTGCCCACTGGAGGCCAGACCTCCTCTTTGTCCTGTCAGTGTGAACAGTGTGGAGTAACTGGATTAATTCACATACATATGCATTCATGATTGCCTTTGTATCTTTTAAAAGTGTGCATCTTTTAAAATTGCAAAATACACATCTGGAGGAGTGTGTAAACATACGTGCATATATGGGATAATACTAAATACCGTGTAAACACCACCCAGGTTAAGAAATAGAAAGTCTTTAGTACTCTTTTTTTTTTTTTTTTTTTTTTGAGACGGAGTCTTGCTCTATCGCCCAGGCTGGAGTGCAGTGGCACGATCTCGGCTCACTGCAAGCTCTGCCTCCCAGGTTCACACCATTCTTCTGCCTCAGCCTCCTGCGTAGCTGGGACTACAGGCTCCCACCACCACACCCGGCTAATTTTTTTGTATTTCTTAGTAGAGATGGGATTTCACCGTGTTAGCCAGGATGGTCTCGATCTCCTGACCTCGTGATCCGCCCGCCTGGGCCTCCCAAAGTGCTGGGATTACAGGCGTGAGCCACCTTTGGGGACATCTCCCTGACTACATCCCCCCGCCCCCAGGACTAACAGTTACGCGAACTTTTGTGATCATCATTCCCTTGCATTTATGGTTTGTACTTTATTGTTGTTGTTGTTGTTTTAGAGACAGGGTCTTGCTCTGTCGCCCAGGCTGGAGGGCAGTAGTAGTGCAATCACAGCTCACTCCAGCCTTGCACTCCTGGACTCATCCTCCCAACTCAGCCTCCTGAGTAGCTGGGAGTACAGGCACACACCATCATGATCGCTAATTTATTTTATTTTATTCTTTGTAGAGACAGGGTCCCACTATGTTGCCCACTCTGGCCTCAAACTCCCGGCTTCAAGTGATCCTCCCACGTTGGCCTCCCAAAGCGCTGAGATTAAGGGTCAAGTGCAGTGGTTACTGTTTAGTTTTGCCTGTTTTTGTCTTTATGTGAACGAAAGCACACTTTATTCCTTTGTGACTTGCTTCTTTCGCTCACCATTGTGTTTGTGAAATTTATCCATGTTGATGTATGTTGGAGGCCAAAGGAGTGAGGGTCATGATCAACTCAGTATACCACTGGAGGCTGTGTGAGTAAAGAGCAAGCTGTGCTCATGAAAGCAGGATGCTGGCAAACTGACAAACTGCGTCTGTCACCCAGAAGGACCGCCAAGGGCGGTCACAACCCAGGCACAAGTGTTTCCTGTGATTAGGTGTAATTGAAGCCTGCTAGTAATGATGTGAACCTGTGATCAATTAAGCAGCTGACCAGTCGTTGCCTCCTCCTCCCTGCTCTTTCTACCCAATAAATGAGAAGGGCTGTGGAAGCTCGGGGATTGCCTTTGCTCACGAGAAGCAGGGAGCTCTCTTCTTCTTCCCTGGTTCCCCTTCCTTTATAATAGTTTCTTTTGTCTTAGGTTTTCATTTCTACGTTCATCCCTTCGTTCAGTCTCGTAATGACGGTCTCAAGCAGTAACAGTAGTAGCTGCTGTAGTGATGGTCTCAAGCAGTAGCAGTGGCGGTCAGCCACAGATGTGTGAGTCATAAATTGTTCATCACTCTCTAATATTCCATTGTATGAATAGACAACAATTTAGTTATTTGTTCTACTGGTGATGGGCACTGTTTCTAGTTTTTGGATAACATGACCAATGTTGCTATGGATATTCATGTCTCCTGGGGCAGAACTGCAAGGGTTTCTCTAGGTATTACCTAGGAGTCGAATTTCTAGCATTGGGTATAGGCATTTTCAACTTCACTGAATAGCACAAACTGTTTTTCAGGGCTAATGCCAATTTCCTTCCCATCAGCAATTGTGAGGGGTCTAGCTCTTCCACATCCTTGCTCCCGGTTCTATTTTGTATATTTATTTTTTTCCTAAGTGGTGAGCATGTAATAGTATACCACTGAGGTTTTAATTTGAATTTCCCCGATAACTAATTAGGTTGAATACCTTTTCTGTTGGATTGTTTATCTACTTCTTTTTCTTATGTTTATTGAATGGTAGGAGTTATTTGTACATCTTAGATACTGGTTCACAAAGAACAAAATGATAAAAAGGAAAGAATGATAAATGTAACTATTTTAATATATTAAATATATGTAATATAATTAATATATTAAAAGTAAGAGCTTCTGGTTTTTAAAAGAGTAGAAATAACTGTGGTTAACAGAGTAGAAATATAAACCACAAACTGGGAGAAAATATGTTTGTAACACATGCAAACGACGAATGATCAGTATATAGGATTAATAAATAACTTCTATCATTCAATAATAAAATGTCTTGCCTTCTGTTTTGTGTAGTTGGTCTATTTGTCTCTGCATAAGTTCTATATTGTCTTAATTACTGTGGCTTTATAATAAGTCTTGATATCTGGTAGAGCAAGTTCTCTTATCTTTCATCTTCAAGGGTGACTTAGCTATTCTTGGCTCTTTGCACTTCTATATAAATTTTAGAATCACCTTATAAATGTCCTTCCCTTCCCTTCCCTTCCCTCCCCTTCCCCATTCCCCTCCCTCCCCTCCCCTCCCACATTTCCCTCCCCTCCCCTCCCCTCTCAAGTGCATGCTCTCACATGTGCACACACACATACACGCACCCTGTGGAGATTCTGACTGGATTTACACTGATTCATAGGTCTTGCAGAGAACTGAAATCTTTTTAATATTGAGCCTTTCAATCTATGAATATGGCGTATCTCTCCATTAATTAGATCTCCTCTAATGTTTTTTCAATACAGTTGTATAGTATGCTCCATAAGGTTTTTGCACATCTTTTGTTAGATATGCTTTGTTTTTTACTTTTTGATGCTCTTATAAATGGCACATTTCAAATTTGCCATTTTCTATTTCTTTTTAGTATATAGAAATGTAGTTGGGCCAGGTGTGGTGACTCATACCTGTAATCCCAGCACTCTGGGAGACCAAGGCGGGAGGATTGCTTGAGGCCAGGAGTTTGCAATCAGCTGGGGCAACATGCGATATCCTGTCTCTACAAAAAAAAAAAAAAAAAAAAAAAAAATAGCCAGGCATGGTGGCACACACCTGTAGTCCCAGCTACTTGGGAGACTTAGGTGGGGGAATCACTCGAGCCCAGGAGGTCGAGGCTACAGTACATTGTGACTGAGCCATTACATTCCAGCCTAGGTGACAGAGCAAGACCCTGTCCCACAAGAAAAAAAAATACAATTGATTTTTGTATATTGGTTTTATAGTGACAGCCTCGCTAAACCCTCTTATGAATTCTTTTACTTTGTAGATTCTTTTGGATTTTCTGTATATATAATAATTCCTTTCTAATCTTATACCTCAATGGCAAGAACCTTCTGTTCAATGCTGATTAACAGTTATGATAATGGGTATTCTTATTCTGATCCTAGAAGGAATGGTTTCAATACTTTATCATTAAGAATAATTTTTGATGTGAGTTTCTTATAGATCAGTAGTTCTCAAACTTCAGTGGCACTAGAATTACCTGAAGGGCTTATTGAAACACAGACTGCTGCTCCCCCAGCCTCCAGAGTTTCTGATTCAGAAGGTGTGGGTGGGCCTGAGGACTTCCATTTTGGACACGCTCCCTGGTAATGCTGATAATGCTAATGCTGGTCTGGGGACCACACTTTGAGAATCACTATTGTACCTTTTTTTTTCTGAGACAGAATCTTGCTCTGTCACCCAGGCTGCAGTGCAGTGGCGTGATCTTGGCTCACTGCAACCTCCGCCTCTTGAGTTCAAGCAATCCTCCTGTCTCAGCCTCCTGAGTAGCTGGGATTGCAGGCACGTGCCATCATGCCCCACTGATTTTTGTATTTTTAGTAGAGACAAGGTTTCACCATGTTGCCCAGGCTGGTCTTAAACTCCTGACCTCAAACGATCCACCCACCTCAGCCTCCCAAATTGCTGGGATTACAGGAGTGAGCTACCACACCCAGCCTATAGCTATTCTTTATGGGGTTAAAGAAGTTTCTTTTTATTCTTAAGTTTTGCTTAAAAATCATAAATGATGATTTTATTAACTTTTTTCTGATTTATTGAGATGATCATGTAAATTTTTTCTTTGATCTATTAACCTGTTGAATTGATTTTCTAAGATGAAACATGCATTCCTGGGATCAATTTATTCTGATCTGATATTGTATAATCTGATATTGTATCATTTTTGAATTGAGTTTGCTAATAGTTTTGTTTAGAATTTTTGCATTTATGGGTTTATTGTTATGTTCGTAGGTTTTCTTTCTCATTCTGTTCTTGTCAAGCACAGCTAGCAAACTCAGGTTACGTGCTACAAAACAGAAGCTCTTACAGTTATTATTATGGCTTTACAATTGTACTTACCATACATTGTTGCTACTCTCCGTTTGCCCTGCTTCTCTACTAACCTATGAGCTTCCTAAAGGCAGATTCCATATCTGCTCACCCACTGCTGTATCCCCAGAATCTGCTGCTGAGCTGGACACATAGTAGGGAAAATTGTGCCCATGTAAAATAGGTGTGAGGATTAAGTAGCTACCCTGGAGAGGATGAAGAAGGCCCTAAGCTTGCTGGGGATAGAAAATGAAGAAATAAACACTTGTTAGGTTCTTGCTGTCTGCCAGGTACTGCTGTAGTCCTCAAACAACCCGTGAAGGTAAGCATTATTCCCATTTTACAGATGAGCAAATGGAGGCTCAACCATAGGAAATCTCCCATTAAATTTGGTCTTGCAACTGCTTCTTGGCCTTTTGGCTAAGAGCAAATGTAGAATTTGCTCTTGCAAGGTGGTTGAGCACACTGACCACTCCACGTCCCTTTATAAAGGTCCATGTATGACGGGAATCATTTTGGCATGCTGCCTTCCTTCTGATAATGAGAATTAGGTGGTTGACTCTGGTTCCCTTCTTGCAAGGGCTACTGGGAAGCTCCAATCCTAATGATAGTTTGGTTCTCATGGTCATATATTTGTTTGTCCTTTTCCATGGGTTTTATTTTCTGGATTTTTTTTTCTGTTTTGGTGTATTATTATTATTATTATTATTTCAAGATAACCTATCCTGGGTTTAAGCGATTCTCCTGCCTCAGCCTCCTGAATAGCTGGGATTACAGGCGCCCGCCACCACACCCGGCTAATTTTTGTATTTTTAGTAGAATGGGGTTTCACCATGTTTGCCAGGCCCGTCTCAAACTCCTGACCTTAACTGATCCACCTGCCTTAGCCTCCCAAGGTGCTGGGCTTACAGGCATGAGCCACCGTGTCTGGCCTTGGTGTCTTAATGTAAAAAATTTTTTTAAATCATCAGTTTGTTGAATGTACTCTTAATATATGTTGCCTCAAATCCCTAGAGGAATTTGGCAAAGGAATTAAAAAAAAAAAAAAACACCAGTAAGTAAATGTGCTGATTGAGCTGTCCAGTAGACTCCTGGGGAGCGTTAGTCACATAAACACTTCTGAATGATGCCCTGCCCAGCCCTGCTCAGGTCCCTGCTTGCTGGAGCACTGGAAACTGCCCAAGGCAGCTATAATTTCTGTGATTGAGATGTTTTGAGTTAAGATAATTGGCATTGAGATGCAGTTTCTCAGAATGCCAAGACTTATTTAAAGACCCAAGAAGAGTTCAAAAAAGAAACTATGGAGCTAGCTTTGGTGCTGGCTTCCAGCTCTTGAAAGACAGCATTGCTTCAGAGAGCCAGCTGAGCGGTAGTTAGTTTCCATCTGCTGGTCCAGGACAGACACATCCACCGAGCACCCACACCGGCAACGTTCAGCCTGGGTTTCTGAGTGTGCATTCCTTTCCAGGAACTCGGAAGGAGACCCTTGCCCCCTGACATCCTATCAGGAACCATCTCAAATCCTCACCACCAACATAACAATAAAATGCTGTGAACCAGGAGACCCAGGCGTGGGGCCCAGAACTGGGGGGAAGCACTTGGGGGAAGAGGGATCCCAGCCCTTTTCTTGCCCGAAGCCTCGAAAAAACTTGCCCACTGCTTTGACTCATCTGTGAGTCCTGGGGGAGTGGCCACTGGCCCATCATGGTGGGCAAATGGGGGATACACGTACCTGCTTTGTTATCAAAGCTTTGCTGTAGCCAGGCTTTTGTTTGGTTTTGTTTTTTTAGATGGAGTCTCACTCTGTCGCCCAGGCTGGAGTGCAGTGGCACGACCTCGGCTCACTGCAACCTCCGCCTCCCAGGTTCAAGCGATTTTCTTGCCTCAGCCTTCCGAGTAGCTGGGACTACAGGTGCCCGCCACCACTATCAGCCAATTTTTGTGTTTTTAGTAGAGATGGGGTTTCACCATGTCGGCCAGGATGGTGTGGATCTCTTGACGTCATGATCTGCCTGCCTTGACCTCCCAAAGTGCTGGGATTACAGGCATGAGCCACCACACCCGGACTACAGCCAGACTTTCTAAGTGTCCAGTTGTAACTTTCTAAAAACATATTTCTTACCAGGAAAAAGTGGGTAAGAGACTCCTTGGGTGGCAGTGCAGAAAAACCGAGCCTTCAGAGCCAAGCACACCTGTCTTTTTCGTTTACCTGGGCAAGCTGCTTCAAGTTATGTCCTTCCCTGACAGATACCTGCTGTTTGTTGACTGCCAGACATGAGGCTGAGCTCCTCCCTGGACCACCTCTTAACGCTGTTCACAGTGGCTCCCTGAGATAGGTACCATTACTAGCCCCATCTTACCGACAAGGAAAGCAAAGTTCAGAGAGGTTAAGTAACCTCCCTAACGTCACACAGCTGACAAGTGGCAAAGCCAAGAAGCACACCCTGGTAGTCTGGCCTCAGAATCCATGCTTTCAACTATGCTGCAGCCATTGCCACTTACTGTCTGGGGAAACACTACGTGCTCAATAAACATCTAATGAATTAATAGGAGTGTACTCGAGAGTTGGCTCCTGGTTCCACCTCCCATCTGCGAAGCTCTTATTTGTGGGCATTGGGCAGGTACAGGCTGGCAATCAGCCTCACCCTGCTTCCACATTGGCATCTCCATTGCTTCATCACCACTGACAGGGAAGCGGGAAATATGGAAAGAGACATTTCTCCAAACAGCTTCATCAGTCACCCTTGATGGGCCCTTTTTTTCTGCTTATACTGACTCATTCATGTCTCTCCAGGAAACTACTCGCTGTGGCTGTTGATAAGCGGTTGAGACACAGGACTGCAGGATGAATGCGCTGGGAGTGGGATGAGAGGGCAGGCAGAGAGGAACCTACAGGGGCTAAGCCCAGCTCAGTATGGCCACAGCTAGGAGAGGAAGGCTGACTCTCAATCCCTAAGGATAAGATACCACAAAGTGAGCAGCAATCAAACTGGAGCTACAAACTGAAGGCTCAGACCTGGGATGCCTCCCTTGGGGAGAGATTTTTTTTTCCCTGGCCCATTCTTTTTCTCTTCTGAGTCAGCAAAGAACTCCTTCTTCCTCTTCTACGGCATGGATTTGACTCTGGGAGGCGGCTGCCCAGCCGAGGACCACGTTACCCAGAGCCCCTTGCATCCAGATACGGCCACTGAGTTGTTCTTGCTGATGGACTGTAAGTGGAAGGCACCTGTGTCTCTTCTGGCCCGAGGTGATTAAGAAGCAGGTTTGCTTTCTCCGTCTTCTCTCTTCTCCTTTCTGCTGGCTTGAAGTCAACATCCAGGGTGATCTGGGAAGTCACATTTGGAAAACAGCAGAGCCTCTATTAGCCTGGGTCCCTGAGTGCCTGTGCGGAGCAGAGATCCCCCACCCCACCCTGACACACATGCATACTTACCATTCAGACCTGACCAACCTTAAAGTGTCAATACGAGCAAGAAATAAACATATACTGTGGCTGAGCCATTATACATGTTTTAGTCTATTTGTTAGAGCAGCTAGCCTACCTGAGTGTTTCCTCCAGACTGATCCTTTGCCTTTTTTCTCCATGGCACCACCATTCTCCTTGTTCATGAAGCCAGAAAGCATCTAGATATATATTCTAGAGAGACTTGTGAATGTGCACACCAGGAACATCCCTAAGAATGTTGACAGCAGCATTGACTGTTACAGCAAAAAAAAAAAAAAAAAAAAAAAAAAAAATGGAAACGACCCAAGTGTCTGTTGACAAAAGAGTATGAATAAATTGTATATAATAAATTCCATTCATCTGGCCAGGCAGTGGCTCACACCTGTAATCCCAGCACTTTGGGAGGCCAAGGCAGGTGGATTGCTTGAGCTCAGGAGTTCGAGACCAGCTTGGGCAACATAGTGAAACCCCATCTCCACAAAAAATACAAAAATTAGTCATGTGTGGTGGTGCACGCCTCTAATCCCAGCTACTCGGGAAGCTGAGGTAGGGGGATGACTTAAGCTCAGGAGGCGGAGGTTGTAGTGAGTTGAGATCGTGCCACTGCACTCCAGCCTAGGTGACAGACCCAGACCTTGTCTCAAAATAATAATATAATAAATTCCATTCATAAAATGGAATGCTTTGTAGCAATAAGAAGGAATGAATTATGGTGACATACAACGTGAATGAAACTCACCAATACGGTGCTGAATGAAAGAAGAGAGTCACAGAACACCACCATTAACATGGCCCTGTGAAAAAATTTCTAACAGGCAAAACTAAACAGTATGCAGTTCAGGGATACTCACATGGGGAAATTATAAAGAGGAGCGAAGGAATGATAAACGCAAATTTCAGATGAGCGCGAATCCTGGGTATGGGGGGAGTGGGAAGTGTCCCCCATAGGGTTGCAGAGGAGTTTGGAATGTTCCCTTTCTTAAAGAGAAGATGCTGAGTACACACGTTTTCTTTTTCTTTTTCTTTTTTGAGATGGAGTCTCACTCTGTCACCCAGGCTGGAGTGCAGTGGCGCGATCTCAGCTCGCTGCAAGCTCCGCCTCCTGGGTTCACACCATTCTCCTGCCTCAGCCTCCTGAGTAGCTGGGACTACAGGCATGAGCCACCACGCCCGACTAATTTTTTGTGTTTTTAGTAGAAATGGGATTTCACCGCGTTAGCCAGGATGATCTCGATCTCCTGACCTTGTGATCCACCCGCCTTGGCCTCCCAAAGTGCTGGGATTACAGGTGTGAGCCACCACGCCCAGCCAGAGTATACAGGTTTTCATTCCATAATTATTCTTTTAGTCATTCAGAAACATTATAAAAAACTTGTCTTGTATTAATGATTTACTTCATAATAAATCAATGAGTAAATAAATCTCAAACTCTGGGAGGGACTCTTGTCCCTGCCTTTTCCCTGTTCCCCACGTCCTGTCCAGTAAGCCCATCCCTTCCGGTTTCCCCACAAAGAGTGAATTGAATGTGGTGGCTTCTCTTCGGCTGAACTAGCTGCCACCTTCTGACTTGTCTCCCTGCTCCCATCCCTCACCCCAAAATTTCATGCTAAGCTTTTCCCCATGCAGAGCTTTCTTTATTATTATTATTTTGAGATGGAATCTTGCTCTGTCTCACCCAAGCTGGAGTACAGTGGTGCGATCTCGGCTCACTGCAACCTCTGCCTCCCTGGTTCAAGAGATTCTCCTGCTTCAGTCTCCCAACTAGCTGGGATTACAGGTGCGAGCCACCACACCCAGCTAATTTTTTTTTTTGAGACGGAATCTCGCTTCATCACCAGGCTGGAGTGCAGTGGCACGATCTCAGCTCACTGCAACCTCTGCCTCCCAGGTTCAAGCAATTCTCCTGCCTCAGCCTCCAGAGTAGCTGGGACCACAGGCACGTGCAACCACGCCCAGCTAATTTTTTGTATTTTTAGTAGAGATGGGGTTTCACCATGTTAGCCAGGATGGTGTTGATCTCCTGATCTCGTGATCCGCCCACCTCGGCCTCCCAAAGTGCTGGGATTACAGGCGTGAGCCACCACGCCCAGCCAAATTTTTGTATTTTTAGTAAAGACGGGGTTTCAGCATGTTGGCCAGGCTGGTCTTGAACTCCTGACCTCAGGTGGTCTGCCCGCCTGGCCTTCCAAAGTGTTGCTGTGTCCTGGCTACACACCTGAGTCACCGAGTTGCTTTGTGTAACATCCCAATGTCCAGACAGAATCTCTGATGGTGGGGGCCTGGCCCTGCTAGGTTTTCATGAGAGCCTTCCAGGTGATTCTAATGTGTAGATGGGTTGAGAACCACTGGTGTGACTGGGTACAGAGGTCACGTGTCTAGGCTCAAATTTGTTTCCCCCACTTAATAGCTCTGTGACCAGGGCAAGCGCTTTCATGTGGCTGTGCCTCAGTTTCCCTGTCTATAAAGTGAGAACAATAGTAATAGCTGCCTGCTGGCATGCTGTGAGGGCTATATCAGATGGTGCTCAGGAAGCATTCAGTACCTGCTGGCACAATGCTTGCACTTGCCGTCATTATGCTGGAGGGGACTTGGGATGACAGTGACTTTGTAGGAAGTGATAGGTCCCATGGACTCTGTCCAGCCATCCAGAATTCCTTTCCAGCCATCCTCACCCAGGGCCCTCCTTCCTGGGCTGCTGGAAGCCGCAGGAGGCCACAGAGTTGGGCAATGCCTGCGGAAGCCCTGCAGCTACTTATTCCAAATTCTGAATAAAGCATGAGTCAGGGCCACCCAGAGCTGCAAATCCCCACAAAAAAGACAGGCTTTCTTGTCAGCTTCTTGTCCAGGCAGGAGCCTCCACCTGGGCCAGTCCTACACAGCTGAGACAAGCAGGGTATGATCTGAGAGTAGCCAAGACAGCTGTCCTGTCCCTACCTCCCTCATTTCACCTCTGGGTCTCAAAGGGTCTTTGTCATCTATTAAAGCGCGGAGATTAGGAGTGTTCTACACAGCAGATGCTTGAGGAAGGGCTGGGGGATGTTATGTAACAGCAGTCATCATTTACTGAGCACTTACTATGCACCATGCACTGTGCTATTGACACTAAGTATATCTTGTGAGTTACCCTACTTCATCCCCATGCAAGCTCTATGAAGCGGCAGTTATTTTGCCCATTTTATGGAGGGGGAAACTGAGGCTCACCCAAGTTATGTGCTCAGCTAGAGAGTACGAGTTCAGCATCTGATGGTCCAACTCCGAGGGGTTTCAGGCAGCCAGCTGGGAGTAGGTGAGTCGGTTGGGTATCTTCCCTTATCCTCAGGCCTGGTCAAGGTTGCCCACTGTGTTAGGGGAACCACAATAGGGTGAAGGGAAATTTCCCTACGAGAACCCAAGCCTCATCCTAGTCTCCCTGGGCTTTCCAGGCCTGAGAGCCAGGCCCCGGAAGGGACCAGGCAGTGTGGCATGGGCAGCTGTCTGGGAAGGCAGTGGCCAGCGGAGGTGACCCCTGACCCCAGGCCTGATGGAGGCAGCTTCCAGTGCTTTTTGGAGCCACCCAGCCTGCATCCATGGGATCCCAGATCTCAGCCCAGCGGAGGGTCCAGAACTGAACACCAGTCCCAGAGTGAGGGTTCATTGACTGCATCTTTCTGCTGCTGCCTCTGTGGATTTCAGAGGGGACCGGGTATGGTCTCACTCTTGGAGGCCAGAAACGGCAGTCAGGGCCTGGTTGCTTGTAGTCAGCAGAAAAATGGTCCTCCAAAGATTTCCACGTTCGAGTCTGCAGAACTCGTGAGTATATGACCTTCTTAGTAAAAGGGAATGAAGGTTGCAGATTGAATGAAGTTCACTCATCAGCTGACCTAGAGAGGGTGGGTGAGCCTTGCTTATCCAGATGAGCCCAGTGTCATCGCAAGGGTCCTTACAAGTGGAAGAAGGAAGCAGAAGAATCCATCAGAGGAAGATACAAAAATGTTACTATGCTGCTGGCCTTGAAGATGGAGGAAAAGCCCAGAAGCCAAGGGGTGTAGGCAGCCTCTAGGAGCTGGCAAAGGCAAGAAAAAGGATTCTTCCCTAGAGCCCAGAAGGAACCAGCCCTTCCAAGATGTTGACTTTAGCTCAGTGAGACCCATGTGTGTGGCAGACGCACCGCCAGCAATAGCTAAACTGGAGCATACCCTGAGAATGACCTTACAGTCTCTGATGAATGTGCATTTGGGATTCCCAGCTATGGAAAGTGCCAACCCGGAGATTCATTTCTTATCTATGAGGAACATTGGGACCCACCACTTATCTCGTAGAATGCAGGCTGTACAGGGGATTGAGGCCCTTTGTTATGGGTGAAATGAAGATTGCCAGGAGGAGGTTATTAGGGTGAGAGTGCTAAGTCAAAATGCTATATAAACTGCATGCTTTTTTTTTTTTTTTTTTTTTGAGACGGAGTCTTGCTCTGTTGCCCAGGCTGGAGTGCAGTGGCATCATCTTGGCTCACTGCAACATCTGCCTCCCGGGTTCAAGCAATTCTCCTGCCTCAGCCTCCCGGGTAGCTGGGATTACAGGTGCCCGTCACTGCGCCTGGATAATTTTTGTATTTTTAGTAGAGACGGGGTTTCACCATCTTGGCCAGGCTGGTGTCGAATTCCTGACCTTGTGATCCACCCGCCTTGGCCTCCCAAAGTGCTGGCATTACAGGCGTGAGCCACTGCACCTGGCTAACTGCATGCTTTTTACGAGCAGAGGTGGTTCCCCTGTCCAGCCCACCACCACTGCACTGCCCCGTATATGAGTCCCCTCAATAAACCTTATGTCTCGGTCACTGGCTCCTGGTCTCTTCTTTGGTCTCTCAAACATGGTGCCATCCCTATCCTTTTTTTTGAGACAGGGTCTCACTCTGTCACCCAGGTTGGAGTGCAGTGGTGTGATCTTTGCTCACTGTAACCTCAAACTCCTAGTCTCAAGCAATTTTCCTGCCTCAGCCTCCCGAATAGCTAGGACTACAGGCCTGTACCACCATGCCCAGCTACTACTGAAGTCAGTAGAGGTCCAGCATGACACCATGTCAGACTTCTGACCTCCAGAACCATAAGATAATACATTTGTGTTGTTTTAAGCCACTTCGTTTATGGTAATTTGTTATAGTAGCCTTCAAAAAGTAATGCACTGACCCTGTCCTTTGCTGTGTGGACAGGTGGATGCCGTGTTCAACTGTGTTTTGCTTCTCGTCCGCCTTGGGGTTAGGTTTTTCACTGCTCAGTTGCCCCACCCACACCAACCTAGAGCACAGGGAGCAACTTTGAGAGGCATTCTGTTTCCAGGGCTTTATGCTGGGTCCACCCAGAGCCCTGTGGCCAGTCTTGGGGGTGAGAAAAGCCTGTTGGAAACTCATCCCTGTTCTCCGAATTTTAGGCACTTGCCTTCTAGAGAGTCACATTTCCCTCCCCAAACCCTTTCAGAAAATAGGATGTTCTCAGCGTCTTCATCTGTCTCAGCTTCCCCTGCTGGGAGAAATGAGGGAGGGAGCTTATTTTGTCAAAATATGGGTATGTGAGGGGACACCGGGAATCTGTTCAGAGAACCTAAGTAAGCCACGGCAAGGAGGCAGCACTGGAGAAACCTACACAGCTCTAGCCACCCAGCCCGGGGTGAGCTTGAGTGTGTTTCTGTGTTTTGCGCCTTGAGGGAAAATAAAGGGGTTGGGAGGGTGGAGGGCAGAGGGACAGTGCCCGAGTGCTCTGAAGTAAGGCTTCCCGCAGCCTCTTGCAGGCGGAAGGAGGATGCTGCTAAGGACACACAAAAGGCCTCCACATGCTCCCCATTGCCCATCCTTCCACAGTGCAACCTCCAGCCACAGCCCGGCCCCTAGCCTTGCCATGCTCACTTGTCCTGGTAGCCTGGCATTTTACCCCCAGGCTTGCTTTTATGTGTCCATATCATTACAGGTGTCCATGGCAGTCCTAACCCATCCTCTGGCCAAGACAAGGCAATCTCAGTCTTATCAAAATTTGGGATGTCAGCCCCAAATTCTTGGGGGTCAAGAAAGCAAATGCTTCAGCTGCAAGAAAGTCCTCTCTCTTTGCTGTCTCATTCTAAGCTCAAAGAAGGGTCAACATGAGAGCCAAGCCATTTGTGTTTCTGTTGATTTATTAGCGAGTGATGGAAACGCAGCTGGACCCATACAGAACACACGTGTAGCTGGCACACACCTCGAGAACCGCCCCCCCACCCCCATCCCCTGAATTCAGTGGTTCATTCCCAGAGTTTTCCCGCTGTGAGCTGCCTTGGTGGATCCAGCCCCTTAGCCCCCTCTCCTGCAGCAGAGCAGGATGTGGAAACGCTGACCAAAGGCCAACAGAGAGCCTGAGACCAATCCAGAGGAGAGGCAGCGTTCTCTCCTCCTGCAGAGAGAAGTCCCAGGGCCAATGAAGCAACCTTCTCCAGACACCTAATATTAACCATCACAAGGTGGATCACCATAGTCAACCATGTGTATTATGGGAACTACTTTTCACCCTTGTACCCAGTCTCCCTAGTACCCAACAATCCCCCAGATACTTTCGTCTCCAAGAAATTCCAGGAGGATTCTGGACAAGGCTGGATTTCTGCATGTCAGATCATGGGGAGTTTATAAGGCTAAGGGACAACTCTCATTGCTTCCACATGCATCTAGAAGCTCCTACTATGTGACAGCTCACGCTGGGTGAGGGTCAACATCTGGGCAGGAGCTTGGCCGGGTGAAAGATGGTTCCGCCCTGATCTAAGTGGATCCACAGCTCCCTTTTTATGGGGGAGGCTTTAGGAAGAATCTCTCCTGCCTGTCCTGCGTGGAGTGGTCTGGTTTTAGGGTTGTTCCTCTGCAGAGAGGAAGCAATTGGACCAAAGCAGAATCATGGATCCTTCCTCTGTTAGGATGCACAGGACAAGATGGCTGATGAGATACGTGGATGTTTCTAGACCCCAATGTGGATTTGTCCCCAAATGGATGATTTCAGAGTGAGAAGGGGACATCTCCATGGGTTGTGTTGAATCACAGGAGAGGCTATAAGAAATGAGGTCCTTCTTTTTGGGGGGCCGAGAAGATTCAAGTCTGAGAACCACATGGGTTGCAGGTGAGGCATGGACACTTCCAGGGAAAAGGCTTCTGAGAGGGACGGTCACCCTCAGTGTTCCATCTGGAGCCTTGGGGTCTCTTGGTGCTTATCGTTCAGGGGCCTGTCTCTGTCTCCACCACCTGGGCCAATGCCCGCCCCAGGGGGACAGGATGGTGGGTGGGAGCTGTCTCAGGGCACCATGTTCCACCACTTGAAAGAGAAGGGCTTTCTGCACACATTGGTGCCACAGTGCACCTCCCCATGCAGCATGTGGTATGGAGTGAAGTCATCAATGAAGGTGCAGTGGAGGCCCAGCGGCTCCAGCAGGGACCGCACCTTCTCCTCCAGGCAGCAGCAGCCATTGATGATGGGCCCAAAGGGCTTGGGGATGCCCAGGTGCTTCCCCAGCACCAGCATGTTCACCTGCAGTCCAAAGGGGAAGCAGCACTTCATCACTGGGCTCCCACCCCACACCTCTACTCTACCTGCAGGACCTAGGTTTGTGTTTTAGACAGCCTTGTCAATAGCTACTCACCCTTTCCTGTGCAATGAGAAGGTAACTGGCTAAAGGGGCTGGGAAGAACCGGTTAGCCAGGTGCCTTTGGGAGCATCCGCAGAACTCACTCTGGCAACGTGCTCTGGAAACTGCCCTAATGTGAATTTGGAATTGTGGATTGTGGCAGCTGCCATGTTTGTGCTGCAGAATCCCAACCTTCTAGGCCATAACTGATTGGGCCAGGGAGAACAGCTGGTCCAAGATGGACCAATCAGAGTCCCTCTCCCAGGAATTTGAAACTGACAATGGGAGCGTCTAGTTGGTCTCTGCCCGTGTCAGTGTCTCTGTGCATGGCCATACTCATCTTTGTCCCCAGGAACAGAGAAGCAAAGGAAGCCAAGCTGGAAGAAGAGGGAGAAGAAGTAGGAGGTGGAGAGGGTGAGAGAAAGAGAGAGAATGAATGATGTAGACACAGAAACAGAGAGGGTTCCAGGCTCTGCTGCAGCTATCCTGCCCTCAGGTTTCTGGTGTCCTTATATTAAGACTCCCTCTGGCTGAAGCTGGCTTCAGTAGGACTCTGTCTCTTGCGAACACAAGAACCTGAATCATTGCACAAACTTCTTGGGGCACATATATAATTACAAGATAGCCTCGAACAGGAAGGAAGGGGAGTGAAAAGAGGCTTTGCAAGCGGAGGGCAAAATGTTGCCTGAAAAGAGGAAGGAAAAAGCGGGGCATGAAGCAATGGTGGTGTGGACAGGTTCCCCACAAGGCTCTGACAATGGGCAAATTGAGTTCTTTTAGGGGATGAGGTGGGGAGGAGTGGAGAGGGGAGCTGGGTGACCTATAGCAGTGCTACTCAAACTGTGTTCCTCTAAAAGGCAGCATCAGCACCACCTGGGTGTTTGTTAGCGCGGCAGCAGTGCCTCGGGCCGTGCTTTAGACCTGCTGAATCAGGACCGCTGGGGTGGGGCCCCACCTGTCCAGGTGTTTCAAAGGCAAGCTCAAGATTTAGAAGCAGGCCAAGCACGGTGGCTTCCGCCTGTAATCCCAGCACTTTGGGAGGCCGAGGCTGGTGGATCACCGGAGGTCAGGAGCTCAAGACCAGCCTGGCCAACATGGCAAAACTCCATCTCTACTAAAAATACAGAAATTAGCCGGGCGTGGTGGTGCACGCCTGCAATCCCACAATCCCAGCTACTCAGGAGGCTGAGGCAGGAGAATCGCTTGAACCCTGGAGGCTGAGGTTGCAGTGAGTGAGATTGTGCCACTGCCCTCCAGCCTGGGCAACAGAGTGAGACTCCGTCTCAAAAAAAAAAAAAGAAAAAAAGAAAAAAAGATTTACAAGCATCAGAGGCAAAGCCCTCAAGGCTCAGTCAAAAGCCACTTCTTCCATGAAGACTTCCTGGATCTCCAGTTCTACCTCTTAGGCTGGAAGTGCTTTGTCTCACCTCCAAACTGCCACATCGCCTTATCCTACAAAATAGATCACTGGGACATGTCCTCAGAGAAGGGAAGAGTTTCCCTCTCAACCGATTAGACTGAAAGTCCCTTGAGAGCAGGGGGCATTCTTAATCATCTCTGCATCTGCCACAGGACACCCTAAATACATGTGGGATGGATGAAGAGCCACAAGCTGGGAGGAAGAGAGCAGAATGAGCATCTGGGTTCCCAGCTGATGCCATGTGCTTTGCACACGTGACCTCATGCAATCATTCATTCACTCCACAAATGTCAAGTGGACCCCTTCCCTGATGCCCCTTGGGCCAGGGCTTGGCCAGCAAGCATTCCACAGGGACCATGGTGGTCAGCCAGCTAGAAGCCCTTCTGAGGAGCACCATAGGACCCCTGATTCTCCCTGCCACCCCCACTGGCCACCACAATCCTAAATATGACTGTGACCAGACATTTTTCCTCTCTCGAGCTTAGAGGTTTGCAGCCTGATTTGGCAAAGGAGTCATGGGTAGTGCCCTCACCAAGTCAGGGAAGAAGGCCGTTGCTTTTTTCCTCTCGGTCTTGAAGAGCTGTGGGATGTCAATGATGTCACACTCTGCCAGGCCCAGCTCCCGCTTCAGCACCTCACGGTTCCAGTCGATGCAGCTCTGGGGGCAGGGGAGGGCCAGAGTTGGGGACACCTTGCCAGTGTGTTTTGGGGGCACCAAGGCATCCTGTCGCTCCCCTCACTTCTTCTGGGTCAAAAGAGGGTGTTGGGACCCCTCTGTCTGGGCCTGTTCTAACCTGAGCTTTCATGAACAGTTAGCCTCAGATGTCTGTATCCCATCCTTGCCTCCAGCCCCGCCTACTCCCAAATCACAGCCCACAGGTACACCACAGCCCTTGTACCTGCACAAACTTATTGTAGTTGATGAGGTCTTTATTGGAGAGCACCTGGTTGATGGAGATGGTCTTGACCTGCTCATCATCTGTGAAGGAGAGAGATGAAAGAGAAGGACAGGGACAGCACCAACGTGAGGACCACCTGCTTAGGGAAGCAGACAGGCAGGAGCCAAGTTCACAGCTAATGGTCTTGCCGAGTCAGCAGCCTCTGACTTTCCCAGGCCTTGGGTGGGTTCCACCTGTCTGAGCTTGCCTTGGCCACTGTGCACATCTTGGGGTATAAGGAGTGGGAGGGTCTGGTTGCCACAGTGGAATGAACTGAGACCTTTATTTGAGTTCACTGGAAGTGGTAACGCCTGTCACTGGAAATGTACAACTGCCCGAGGGCACTGGATGAGGAATCCTCTTGCTTTGGCTTAGCGGGGAGCTGGGTCAGTTGCTGCCCACCCACCCACCATCAGTCAGGTTTTATAGGTTCACTGAGCAGCGAACCAGCCAGTCCTGGGATTCAGACACCATCCAGCCCCAATCCTGCCCTTCAGGGGGTGACTGCGTGAAATGGGGACCTCCCAGGGGTCCAGATTTTCTCAGCCTGATGGTGTGCCCATGCAGATGAGACTGGACAGGGAAGCGGAGGCTAGAGTCAATGGCACACAATCCTCATGGCTGCTACTTAGTAAGCGCTTACCATGAGCAGGCCCCGAGGGGAGTGCCCAGGTTCAGCATCTCATTTAACCCTCACGGTGACCCCCACAAGGTATGCATTATGATCCCCACTTTACAGATGAGAAAACTGAGGCTCAGAGAGGTCAGAAGACTTGCCAAAGGTCACACAGGTAGGATATGTGGGGGCTTGTGATTCAAACCCAAGCCCAGGGCTCGCACAGGGCCTCAAGCCTTGACCAAGGGAAAGGAGAGGGCTCCCCTGACCCATCTGCAGGTCTAACGCCCGCTTCACCCCAGTTTAAGGCAGGAAGCTGGGGTCCAGTCCCAGCTCCACTGCAATCTTGCTGAGGCCTCTGGGCCAGTGACATCCCCTCTCTGAGCCTCACATTCTTGGGAATAAAGGTGGGTGAGAGTCATCCCATTTGATCTCTCGTGAGATCAAATGAGATAACACGTGTGATGCACACAGCGTGAGGCCTGGCGCACTGAGGTGTCTAATCAGTGCTCTGGCCTCTGTGTCTGGCCTCTGTGTCTATGTAATTAATCGCCACAGTCACTGCCTGAGTGTCAGCCCTCGAGGGTGGGGTGGCTGCTTGTGGCCTGCCATCTGTGAATTCTCCCACGCTCCCTCCCAGCTGGGCAGGTTGGAATAACTCTGCTCAACCCATTCCTGGGTCTTGCTCACCATAAGTTCTCCCAGGAAAGATGAAGGTGGCATTTCTCCCTGCCTGGTACATAATTTGGATTTAAGGATTTCTAAGACTTACTCTAGGTTCACCGGAGTCTAGTTAGGGTGCGTTTGGGAGCAACAGGGTCAAGAAAGACTATTTCTCTTCCATTTTATTGCTAAGGCTCCAGGGTTGTGTTGGAAGAAGTTAACGCTAGCAAACAGAGAGCAAGGGGACTTTGGAAATTATTATACTTGGGGGCGTCTAAGTTCTACAGGAGCTTTTTTTCTCTCTGAGCTGTGTTTGGTCTAGGATGCTATCTGCCTTCCCTGAGGCCATGGGACCAAGAAAATCTATGATCCTGCGTGTCAAAGGGTCTTTGCCCTGGGACCTCTGGGGTCACTGAGAAAGGGAGGATCCTCTGGGATTCATGCAGTCTCAGTGGGGCTGGAAAGGGAGTGAATTTGAGAACGCTTCCAGCAAGCTTGCCAGATGACTCCAGTCCAGCCAGCTCTCTCTCTCTCAAAATTCTTCCAGTGCAAAACAAAAAACAAAACAAAAAAAAGTGGGCCCTGGCCAGACACAGTAGTTCACACCTGTAATCCCATACTTTGGGAGGCCAAGACAGACAGATCACTTGAGCTCAGGAGTTCAAGACCAGCCTGGGCAACACGGTGAGACTCCATCTCTACAAAAAATACAAAAAATTAGCCAGGCGTGGTGGTGCATGCCTGTGGTCCTAGCTACTCGCAAGGCTGCGGTGGGAGACTCGCTTAAGTCTGGGAGGTCGAGGCTGCAGTGAGCTGAGATCATGTCACTGCACTCCAGCCTGGCTGATAGACCCTGTCTCAAAAAAGAAGAAAAGAAAATGCCAGCTCCTTGTTTAAAGAGCAGACAAAAGAGTACCATTAAAAGTGCTACAGTATAAAGTTGTTTCTTTGTCCCCGAGTCTCTCTCCTGACTTGTCAGGGTGGTTTTTATTTGCTATTTCACATTGCGCTTTGCCGGGGACTTGCATGGGGCTGGACAGTCCCTTGCTGGTGTCAGGGCCCACCCTGTGGGCCTCACAGCGGAGGCCTAGCTCCCAGGGGGCTGTGCTTGGGCATGCCTCTGCTATGAGACCCACATGCTGTGCCCTGGAACGGGGCTGGCAGGTCCAGTTTGGCATCTCTCATTCCCACAGGACTGCCACCCCAAGCCAAGGCAAATGGGCGACCTCCAGAGTATTGTGGCCTCTGGGTATGTGCTGGGTACCTGAGCAAGCCTGGGTGAGACACTTACCCCTCCCAAGTTGCCCACCAAATGCCCTTGCAGGGCAGGGACGACTGATGCCATGAAGATGCTGAGTGGCACATGTGCCCAACCCCAGCCCTCCCCATGCCCAGGCTCCTGCTGGGGGCAGAGTGCTGCAGCATCTCAGGACAGTGACAGAGATGGGGGAGGCCTTGCACTGAGGCTCCAGGGAGCACAGAAGTAGGCAGCAGAGAATCTGTGCCAGGGAGGCAGGGAGGCTGGGAGACAGGACTGTGCCTGAGCAGAGGCTCCAAGCCCCGTAGATGCTCCACTGATCCATCAGACCTCACAAAACAGAATTAAGATTTCAGGGCAGCCAGGTGTGGTGGCTCACGCCTGTAATCCCAGCACTTTGAGAGGCCGAGGCGGGCTGATCACCTGAGGTCAGGAGTTCGAGACCAGCCTGACCAACATGGAGAAACCCCCGTCTCTACTAAAAACACAAAATTAGCCGGGCGTGGTGGCGCATGCCTGTAATCCCAGCTACTCAGGAGGCTGAGGCAGGAGAATCGCTTGAACTTGGGAGGCGGAGGTTGCGGTGAGTGGAGATCACGCCATTGCACTCCAGCCTGGGCAACAAGAGTGAAACTCCGTCTCAAAAAGGAAAAAAAAAAAAGGGAGATTTCAGGATAGTGACTGCAGAACATTAAAGCTCCACGCCGTGACTGCACTGGTCACCTGCCTGGGAAGCCACTATGTCCCCGCTCAGTCCATGTCCACCTTCTATCACCCCGCTTCCCACCTCAGCTCGGCCCCAGCTGTGGGCAGTGGTGTCTGGTGAAGCAAGGTGTGCAGGGGCAGGAGTGAGAAGCCCTGAATTTGGGGACACACCCCTGCTTTAAAACTTGCCCTCCCCCTCTCAAGCCATGATGTGTCTTAATTTGGGTAAGGGGCAGGCAAGCCGCAAGGAGGGACACGGCACTGTTACCCACCAACAACCCCCTGGAACAGGAGGGCCCTCCCGTGGCCACACTTCTGCTTTTCCTGGAAGAGCTTGAAGCAGGCCCCAGGGCTGGCCAGGAGCATCCGGAAGCCCTGCGTGCAGAGAACAGATTCAGCTGAGCCTCCTGCCTTGGCATGGCGCCCTGGAGCTCAGTTCTTGCCCCAGATGCCAGGGAAAGACACGTCATGCACGAAGTTCTTACCTTCCCATCGGGGGCAGGGACAAAGCTCAGAAACTCATCCACATGGCCCACGGCCAACCAGTCCACAAAGAGCTCCACGGGGGGCTGCACCTTCTGGGCATGGAGGAAGTCCCGCACCACCTGGGTGACCCTGCGGCCACTTGACCTGGGACCCACGAGGTTAAAAAAAAAGTTGCTTAACTAAAAAGACTCCATGCAGAAATAAAATGACAAGAGTTTAGCATTCCTGCAATATCTGATTTTTAAAAAACAAAAAAACATGCATTACTTTTATAAACAGGAAAGTAATAAATATGTATATTTCATTTTATTTATTTATTTATTTTTGAGATGGAATCTCACTCTGTCACTCAGGCTGGAGTGCAGTGGCGTGATCTCGCCTCATTGCAACTTCCGCCTCCCAGGTTCAAGGGATTCTCCTGCCTCAGCCTCCCAAGCAACTGGGATTACAGGCGTGCACCACCAGGCCAGGCTAATTTTTCTGTATTTTTACTAGAGATGGGGTTTCACCATGTTGGCCAGGCTGGTCTCGAACTCCTGACCTCAAGTGATCTGCCCGCCTCAGCCTCACAAAGTGCTGGGATTACAGGGATGAGCCACTGCACCCAGCCAGATACGTATATTTTAAAATTCCACTTAGGGTGAGTTCTGCATGAGGCAGACTCAGGACAGGTCAGTCACACCAGGGCAATGACCTACCAGGTCCCACCATCCAGGAAAATCTTCAGAACCACCCTCACACCAGGTTCTTATTCTCCAAGAGACAGATTTCACCCCCATGTTCAATTTTTACGAAAATGTATCTAAGGGCATGGTCCAGCTTCCTCTTTCAATGGGATTATGTATTTGAGGGCAGTAGTCCCTTCCAAAGCTTGACTCTGGATTCATTCATTATTTGATCCCAAGTCTGTTCTAACAGCTTTGTTGCATTTGGTTAGCTCAATGTCTTGGTCTAGTCCACAGCAAGTAACCAATATGATAGGATTCCTTTTCCATCAGCACCCCTGTGTCACTACTGAACAACACATCATTTGTTACTCTCTCTGTATGTTATTGTCATTTCACTTAGCATGTCTTGTACCTCACTTCTCTTGCTCTCAGGAAAAGATCTTATATTAGTCATTTACATGGTAGTATGAACAAGCTTTGACCTAAATGCATTTTCTCCCAGGACTGTTGGGAATGGAAACTTTTTCTTTGTTACTTTTTTTTTTTTTTTTTTTTTTTGAGACGGAGTCTCGCTCTGTCGCCCAGGCTGGAGTGCAGTGGCATGATCTCAGCTCACTGCAAGCTCCACCTCCTGGGTTCATGCCATTCTCCTGCCTCAGCCTCCTGAGTAGCTGGGACTACAGGCGCCTGCCACCACGCCTGGCTAATTTTTTTTTTTTTTTTAGTAGAGACGGAGTTTCACCATGTTAGCCAGGATGGTCTCGATCTCCTGATCTCATGATCCGCCTGCCTTGGCCTCCCAAAGTGCTGGGATTACGGCATGAACCACCATGCCCACTCTTCTTCTGTTACTATTAATTGACTGTTACTAGTATCATCTATTTATTTTCAGAATCAGAAAACTTGAGTCTAGTTATAACTTTGCTTTCTATGTGACTCACTTACCCTCTCTGGGCCCACTTGTAAAATGAAAGTGTTGGACTGAATGATCTCTTAGGTCTCTGCTCTCTCTGGTTTCAGAGTCCCCGAGGTAAGTGTGGACTGTGTCTGGTGAACACCCACCAACCCCAGCACATCCGGGAGTATAATTTCATCATTCCTTGCTTCTGGCTCTCTTCAAGGAGTGCAATGGCCCCTGCTCCACCATCATCACCACCCCCAACCCTCAGCCTCCACCCCAGGAACTCCATTCCCTGTCTCTCTCTCACCCAGGCAGGTTGCCCCCAATGAGGATCCTCCCCAGGGGGTACTCTTTCCCATTGGCCACCACTGGAGGGCTGACCTCCAGGTTCCCAAAGGAGTCCAGGCCACTCACAGACCTGTCGCGTGGTTCCCGAGTCACGTAACCAAAATCTGGACCCTGGAGAGGGAAACCAAGTCAGGCGGGGGTGGAGGGTACCAGGAAGGGCCTGAACCAACTTGCTGGGCTTTGAGCTCCTTCAAGACAGGGTGGGAAAGGCCATCCATTCTTCAGGTGGAAATACAGAGTCATTGGCGGTGGGTGGGGGATCTGACCCAGTCAATATTTCATGCACGCATAGCAGGCAAAGTCGGGAAGTGCTCGGACTCTCTGGCCCTGCTGCCTTATCACGGCAAGACAGCAGGGGGCGCTCCGGTTGCTCCTGCACTCCCCATCGGACATGGAGCCTGAGGCCATGGCCACTCCATCCCCTTACCTACACAGCCTTCCTGCAAGTTCAGCCCAAGGGCAAGTAGCAGCTCAAGTGGCCAATTGTGGGAACCAAGAGGCTGCTGATGGCCCTCTGGGCCTCTGTCTTTGAACTCTAGAGAAGGGGAGACCTCCCCAGGGCTATCTCTCAGAAGCAACTTCGACAACATCAAGGGTCAGGAGAGAGAGCTCCTAGCATCTGTGTGATCAGTGAGGGGGTTGGAGGGGTCTCTTGTTCTTTACGGCACCAGGCAAGTCACTCTTGTTTTCTCAAGAGGTCCTCGTTAGCAATCATCACCTTCCCTGTTATCCTTTTTCTTAAAATAATGATACTAGCTAATAGTGGTGCGCGCACACACACTCCCTCCATGCAGGTACTGTGATGATGAGATGCTTCACAAACCCCTGTGAGGCCAGGGCCAAAATGTCATTTTTACTGATGAGGAAACTGAGGCTCAGAGAGCGGTAGTAACTCACGCAACATCACACAGCATGTAAGTAACGGAACAGGGTTGGTCTGACCCTAAAGCTTGTGCTCTGAACAGGTGCACCATCCTGCCTCCCCTATTTAGGGCTGCCAGATTCAGTAAATAAAAATACAGGATGCCCAATTAACTTTGAATTTTAGATAAACGACAACTTTTTTAGTGTAAGTATATCCCATGCAATATTTGGGACGTACTTACACCAAAAAGTTAACCTGTTGCTTGTCTGAAATTCACATTTGACTGGGCATCCCTGCATTTTATCTGGCAACCCTACCCTCATCCCTAAAGAGCACGGTTCCCACTGCTGCCCTCTGTACCCCACACCCCGGTGTGGCCCCTGGGGTAAGGCCTCTCAGCTCTCAGGGGTGGGCTGCGGCCGGGACCACTCACCAGGATTCTTTTGTAAGGGAAATCCTGCAGTTCCCCATTCCTTGGGGAGTCAAAGACCACCGGGAGGGTCTTGTGCGGCGCCTGAACGTAGCCCAGCTCCATCTCATCCTGCAAGTGAGGAGAGGCGAGAGACGCACAGCTGTGACAGTCAACAGCTGCCCCTGCTGGCTCGGCTCTGAGCCCTGTGGGGCAGACTGCTCACCAAGTCCCCTGGCCCAAGCATGTTTTGTGCTTGGAGGCGGACAGGACCGAGGTCAGGGTGCCTGCTGACTGGAGGAGGGGCTGGAGGCTCAAGGAGGGGGTGCACTTGTCTAAGGTCACACAGCAAGACAGAGGCCGGAGGTGAACGAGAACATGGACATGACCTTGGGGGTGTCCCTGTGAGTACTGGGCCAAGGCAGGTGGACACAGAGAAGCACTCACAGTGGCCTGAGTTGGATCCATAAATGTGCCCAGGTCAGTCCTGACCCCTCTGGTTCTGGAGGAAAAGATGGCCCAGTGTGAATGAACTTCACATCCAGGTCCTGCCCTAAACTCTTTATAAACATTAACTCCATTCATCCTCATGACATGCCTGGGCGTGGGCACCATAATTATCCCATGTGACAGATGAGGAAAATGAGGAACTAAGAGGTCTAATTATTTATCCAGTCCGGGCACGGTGGCTCACACCTATAATCCCAGCACTTTGGGAGGGTGAGGCGGGAGGATTGCTTGAGGCCAGGAGTTTGAGACAACCCTGGGCAACATGGCAAGACCCCATCTCTACAAAAAATTAGCTGAGCCTGGTGGCTGCACCTGTGGTCTCAGCTACTCGGGAGACTGAGGCAGAAGGATCACTTGAACCCAGGAGTTCCAGGCTGCCAGTGAGCTGTGATCATGCCATGGCACTCCAACCAGGGTGACAGAGAGACACTGTCTCCAAAAAGAAAAATAAATTCAAAATATATTAATTTAAAAAAATAAATAAAAATTAAAAAATATTTGTCCCAAAGCTCACAGCTAGTTAGTTGGTGGCACAGCCAGGCTCTAAACCCAGCCCATCGTGCCCCAGAGTCCTGCCCCAAACCCTCTCACTGGACTGACCTCCGGCCAAGAGGAAAGCTCCTTAACTTGGAATTCAAGGTCTCCGACCTCAACCCTTGCCTTTCTCAGAACCAGTGCCCTGACAGAGGAGAACACACAAGGTTCTCTCTCCTGCCTCCCACCCCCGGGCCTTTGCGCATGCTCGGTCTCTGCCAGGACCACCAACCTGTACAGCCTGGTGCTTGGCAGCCTGAGTCCTAGCACTGCCTTTACCAGCTCTGTGGCCCAGTCATGCTCCCCTAAGAGCTCCTGAATTATGGGGGACTTACAGGGGGTTATCAAGAAGATGAAATGATGCTATGCCTGGCCTGCAGAAAATGGGGCATAAATGGCAGAAGTCATGTGCCCTCATCTGCCAAATCTGGTCCAGCTCAGATGCTCTCCCTCCTGGAGGTCTTCACTGATTCCCTGGGCAGAGGTGATGCTGCATCCCCCAAACCCTACTGGTGCTTTGCTGGTATAGCCTCTGCACCCTAGATATTTCTTTTTCTCTCTCTCTCTCTCTCTTTTTTTTTTTTTTTTTTTGTTGTTGTTGCTGAGGCTGGAGTGCAGTGGCACAATCACAGCTCTCTGCAGCCTTGACCTTCCTAAACTCAGGTGATCCTCTGACCTCAGCCTCCAGAGTAGCTGGGACTACAGACACACGCCACCATGCCCTGCTAATTTTTTAACTTTTTTGCAGAGACAGGGTTTCACCATGTTGCCCCAGCTACACACTAGATAGTAGGAGTAGGTATTTTTGTAGCAATCATTCTGCACATCAAGGTTTCTCAGCCTCGACACTACTGAGGCGTGGGACTGGATGATATGTTATTGTGGGGGCTTGTCCTGCGCACTGTCTGCAGATACTGCAAAACGTCTCCTGGGGACACATCGCCTCTTGATGAGAACCACTGGTCTCAGCTGTTGAGGGCAGGGAGTGTGTGTCTCACACCTGTGCCACCCCTGTGGGCCTAGCCTAGTGCCTAGCCCAGATCCGGTGGGTGAATGGGTGTTGAATCCAGGATCAGCGTGGGTCTCCAGAAGGTTCTGGAGAGAAGCCTCTAGGTCTCACATTAGAAACGGCAGCAAGTTCCCTGGGGAGCACCCAGGTCCTCCTGGATGTTTCTCGGTGGCCCCCAAATGAAGGCCTCTCTCTCCAGGATGGCGTCCTTGCTGGGCCCTGCCCAGTGGCTGTGGTTACCTGGATCCAGCGGTCGTTGCGGTTCTCGGCCTGTGGGCAGATGGTCAGCTTGCAGCCGGCCTTCCTGGCCAGCTCTGCCACCGCATCCACAAAACACGTGTTGTTCCTCACACTACGGACAAGCCCAGGGAAGAGGGGCTCAGGATGGAGCCGGGGCCTGGGGGCCAGAGGGACCACCCACTGCCCCAAGACTCACCGGCACACATACACCTCTAGGGGTGGCAGAGTGCTGGGCGTCATGATCCAGGGTGCCACTCGGAACACCACAGTGTCAGTGAAGATAGGGGATGCCGAGAAATCCTGCAGGGGCAGACCAGGGGAGAAAGAGCACTGGACTTGGAGTCCAGAGGCCTGGGGGGACTCTGATTCCACCACTGTGGTCCATAAGAAAACCCCTTGCTTCTCTGCAAGATGGAAATGAACCAGAGGGGTGGTCAAGAAGTCTGGGGTCTTTCACACCAGTGGTGCCTGGTAGACTTACCAGGAATGGAGTCCTCCCCACTGCCCTTTATTATTATTATTTTTTGGAGACAGGGTCTTACTTTGTTGCCCAGGCTGTGGAGTGCAGTGGGGTGATCATGGCTCACTGCAACCTCAACCTCCCTGGGGTTCAGGTGATCCTCCCACCTCAGCCTCCCAAGTAACTGGGACTATAGGTGTACACCACTATACCTCGCTATTTTTTTTTTTTTTGTAGAGATGGGGTTTCACCATGTTGCCCAGGCTGGTCCCGAGTGGAGCTCCTCTTGAACCCCCTCTGTCCCTACCTCGTTGGAGTCGTCCAGCAGAGTGACATGGAAGGAGATGAGTCCTGTGAAGCCGGCATCAGGGAAGGACAGGCCTTCCACGAAGAAGCGCTCCTCATCCCCATGCAAGCGGGGTACCTCATAGGACACCTTATCTTGGCCCAGCACATGCCTATAGGCCTCACACACATCCTCAGGACCTGGAAGGGGAGGGACGGGGTGGCTGTGACTCCCTGTGGGCCCAGGGAGCATGAGTATGAGGGACACAGGAAGAGGTCTGCAGCCTCACCAAAAATTCCAAGTCCTCCAACAACTCCCTCCTTTCACCTCCACTGGCAAAGGAGAGGACAGGTAATACACAGTGGGGGCCACGGCTGGGGGAAAGGGTCTTCCTTTCTAAGACTGGCGCTCATACCTTTTTGGAGCACAATTTGGCAGCATCCAACAAAGTAATGTTTACCCCAAGCCCAGCAATTCCACTGCTAGGTATCTTTCCTACAAAAATACATCTACAGGCTGGGCACGGTGGCTCATGTCTGTAATCACAGCACTTTGGGAGACCGAAGGCGGTGGATCACCTGAAGTTAGGAGTTCAAGACCAGCCTGGCTAACATAGTGAAACCCTGTCTCTACTAAAAATACAAAAATTAGCCGGGCGGTGGTGGTGCACACCTATAATCCCAGCTACTCAGGAGGCTTAGGCAGGAGGATTGCTTGAACCCAGGAGGCGGAGGTTGCAGTGAGCCAAGATCACACCACTGCACTCCAGCCTGGGCATGGAGCGAGAATCCATCTCAAAAAAAACCAAAACCAACAAAAAACAAAACAACAACAACAAACAAACAATAATAGGTACAAAGTCACATAATATTTCTGTACAAGAGTGCTCGATATTCATTAATTCATCAAATATTTACTGTGCAACTACAGTGCACCCATGGGGCACGGTTCTGGACTTGAACAAAGCCCCTGACCTCAAGCAACCTGCATTGTTATAAAATCAAAACACTGCAAACCACTATGATGTTCAGAGAACTGTGTAAGTCACAGCACCTCTATGCTTAGGAATATTATACAGCAGTGGAAAAGAATGAAGTAGAGCTCAATAAATACCAGAAAAGGTGTGTGGGATTATTACTTAATGAAAGAAGCCGGTTGGAAAGCAGCATATGGACACACGCTGGAGAACATGTAGAATAAAGTTGGGAAGCACACATCCCAACTCGTTAACAGTGACAATCAGATTCAGGCCAGGTGCGGCGTCTCACGCCTATAATCCTAGTACTTTGAGAGGCCAAAGCGGGTGGATTGCTTGAGCCCAGGAGTTCACGACCAGCCTGGGCAGCATGGTGAAACCCTGTCTTTACAAAAAAAAAAAAATTAGCAGGGTGTGGTGGTACATGCCTGTAGTCCCAGCTACTCGTGAGGCTAAGGTGGAAGGATTGCTTGAGCCTGAAAGGTGGAGGCTGCAGTGAGCTGAGATCATGCCACTGCACTCCAGCCCGGGCAACAGAGCAAGACCTTGACTCAAAAAAAAAAAAAAAAAGTCAGATTTAGAGACGGGTAGAGAACTCTCAGGTTTCATTTTCTATACTTCCATATTGTCTGATTATTTAAAAAATAAGCGGCCAGGCACGGTGGCTCACGCCTATAATCCCAGCACTTTGGGAGGCCGAGGCGGGCAGATCACAAGGTCAGGAGATTGAGACCATCCTGGCTAAGACAATGAAACCCTGTCTCTACTAAAAATACAAAAAATTAGCTGGGTGTGGTGGCACATGCCTGCAGTCACAGCTACTTGGGAGGCTGAGGCAGGAGAATCGCCAGAACCCAGGAGGTGGAGGTTGCAGTGACCCGAGGTCACGCCACTGTACTCCAGCCTGAGCAACAGAGCGAGACTCTGTCTCAAAAAAAAAAAAAAAAAAAAAAAAAAAGCATCTTATTACTTGTATACATTTTTAGTTTCTCAAAGGCATTTAGATTTTTACTTGTATTTCTTGTGATTTTGGCAGACTATGTAAAACAACAGCCATCTATATTTGGGGGGAATACAAACTGAATTAATTGGGTGAAATCTATGGTGTTTGGGGTTGGTTTTACAAAACTTCAGCGAGACAGACAAAACAGTGATAATTGTTTAATCTGAGTGACAGGCACATGGGGATTCACAGCACTGCTTTTTGTGTATGTTTGAAATTTTTGATAAGAATTTCTACACATGCTTAAAATGTATTTGAAAAGGTCATTCATCAAATAAAATGACCTCAGGCCAGGTGTTGTGCTGGGGGCACCAGTTCATCAGTTCCAAAGCCCCCACTTCTGACTGTTCTTACTGCGACCCGCCACCCACCAGGGCATCTCCCGGAGTGTAAGCAGGACCTGCCCATGGCCCAAGGCAGGAACAGGAGGTTCCCTGGTAGGCAACCTGGCAACAGGGCACAGATGGCAAGGGGCAGTGGCACAAACTCACCGCAGATGTGGAAGACCTGTGCCCGTTTGGCATCATAGCTGGAGGTATGGAGGACAAGTTTGTGGTCATCAAAGAGGGCTGCAGGGCCCTGCGTCCGCAGGACCATGACAGACATGTCTTCCAGGTCTGTGAAGCCAGACAGAGTGGTAGTGACTCAAGGGAGTCCTGGCCCCTGGCCCCTTCCTCTGCTGCCCAGCTCCCTCCCCAGGTCAGTGGGTATCAAGACCTGGGTCTCCCAGCCCTAGCTTTGTGAAAACCCTGGAAGCCATCAAGAACAAACCATGAAGACATCTATGCTCTCCTGGACTCATGTTTCCTCAATTGCCCAGAGAAACATGAAGTGTGGCATAGCCAGCTGGTGTCTGACACACAACAGGTGCTCCAGAGAAGCAAGGAGGGTAAGGCCATGTGGGCGTCGTGCAGGTAAGGGTTCTGGCCTCCATCCCAGCATCACTCCCTGTGACCCTGGACAAGCCCCTCCCTTCTGGAGCCCCAGCATCCCCATGTCCAATGGTGCCCACTTCAGAAGGCAACCGTGGGCATCTCCCGTGGACAGCACCTAGCATACCCTGGAATATTGCAGCTCATTCTCCATGGGGCTGGAATTCAGGACAGATGGACTTAGCAAGAGGTGGGGGAGTCACAGAAATGTAGGCCAGAGGTGCTGAAGGAGGAGGCCCAGATTTGGGGTTGAGAGGGGAGGCCCCAGATCAGACACAGTCTTCAGGGAGTCTCCTGGCTTCTGAGTCTCAGCATCCTCATCTCTAAATTGGGGTGATGATATTGTCCCACTTGGATGATTCAATGAGAATTTGGGGAAAAGGCCTGGCACACAGTAGGTGCTCAAATAATGCTAGCATCCTCTGCTCCCCTGGAGGAAGAGAATGGCGAGGTGGCTCATTTCCAGAGCTTCTGCCCTGGCATGTGAGTGCTCACTGGCCCTAGAGACACTAGGGAGGGGCAGCTGCCAGCCTGAGATGGGTTTTGAGGAGCATCGAGGTGTGTCTGGAGGCTGGCGCTCTCCCCTGGACTCTGGCCTCAGAGTCTCGCCTGTGGGTTGGAACTCCCATGGGGTAACTGAGCAGTGACCCTGGACACCCAGGGACTCAGGCTGCCCCGGCCTCACCTTGCAGGCAGTGCACGTGCTGGTCACAATTGTCCTGGACATCACAGCTCGGATCATCACGGTCACAGTTCACCAGCAAGATGCCGCCATACCCACTGGGCCCCCAGACCCACTGCCGCTGCCAATGACAAAACATAGCCAGTGATGAGGGCTCAGATGAGACCTGTGCCTCCCTACCCAGGAACCCGAGCCTGGCCTGTAACCACCCAACCCTGTGAGGCTAGGTCCACGTTCTCGAAGCACCTCCTTCTCAAGACATGTCAATGGCAATGGCTCTCTGTTGCCCACACCATCCAGTCCAAAGCACAGAGCTGTCTTTCATGGCTATCTGTGATGGGCCTTCAGCCAACATCCTCTTTCTCAATAGGCAACCTGATTATAGGACCACACGCCTCACTCTGTGCTCATTCCTCCATTAAACCCTCCTTGGTTTTGCTCCTGCCATTCCCTGCACCTGGAACGTCCTCCCTCCTGCACCCCTTCAGAGCTCAGCTCAAGGGTACGTCCCTCCAGGAAGCCTTCCTCACCCACCCAGCCCACCTCGACCTTCTCCTCTTAACTCCCAGGGCACCAAGTTCCAACATAATTCAGTCCCAAGTTCTTCAACAGTTTCATATTTGGTTTCTCTTCTCGCCTAGGTCAGGATCAGCACATTATGAACTGTGGGCCAAATCTGGCCTACTGCCTGTTTGTATAAATAAAGTTTTATTAGCACACAGTCACATCCATCCATTTCTGTATTAACTGTGGCTGCTTTCACACTATAGTGGCAGAATTGAGACCATATGTCCCACAAAGCCTAAAATACTTGCTATGTGACTTTTCACGGAAAAAGTTTGCCCACTCCTGACCTAGTTTATGAGTCCAGAAGGTCTTGATCCCACAAACCAAGGCCTAGCTCAGGGCTGGGTACCTCCATGCCTGATAATTCCTGGCGATGATTTTTCTCCTGGTGAAAGAAGATCCCCAGCCATGCCTGGTTTCTGTTTTTGGCCCTTGGTCTCGGCATCAGCTGGGAGGCAGGGGGATATCTGTAATGGCCTCATCCTTCTTAACCCAACCTAGAGCAAGCTCCAACTGCACTCCTGCTTCCTGGGCCCAGGCAGAGATGCTTACCTTGTCTACAAAGTTCCTGTCCTGCCTTCCCTCACAGTTCAGGTCGCAATCCAGAGAGATGTCTGCAAGAGGAGGCAGAGGGTAAGTCACTACAAGGTTCCCAGGAGCCCAGGGCAGGCCTTGATCTCAGGGCTTGTCTGGGGCTGAGCAAAGGCAAGTCATTTCTAAGGAGACACCATCCAAGAGGTGAGGGCATCTGCACCCTCTGGGCTGGGGAAAGAGGCCTGAGGCAAGAAGCAGGGTCACAGCAAAGGCCCAGGACAAATGCTGCCCCCTCTAGGGAGACTTCCCTGACCACTTCCTATCTGCATCCCTGCAGCCCTTGCAGTCCCAGGCATGCCCTGAACTGAGCCCAGGTCTCCAGGAACATTCTTGTCTATATAAAGCTGCCTCATCTCCTTGGAATGGGGTAGCAAGCCTGGACTTTGGTGTCAAACAGATGTGAACACAAACCCAGGTTCTGCCGCCTCCTGGCTGTGTGTCCTTTCTGAGCTACTCGCAGTCCCCAAATCCCACCCCCATCCCACCTTCTTAACATTTAGCCCTAGACACTGGGTGAGATTTCATAATGCAAATGGAGCATTCAGGAGGTCAGAATCAATCTTTCTGCTCTGAAAAAAAAGCAGTCTTCTTAGTTCTTAAAGAAGAAGCAGTGAGGGGCAGGGAGGGAGAGAAGAAAGAATACATTAGATAGGATTTTTTTTTTTTTTTGAGACAAGACAGGGTCTCTGTCGCCCAGGCTGGAGTGCAGTGGCATGATCATGGCTCACTGCAACCTCTGCCTCCTGGGCTCAAGTAATCCTCCCACTTCAGCCTCCTGAGGCTGGGACTACTGGTGCATGCCACCATGCCCAACTAATTTTTGTATCTTTCATAGAGGCAGGATTTCACCATGTTGCCTAGGCTGGTCTTGAACTACTGGGCTCAAGTGATCCACCCACCCCAGCCTCCCAAAGTGCTGGGATTACAAGCATGAGCCACCACGCGTGGCCTGAAATGATTTTTAAACATGTGAAAAGATACTCAACCACCATGCAACAAGTGGATAAATCTCACAAACATAGCATAGGGCAAAAGACGCCCAACGCAAAAGAACATACATGATATGACTGCATCCACAGAAAATCAGATGATAAAATGAGACCATGTTATTTGGGTATTGCGTTCAAGAGATAAAACCATGAGGAGAAGCAAGAAAATACTTATCACAAGATAGTGGTTACCTGTAGGAGAAGGAGGGAGTTATGATCAGAGACGGACATTGAGGGGGACTTTGGGGTTCTGGTAGTGTTTCATTTCTTGGGCTACTCTTGGGTTTATTTTCTGAGCTATTCTTTGATTTGCTTTGTAATTATTCGTGTGTGTGTGTGTGTGTGTGTGTGTGTGTGTACATATGCTTTATGCACATATGTATGTAAAATAAAGCTTTATGTACTTTTCTGTCTATGTTATTTTCCAATGATCATGTGTGTATGTATTTGGGCTGCAGATGGGGAATGCCCAACCTCACTCCTAACTAAAGAAAGGCAAAGTAAAACCACAGTGCAATGCCAACTGATTGGCAAAAAGGGAAAAAGTTGCTAATGCAGTGTTGGCAAAGCATATATGCAGTTGGCAGACATGTATACTGATACAGTGTTTTTGGAGAGCAGTTTGGCAATATCTATCAAGTTAAAAAATATAGATTCTCTATAACCTAGAAGTTCTGCTTCTAAAAAATGCCTCCTACAGATAAAGCATTTTCAACTTCTTTGCTAATTGCTTCTCAAGTGTGTGAGCCAAAGCAAACTCCCACCCACTCCTTTGTAAGGAGTTTCCCAGCTCCACAACCTTGGCAATGCTCATTTAGGCATCTTTTAATTTGGGTTTTGATCACTGGGACTTTCTCTTCTGTGAATTGTTTATTCATGTTTTTGCCCATTTCTATTATTTTTGTCCTTTTCTTATTGATTGGAGTTCTTCATATTCTATATGCACCAAGTCAGCCGTATGCATTGCAGATTTCTTCTCCTAGTTCACAGTTTGACTTTTTACTTGTTGTCTGTTGCATATAAATTTTTAATTTTAATACAGTCTAATTTAGCAATCTTTCCCCTTATGGTCTTTGCACTTTTGTTTTGCCTTGTTAAAGAAAATCTTTACTATTTTGAGGGTACAAAGATATTCTTTTCTAAAAGCTTTACAATTTTGATTTTCACCTTAAGATTTTTAACTGACTTGAAGTTTATTTTTGAGTATGGTGTGAGGTAGGGCTCCAAGTTCATTTATTGCCACATGATAACCACACAAGCATGGGTCTGTCTATGGGTTCTCTATTTGCTCTATTGCTCTATACCAATTTCACAATGCCTCAAGTACTATAGCTTGAAAAAAAAGTCTTGATATTTGGAATTGTGAATCCCTCAACCTTATTCTTCATCAAAATTGTCTTAGCTATTCTTGACCTTTGCTTTTCCATACAAATTTTAGGATCAGCTCTGTAAAGTTATATTAAAAAGCCATGTTGGGGCTGGGCACAGTGGCTCATGCCTGTAATCCCAGCACTTTGGGATGCCGAGGCAGGCAGATCATCTGAGGTCAGGAGTTCAAGACCAGCCTGGCCAACATGGAGAAACCCTGTCTCTACTAAAAATACAAAAGTAGCTGGGCGTGGAGGCATGTGTCTGTAATTGCAGCTACTCAGGAGGCTGAGGTAGGAGAATCGTTTGAACCCAGGAGGCGGAGGTTGCGGTGAGCTGAGATTGTGCCATTGCACTCCAGCCTGGGCAACAAGAGCAAAACTCCTTAAAACAAACAAACAAACAAACAAAAAAGCCACGTTGGAATTTCTATAGGAATTTCATTGAATTTAGACTGTTTGATACTGTCACAGAGCTCTTAGATCTGTTATGTTTTTTCATTTGTTTGTTTTATTCTTTTTTCTCTTTGGGTTTCAGTTTGGGTAACTTTTATTCACTTATCTTCAAGTTCACTGATTCTTTCCTCAGCTGTGTCAAGTCTACTGGTGAAACCTTCAAAAGCATTTTTAAAATCTCTTATTACTATGGTTTTTATGTCTAGCATTTCCATTTGACTCTTTCTTATTGATTTTCTTCTCTGTTGAAATTCCCCATCTGTTCATACATATTGTCTACCTTTTCCACTAGAACCCTTAACATATTAATCACTATTACTTTGCATGCCCTGTCTGATAGCTCCAACATCTGAGCCATCTTGCACGGAGTTTATGTATCCATTTGTGGAGGCTTAGCAGAAAAACTTTAAGCTGGCAAAAGCAAGGTCCAGTTCCATGTCTATAGTATGCTTCAATTTGCTTACAAAAGAGGGGGGATATACAGGTATGTATGTGCTTTCATATATAAGCACAGCGTATCTCTAGAAAAATGCTGGGTTTGGGGAACTAGAAGTCTTGAGTTGGAGGGAAGGAGGTTTAATTTTCAACGTATACTCTTTTGTACTGCTTGAATTTTTCAAATGTGCCCTTGGCCACACCATCAACATGGCCCCCAACTTACCAACACAGGTGAGGTAGAGCACCGCATAGGCCAGGGGCAGAGGCTCATGGCTGGAGTGGTAGGAAATCTGAACCTGTGGAGAGTTGGGCGCAGAGTAATACCAGCAGAAGCCAAGAGCTCCCGCCCCAAAAGATAGCTCTCGGGGATCTGGTAAGGAGGGGAGGGGGCCCAAGGAACCTTGCTCTTTCTTTAACCTCCTCTGTGCCATTTATTTTTCTGTGTCTTGGTTGGCATATCTGTAAAATGGGAGCTATTTGTGAGAGCTTCTCAAGAGACTTGGGTCCCAGTCCCTCCAATAACCTACTCTGTGATTTTTGACAAGCTCTTGCTCCCCTTTGGGTCTCAGTTTTGCCATTTGTAAAATAAAGGGTTTGGGCTGGGCAGGGTTTGGGGACACTCTCCAAGCCAACATTCTTGTCTGTGGGACTCAGACAGGCCCGGGCTTGAGCCCGGCACCTCTGGGTACTCTATGACCTTGGCCAAGGCCTCTCACCTACCTGAGCCACCTCAGTTTTCTCCTCTGCAAAATGGGAAAAGGCCTCTACCTCTATAGGTCTCTACCTCAGAGGCTTGTAATGCAGCTTGGAAACAATACATGTAAAAGACTGAGCCCATAGGAAGTGCCCAAGAAATACTAGCTACTGTTATCAGTGGGCAGGTGGCATCTTGTGGGGTGGGGGCTGGTTAAATGCAGGGCTCTGAGGTCAGATGGCCTGGGCCCAGATTCTGAATCCCCCACTTTTGAATATCCCAGGAAAAGTTACTGATCTTCTCTGGGCCTCAATTTCCTCAACTGTAAAGTGGGGATAATAATAGTTCCTACCCCTTAGGACTAATTAGAGGCTGTGAAGATGAAAGGAGTCATGTATGGGGCACATGCAGCTCGGTGCCCGGCCCACAGCGAGCACTCAAGAACTGTTACAGGGTGAGGATGAAGATGGCGTGGATGATATTTAGTTGGAGGCAGATGAATCCAAGGCATCCAAGTTCCCTTTAAAGCATGACCCTCCCCTTGGGGTATTCCCTCCTGACATGGGTGTCTCAACTCTCTGCTTCTCATGTCCGAATCTCAGCCAGAGGGGAGGATCTTGCAGGGGCCACTCACCTCTGTAGTCCTGGGAGCCCCTAAATCCTGCAATTACTGACCTCCATGTGTCAATCACCAGCAGTGATGCTTGCCTCAAACATACAATTACTGGGATCCTGGCCAAAGGCAGGATAGGGAGCAGGGGTATATGGCGGGTGAGGGAAAGAGTGGGAGAGACTCTGAACTTCCTCCATCCCACCAGCCATCATGGCCAAGGAATTCAAGGTGGGGGTACCCACACCATCGCCACTTCAACCGGCACCAAGGTGGGGCCCCTCACAGGCTGGCCAGTCCTCTTGCACTACCCCTGGGACTCTGTCCTGACTCTCACCAGCTCTGCCGCTCGCTAGATCATGTGACTTCAGGAAAGCCACCCCTTCTCCTTCTTAGTTTTCTTGCCTATTAAATGGGTTCATTGGGTCCTGCCCCAAGTGCCTCATGGATGCATGGCTGGGAACAGAGGTGGGGGTGATGGAGGGAGACTGCCCCCAGGGGTCTGCACTGAATTCTAGCTCTCCTGACCATTAGTGTGCGGTCCCGGGACAGTTACTCTGAACCTCAGTTGCCCCATCTGCGAAATGGGCATCAGTCCCCCACCTCTCTGGGCTGCTGTGAGGGCTGGATGAGGTCATGGCTGCCCAGTACCTGGCACGTGGTCAGTGCTCCTTAAAGGGCCAGTTTCTGAAACATCGCTCCTGACATGGAGTGGATCCCACTACTCCCACACTCCAAGTCCTGGTCCCTATCAGCCCTCGAAGCAAACATCACCTGTGCCAAGCTTAAAGGCCACCCATTTCTCCCATGTGTTAAATGTCCCCTACCCTGCAAATAGGGTCAGGAAGAGAGTGGATTACGGACAGCAAAGCGCCTTGGGGAAATGCTGTCACCTAGGAAGGGGGTCTTCCCAGGCACCGGTGTCCCTCCCCTGTCCCTGCTTTCTCTCTTTCATTCAAAGTGGCAGAGATCCCCTAGTCAACCCTCAGCCTACATGTGGGGAAACTGAGACCCAACTCAGCAGAACTGGGACAACTCCTTCTCCAGGGGGTCTTGGGAAGCAAGAGAAGGAGCAACACTGGCTCCTATGGCACTCCACAGCAATGATAGGAGACAGGGGTTATGATTATCCCATTTTACAGATGGCAGACAGAGGCCCCAAGGGGATGATAAGGCTTTCCAAGGACACATGGTATGTGTCTGTAACTTGCAGAGCTGGGATTCAAAATCAGCAGTATGGCTCCAAGGCCAGGCACTTACCCACTGTGTTGCCCTGCGCTCTGGAGAAAGAGAATGTTGGGCCCTCCTAGAGCTAGACAGCTGCCTCCCTCGAAACCTCTCCCCACCCCACCAGGGACCAGCTCACATGGCTGTCGTTGAGGTCATTGCTGGGGGAGTTCATGACCACGATGATCTCCAAAGTCGCGTCAAAGCGCCACCGCCTGGTGTCTGCACGCTCCCGGCCCCTCTCCATGTTGGGAGAGATGTAGATGTCCACGCCAGGCGTCCCATAGACCTCAAACATTTCTGTGCCCTCAGGCACTGACCTGGGCAGGGCAGAGAGCCATGGTCGGTGCCGAAGGAGATATATTTTGCTCAGATGTTTGAGCTTTGGCTCAAGCCCTGCTTCCTCCAGGAAGCTTTCCTTGGCCACCCAGTCCCCTCAGATCCTCACAGTAAGCTCCTGCGAGTCAAGCCTGGACCCCACACAAACATATACACAGTCGGCCGGGCGTGGTGACTCACTCCTTTAATCCCAGCACTTTGGGAAGCCGAGGCGGATGGATCACTTGAGGTCAGGCACTTTGGGAAGCCGAGGCGGGCGGATCACTTGAGGTCGAGCCTGGCCAACATGGTGAAACCCTGTCTCTACTAAAAATACAAGAAAATAGCCAGGCGTGGTAGCATATGCCTGTAATCCCAGCTACTGGGGAGGCTGAGGCAGGAGAATCGCTTGAACCCAGGAGGCAGAGGTTGCAGTGAGCCAAGATTGCACCACTGCACTCCAGCCTGGGCGACAGAGCAAGACCCTGTTTCAAAACAAAACAAAAAAACATACACACAGTCTGATGTTCTAAGCCCCTGTGTTCATTAACATTTCCCTTGTGAGTTTCTTTACCACTCACCAGAATGGCGAGCTCTTCGGAAGTCAGAAGCCAGCCATGTGCTCGATAAATCCCCAGTGCAGGTCTGGGCACGAAGAGCTCAGTGAACACCAGCCATTGGTGGGTGGAGCCCCTTACAGTTCTGAGAGCTTTAAAAAGAGCAATTCTCACCCCAGATCCCATCACATGTCTCCTTAGTGGGTGGGAAGATATCCTTGAATTCTTCCCTGGGAAGGGAATTCAATCTGGTTGAGTGCCCGCTGCATGCCAGGCACCTGGCGCACGCAGCTCCCTCCACTCTTACAAGCTGTAAGGTGAGCAATATCATCCCCATTTGGCATATTAGCAACTGAGGCTCAAGGAGGCCTCGTGACAAGCCTGAGGTTGCATCACATGGCAGAGCCAGATGTGCAACAGGTCTGACTCCAAGCCCATGCTGTTCCACAGCTCTGCAGTGTCACCCGGGAAACTTGGCCGGATTTGGTCAAACAACCAGAAATTAATTGCAGGTTTAAAGTATCTGTGATGTTATCTGGCCCTGAGATTGCATTTCCCTCATTCCACCTAGCCTGGGGTTCCTCCTTGGAAACCAGACTATGCATCCTTTGACTGTGGGGTGCCCACTGTGCACTCAGGTACTGCCTGGCGGGCAGATCCACCCACTGCTCTCCCCACTGTTGATCCCGCTGGGGAGCTGAGGACCAACATTGTCCAGGGCAGCCAGATGGGGCTCAAGGCCACAGGATCACAGCTCAGTGGGAACCCATGTAGGGAGAGGCCACTGCGAGTTGGAGGGCCTCCTGGAGGCAGCGGCATGCATGCCCCTGGGGGATAACAGTGACTGACACTTACTGAGCTCATGCTGTGTGCCAGCCCATCATGCAATCCTCTCAATAACCCTAGAAGGGAGGCACTATCTATTATTGTCTCCCATTATACAGATGAGAAAGCCGAGGTTAAGTAACTTGCCCAAGGTCTGTGGCCGGGCTGGGATCCAAACCCAGCCATGTGGCTCCTCAGTCCACACTCTTGCCCACCACCTCCCCAGGAGTAATAATAACAACAATACCATAACATAAAAAGCCCCCAGCCTCTGCACTCTTATCACGGCAGGCCTGCCTAAGCCTTTTTGTACATTAGCTCATCTGATCCTCACTGCAGCCCCAGGATGAGATAATTACTCCTGTTTACACATGGGGAAACTGAGGCACAGGATACGTAGGGGACTACCCCAAATTTCCACAGCTGGCCACTCCCCCCGCTTCCCATCTTCCCTCAGAGTAAGGCAGACCTCCCCCAAAACAACCTCTTCACTCTTCCACCAACATGATTCTCTTACATCTCAAAGCAGCTTTTTTATGAAAAGGGAAATAAACCAAGCCCAAGCTTCTCTCCATCAGGCAGGTCCCACTCTGGTGTCTGGGCCCCTGTCAGGTGTCCTCACCAGTTGGGAGGGACAGACACACCTGTTTCTCCTCCTAAGCAGGGCTGCCAGACTTAGCAAATAAAAATACAGAAAGCTCAGTTGGACTTGAATTTCAAGTGAACAGTCAATCATTGTTTGGTACTCCCGTGAAGTATTTGGGATACACTTATACTAAAAAAATTATTAATTATTTACCTGAAATTCAATTTTAACTAGGCATCTTTTATTTTATCTGGCAACCCTACTCCCAAAGCCTGTAATTTCCAGGGCTGGTGGAGCCCTCTGGCCTGTTTGGCCCTGGGCAGCCCCCCACAGGGGAAATGGCAGAACCAGGGAGAGAGGCATGAAGACACAGAGACAGAGAGATAGGGACAGAGAGACTTGGAGAGACCCAGCGAGATGGAGAGTCAGAGACAGGGAGTCGGAAAGAGACACAGGAAGACAAACCCAGGTAGGAAGAGCAGCCTCTCATACCCTCGGGAACACCCTCAGCCACGCTCCTGAGGCACTCGCCTTCCATCTCCCAAGGAAGCCTTTTTTTTTTTTTTTTTTTTTTTTTTTTGAGACAGAGTCTTGCTCTGTCGCCCAGGCTGGAGTGCAGTGGTGCAATCTTGGCTCACTGCAACCTCCACCTCCCGGGTTCAAGCAATTCTCATGCCTCAGCCTCCCAAGCAGCTGGGACAACACAGCCCACCACCGTGTCCGGCTAATTTTTGTATTTTCAGTAGAAACAGGGTTTCACCATATTGGCCAGACTGGTCTTGAACTCCTGACCTCAAGTGATCCGCCTGCCTCAGCCTCCCAGCTGGGATTACAGGCGCGAGCCACCGCGCCTGGCTGAAGCCTGTACACTTTTTATGGAACTCCCTCAACCCCAAAGCTGTTCCTTGGGCCTCCAGTGTCCATGGGCAAGGGCTGAGCGCCCTTGATGGTCCTTCTGGTATGAAAACCCCACTCAGTCCCCAGGCTCCAGCCCCTGGGTGTAGGGTGTTTCAGCCCAGCGCCCCTGCCTCTCCATGTGCCAGGCTCTGTGTGAGATGCTGGGGGATCCCCAGTGAAGACTGAAGCACCCCTGCCCAGGAGGGTCCCCAGGACCACGGTCTGAACAAGGGCTTAGCACAGGTGAACAAGCTACATCTGAGGTTGGGGAAGGGAGGGGCTGCAAGCCGAGGGCTCAGGTGGTGCTGGGACCAGAGTCAAGAATTAGGTTTTAGACCAGGCTGGGTCACACATCGGCCAGCTGAGCTTGACTAAATCACTTAGTCTCTCTGGGCCCATTAACCTCACCTTAAAGTGGGATAATGACACCTACTTGGCCAACCTCATGGGCAATCATGAAACTCAAGTGTGATAATAGACAGGAAAGGCTTGCAACACCATTGGCCCAGGACAGGGAAGGAGTTATTAAAGTAAATGAGGGTGCAGGAAACGGGTCTGGAGGCAGGATGAGACAGTGGGCTGGGTGGCTGGGGCAGGTTCCCCAGGGAAGGCACCAAGAGGAGACACAAGTGAGGGGAAGGTGTTTTCACCGTGGAACCTTAAGAGGTCTAGTTTAGACTCAGGCTATAATGAGCTTGTTTTCATTTCATCCCTATGTAATGGGGAGCCAGCGCTGGTTCTTGATCAGGAGGGGCAACATGATGGAGCCGTGGCAAGGTACTTGAGCCTGTGGTCCCTGGGGCCAGACAACTGGGTTCAAATCCCAGTCCCACCACTCATTAGGTGTGTGACTTTGAGCGAGTGACTGCCTCCCTCAGCCGCAGCATCGACATCTATCTGGTGGGGATGAGGAGAAGATGAAAGGAACCAGTGTGGGTAAAGCACTCAGGATGAGCAAAAGTCATGCCCTCATTTCACTGATGGGGAAACTGAGGCCCAGAAGATAAGTGACTAGAAGGTAGGGCTGCTGACTTCCAGTCCAGTGCTCATGCCTGTCATGAAAGCTGTGTGTTAGGAGAATGAGAGGGGCAGCTGCTGGGAGGAGAACCTGCATCAGGTACGGGAGGATCTAGCTTCCCATTTCCTAGAGAACAGGGGAAGTACCTGGAGCCTCACCTGGACAAAGTCCTTCCTCTCCAGGCCACCTCGAGCTGCCAGCATGGCTGAGCTGTCACATGCTGGCTTCTGGGCTTTCTAGGCAGTGCTTCTGGTCCAGTCCTGGGCTCAGGGCCTTGGACCCTCGCCGCTGAGGCTTCCATGCACAGGCCTGTCCAGGGCTCTCCCAGCCCCACACCCCCCAAGCCAGCCGGAGAACTCAACTGCTCCTCTGGCACAGCCAGCCTAAGATGGTGAGTTGGGGGTAAAATGTGGTAGGGTGGCCAACAGCATCAGTTTGCTGGGACTAAGGCTGTTCCTGGATACAGAATTTGCTGTGCTAAAACCTGCAAGGTCCCAGACAAACAGGAACAGTTGGCCTCCCTAAAAGTAGCCAACCTCAGACCCACCTTATTGAAAATGCAGATTCTTAGAAGTGCTCCAGGTGGGGCCTTGGAACCGCATTTTAAGCCATTCTGATATTTGCTGACATCTGAGAATCACGGCTTAGAGTAGGTTGTCTTAGAAATGCTGGAGCCTGGTGGGCCAGGCGCAGTGGCTCACGCCTATAATCCCAGCACTTTGGGAGGCCGAGGAGGGTGGATCACCTGAGGTCAGGAGTTCGAGACCAGCCTGACCAACATGGAGAAACCACGTCTCCACTAAAAATACAAAACTAGCCGGGCGTGGTGGCATATGCCTGTAATCCCGGCTACTAGGGAGGCTGAGGCAGGGAATTGCTTGAACCTGGGAGGCGGAGGTTGCAGTGAGCCAAGATAGCCCCATTGCACTCCAGCCTGGGCAACAAGAGCAAAACTCCATCTCAAAAAAAAAAAAAAAAATGCTGGAGCCTGGTCCCTCCAGCCCGTGTAGAGTTGACTCAGTGTGAGCCCATCCCCCTCGTGTATCACCCCCTTCAATGGTGAGGAGGAAGACGGGGCATTGGTGAGGAAGGTATCCCCCACAGCCACATAACTTGTGTGCTATTATCCCCACTTTACAGATGAGAATACTGAGCCTTGGAGACGGCAGGTGATTTGCCCAAAGTCACACAGCTAGCAAGTGACAGAGCCAGGACTCATGGCCAGCTCTGTCCCCACTCGCCTGCAAACCCAAACCCATCTTCTCCCTTCATGGACTCAGGGCCTGGACTTCTGGGAGAACAAAATCAGACATTTTAGGAGCTGAGAAACTGATGGGAAAGTTCCCCATGGCTGAACACCGAAAGGTTGACAAGATGACCAACGAGGTCTCCACCGAGCTGGGATGTGGGGGCAGAGGAGACCAAGACCCAGGCAGCTGGGTTTCTGGGTGGCAGTTCCAGCTGCCCCTCCCCAGTCAGCGAGGATCCCAGATCCGCCGACGCTGCCAGCCTCATCAATAGAATCAGGTTCAGGAAATCATGGTCCCACTGTAATCTGGGTGGCCCTGCCCCACCCCACCACTGGAAAGTGGCAGCCCCGTATACCCTTTTTCCAAATCCCCCGTATTTAAAAGAGCAGAAATGCACCAATCCCCCCAAGGGCCCAGCTCTCTGCACAGGCAGGTCAGAGCTCTCGCATCAAACAAAATCCGATGTTGACAGAATGGAAGCTGCTTTGTCAAATCAGGGAGGGGACTCAGAGGCCTCCATGAGTGGAAATTGAAACCCACTGTTCTATGCCAACCCCTTCAGGGTCCATATGGGGAAACTGAGGCCCAGGGTTGAGTAGAAAGTTGCTCAAGATGACATAGTGAGTGACCACAGAACTAGGACCAAAACTTGGAGTCCTGGCTCCATTAGGCAGCCTCTGCAGAGAAAGGGGTGACATGAGTTGTTTGTCTTCCCAGTGAGGGCAGCGGTTCTTAGCCCCAGCTGCACATTCATCCCCAGCGGATCCTGAAAACCTAGGGTGCTGGGGCCTTTCACAGATGAGTTGAATCAGGTTTCCCAAGGTGGGGCCTGGGCATCAATTTTTTTATGGATCCCCAGGTGATTGAAACACACTTCCAGGGTTGAGAACCTCTGAGCTGGAGAAAAGAGGAGCTTCATGGCTCATTGCCAGGTGTGGTCTCTTAGGAGACACCTGCCCGGGATACCTTAGTGATGGGCTCCCTGCCTTCTGTCTTTTCCATGTGCTGTTACTTGAGGTCATTCTGAGGTGCGAGAGCTGTGCACCCGCTCAGGTCAAGGTTGCCCCCTCTTCGAGGTGTCTTAGAGAACAGACTCAGCTGCCCTCTAGGCTGCTGTGTGCGCTGGGCCCCTCTGCAGCCATGCAGATGGGACCTGACCCTTCCAGGACCTTCTGACTGCAGGGCTTACACAGCCGTGCATCTGAGAACACCTGGAGCTCTGGGGCCCTTAGAGCCAAGTCTGCCAGCACAGAGGCGCCACAAGCCCCACCAGGACCTCCAATCCAGGCGAGTCTCAGCACCTCTGTGACTCAGTTTCTTCTTCACCAATAGTCAGAGATCCTTCGTTTGAATTGGAAGACCTAGTTTCTAGTTTTAGCTCTGTCCCTAACTCACTATGTAACCCTGAGCAAGTCATTTCACACTCCAGGCCTCAGTTTCCCCAACTAAAAAATGAAGTGGCGTGTAAGACCCCAGAGATGTCTCACTGAACCAGCCTGGGGACTGCTCTCCAAGCCCACCTGTGATGAATCCCAAAGGTGACCAGCTTCGCGGGCCCCTCAGCCACATGAGCAGCCACAACCCAACAGACTCCAGGAAGCATCTCCACATGTTATGGGAAAGCCCAGTGGGAATGGGTCCAGTCTGTTCTTACCACTGGGCCAATGACAGAGGCCCTGAGGATGGCCCTCCCCACCAGAGGTCATCCTGGGATTTTGATTTTGCCCATTAAGAATGAAACTGGGCCAGACACGGTGGCTCTCACCTGTAATCCCAACACTTTGGGAGGCTCAGGCAGGCAGATCACTTGAGCCCAGGAGTTCAAGACCAGCCCGGGCAACATGGCAAAACCCCATCTCTACAAAACATGCAAAACTTAGTCGGGGATGGTGGTGCACGCCTGTAGTCCCAGCTACTCGGGAGGCTGAGGCGGGAGGATAGCTTGATCCTGGGGAGGTCCAGGCTGCAGTAAGCCAAGATTGCACCACTGTATTCCAGCCTGGGCAACAGAGTGAGACCCTGTCTTCAACAAAAAAAAAAAAAAAAGAAGAAGAAAAGAAAGCAGCTTTCTTCCTGCACCAAGACTTTGTGCTAAGGTTTGTGCTGATGCCTGAGCCTTGAGAAAGAGCTGTGTGGAACCAAGCAAACCACCTGGGCTGTGGAACTTGATGGGATCTGGGTTCAAGCCCTATAGCCCTGTGGGATAGCACTTGTCAGACCACCATCCCGCTGAGCCTGCCTCCAGTTGCAGGGAGGAGTTAATCAGCCACCAGACGCCCAGTGCATGGCTCAGTGCACCAGGGTACCCTTCCTTCCCTTTCCCCATCCTAAGACTCACTGCTCAAGAAAGAAAAGCCCCCATACCATGCCTGGGTCATCTCCAATTCATGGAAAGGCAAGAAGATAAAGTTGAATCCACTGCCACAGATAGAGAGGCCCAACAGACTTGCTTGTCCTCATCCTTCAAGGGTCTGATTGGTGCCCCTCCTCCAGGAAGACTGCCCTGACTCAGCCATGAGTCAGATGTAAATTTCTCTTTTCTCAACTCCTTCTCCCAATACGGTCCAGAGACTGTTCCCCAGACATCCTGCATATGGCAGGTTTGGGGATGCTTGAGGCTGTCCACAGGCCCAGGACAAAGCCTTAAACTGATGATGATGATAATGGTGACAGTTAACATAACTGAATGTTCACCACAAATCAGTATTAGTTACATGCTTTGCACACACAATCTCATTCAATGCCCCTAACTGCCCTTTGAAGTAAGGCCAAACTGGGTTACATCCTGGCTCTGCCACTCACTGGCCATGTGACCTTGGACAAGTTGTTTAACCTCTCTGTGCCTTTGTTTTCTTATCTATAAAATGACGATGATGACAGTGCCCACTTGAGAATTTTGTGAGAATTAGTTAACATATGGAAAGCGCTTACAGGCACTGCTGGGGAGTGGCATTCAGTGCCATTGCTGATATTATTATCATCCCCAGGCAACAGGTGAGGAAACAGAGACTCAGAGAAGTTAAAGGAGTTTCCCACGGTCAGAGAGCTGGGAAGTTGCAGAGCCAGGACTGAGCCACAACACCTACTGCCCTTTCTCTTGTTGGCCCGCAGGCTGAGGACCCAGGATTGTTACATCATGGCACCTCCAAGCCGGGAGGGACCTCAGAACTAACTCAGTCCTGCTCCCCTTCCCAGAAAGGAGTCCTTTCTGTGGCACCCTTGTAAGAAGGTTGTCCAGCCTCTGCTGGCTTCTCAGAGAGGAGGAGCTGCTTGTTCTCCCCTGTATGTGTCCCCAGAGCCTGTGCTCATCCTTCAAGGCTCTGAATGGTACACACACTAGACCCAAAAGAAATACTTGAAGAATATGTGAATGAACGAACTAGGAGCTCTCCACTCCCACCCCTGGGGGGTTTGGCCACCAGGGCCCAAGAATCCCTCATTTGAAGGTATCAGAGCTTCCATCCCCCACCCTGTGGCTGTCCCACCGATGGCCTTCTCTGCAAACCTCCAGTGTGGCTCAGGTGACTCCAGGAAGCTATGGCCTTTATCTCTTATTGCCCCAATCCATCCTCTATCCTCTAAGGAAGCTCTGCGGGGGAGGAGCCAGGCCCAGGCTTCCTGGGACAGGTCAAACCGGAGACACATCTGCCCAACGGGCACGAGGCAGCAGGGGCAGGTGAGTCACCCCATGGCACGCAGCCCAGTCACCCCATGGCAGGCAGGCAGTGGTGCCAAGTGGCAGATACCCCTCCTTCCTCATTACCTCCTTGGCACAGCCTCCGTGGCTGCCCCTTCCTTCAAGAACCACTGAATCCCCTTCCTCCTCCTACTGCCCACCCACCAATACCAGGATTTATTTCCTGGGCTGGCTCTGCTCCCGACTTGGTTCCCTCCCATGACCAGCTCCTCACCCCCTCTCATCCAATGCCCTGGATCAACCCCATCGCTGCTCCCGACTAAGTTCGCCCTGATTTTTCGAGTCTTAGTCTTGGAGACTCGTTCTCAATGGGTGGGCTATTTTCTTCCCACCCCAGGGCACATTTGGCAATGTCTGGGGACATTTTTGGTTGTCACAACTCGGGAGTGTGCTGCTGGTATCTAGCAAAGAGAGGCCCAGAATGCTGCTCTCCATCCTACAGTGCACAGGGTGGCCCCCATGACAAAGAGGTATCGTGACAGCAGTGCTGAGGTTGAGAAACCTGGCCTGAGGAGAGGGCTGGGAGACTTGAGAGGTGAGAGCTGTCCCACAGTTCTGCACCCTCCCCTCCCAGTATCCTGATTACCTCCAAGCCAGGACCCTGGATTCTCCCCAAAAGCCTAAGAAGCCAGCTCCCTGGTGGTCCCCAGAGCCCAGCTCTTAAAACCCTACCCTAACCCTCTTTTCTTCCTAAGAGAGAGAAGATAAGGCCTTACCTCCCTCTACCATGGGCCTCAAAGGCATGACCTGGCACACAGTAGGAGCATAATGCATGGGCATTGAGTGTCTAGAGGAAACCAGGTTGGAAATCTTTATTTTCCAAGTATCAGAGCAGCTAAAACCATAAGACTCCTGAGTAAGACCACAAGCGGGTTTAAACCCTGGCTTTGCCACTTAGTAACTGTGTGACTTGAGCAAATGGCTTGCCCTCTCTGCCTCGGTTTTCTCATTTGTCTGATGAGATGATGCTAATAATAAGCCTAGCTCACAGGGTTGTTGTAAGGGTTAAATTCAAGATTAAAGTTCAAAACTTAACTCAAGAGACTTGTGAAGCTCTTAGAATAGTGCCTGGCACATGGTAAGTGCTATGTATTAACTTATTTTTTAAAAATGATTCATGCTCTGTTTCTAGGCTCATAGGCTCAGGATGGGGCTGGGGATATCTGCCTGTTCCTATTCTTGTGTGCCCCAGACAGATCCTCAGCCCAACCTGCAGCATCCCTTGGACATAGAAAAGTGCCATCTCTTCGCGGCACCAGCCCCCTCCAAGCCCCCGGTCTGGAGCTCAGTCACTGAAGCCTCTTCTACCTGGCTCAGCCTCCCAAACTTCAAATTCCCTGGCTAAGGTCTTCAGGAAACTCAGTAGAGCAAGAGGAGGACCCAAGCTTCCCTGATTGGCTGCTGTTCCGAGGCCAAGGCTGGGGAGTGGGCCCTGAAGAAGCCCTGCCCAGCCTGCAGGGAGGAAGGTCCAAGGGCATCAGCACCAAGGGCCTGCAAACCACTAGGCCTCTGACTCTTACCCATAAATGTCCACGAGGGTCTCCACGCCAGCCACACACACCGCGCTGGTGGGATGCTCCAGGGACACACGCACGATTCTCTGCAGCGACATGCTGGTGTTGGACTTAGCTGTGGCCGCCAACCCCAACACTGCCCCTGAGGCCCCTTAGGATGAGGTTTAAAAGCCCCTGGCCCCACCCCTCCAGCCCAGGGTGCCAATTCATTGGCTCCAGTCATGAAAGCCCAGCCCCTTCCCAGAGCTGAGAGCTCAGGATTGGCTGGAAGGGACCCAGTATTTGTATACGAACCTGTTGTCCCGACCCCGGCACCCAGGAAGTTAATTTCTTGGGAAGCAAGTCCCCACAGGTACCTGGCTAGGCACCAGGAACTGTTGGGGGCAGGTGCTGTTGAGGGGGTGCAGAGATATATGATATTGATCTCGGACGCTTCTTGCTTCCTCACCTCCATTTTCTGCATTTTCAGAGACTATAATGGGGAGCTTTCTTACTCTGCTGGGGAAGCTGGTGAAAATGCGGATTCCCAGGTCTGTTGTCCACTCTGATCCAGCAGGTTAGGGGTGCAGCCTGGCCTCTGGATTTTTTTTTTTTTTTTTGAGACGGAGTTTCACTCTTGTTGCCCAGGCTGGAATGCAATGGTGCGATCTCGGCTCACCGCAACCTTCGCCTCCCAGGTTCAAGCAATTCTCCTGCCTCAGCCTCCCGAGTAGCTGGGATTATAGGCGTGTGCCACCACTTCCGGCTAATTTTGTATTTTTAGTAGAGACGGGGTTTTTCCATGTTGGTCAGGCTGGTCTTGAACTCCAGACCTCAGGTGATCCACCTACCTCGGCCTCCCAAAGTGCTGGGATTACAGGCATGAGCCACAGCACCCGGCCCTCTGGATTTTTTAATAAGCACCCCCAAAGCATTTTGGTGCCCTTTGAGAAACACCAACTTTTTTTTTTTAATGGATTTTAGAGCCAGACCTGGGTTTCAGCCCTGCCTCAGCTGCTTCCTGGATGGGCGACCTTGGGCAAGTTTCTTTTTTTTTTTTTTTTTGAGACAGAGTTTCGCTCTGTCACCCAGGCTAGAGTGCAGTGGCGTGATCTCGGCTCACTGCAAGCTCCACTTCCCGGGTTCACGCCATTCTCCTGCCTCAGCCTCCCGAGTAGCTGGGACTACAGGCGCCTGCCACGGCTCCCGGCTAATTTTTTGTATTTTTAATAGAGGCGGGGTTTCACCGTGTTAGTCAGGATGGTCTCGATCTCCTGACCTCTTGATCCACCCGACTTGGCCTCCCAAAGTACTGGGATTACAGGCGTGAGCCACCATGCCCGGCCGGGCAACTTTCTTAATTGTTCGTGCCTCACTTTTCTCGTCTGAAAAATGGTTGCTGTGAGGCCTCAGGGGCCAGCGTTGGTAGAGCTCTGGTATGGAGCTTGGCGTTATTGTATTACTATTGTTGCTGTTATTAGGTCCCAAAAACCTCTGAAAGCGGTAAATGATGAGGGTGAGAACTCTCTCCAGCCAGGGGGAGCTTGGCATGTCAGAGTAGGAAAGCTCAGTCGTCAGGTGGGAAACCGAAGTCAGAGGGGCATTCAGGCTCCTGGAAGAGCAGGAGCAAGGGCTCTGGGGAGAGAAGTCTTGGGTTCAGAGGCAGGCTCCACCGTGCACCCACTATAGGGCCTTGGGTGTCAGTGTCCCCCCTCTTGGAGACTCGGTTTCCTCATCTGTAGAAAATGCAGCTAATCACTGGCCCTGGCGGAGATAATAGTGAAGACGCACCCTGCCTGGCGGAGGCTCAGGAGGTGCTGAATAGAGGTTTCCTCCCTTCTCCCTGGCAGTGCTGACAGCCTGAGACAGGATGGGGACCAGGACCCGCTCCCCAGCATCTCCAGCTGGGACATCTGCACCAGTTCAAGGGCCTCAACAGGACCCTGAGATTGTCATTCCCATGTCTCAGTTTTTGGGAAAGATGTTCTTTTCAAGGAGAACTGCTGGGCTTCTGGGTCAAGGGACAGCTTCACTTTTTTCAGCTGTGGAATGGCTTGATGGCTGAGTCAGCCTTGGGAGCCCTGGGTAAGAGTTCGAGCTCAGGAGGAAGCCTTAGTCTCCCTAGCCTTCTTGTGAGCACAGATGGGGAATAGATGCAGAAAGTAGGGGCTTTCCCTGGGGTGCTGGCCCACTACCTGCCTCTTTCTCGGAGAACTGTATATGTCTTTGGAAGGAGACTCATGCCTTCACTTCTCCTCTGTTAATACCAACTTTTAGAAACAGGTTTGTGGTTAATTCAGACTAAAGTGTCAATGACTAATAGGCAGCAACTTTTTGCCCTCTTACTCCACAACAAAAGCTAAAATAAAGTGAGTGAGTATCAAACGGTGTAATTTGAGGCAGCAGCAAATGTGTAGGATGAGAGGGTGATGATTTCAGGCATCCAAAATCAGACCACTGAAGCCAGGTAACTTAGAAGCTTCAGACACAAAAATGGAAGGGAATTGGGCCAGGCACAGTAGCTCACACCTGTAATCCCAGCACTTTGGGAGGCCAAGATGGGAGGATCGCTTGAGCCCAGGAGTTTGAGACCAGCCTGGGTAACATAGCAAAACCCCAGCTCCGTAAAAAATAAATTAGCAATTAGCTGGGCATGGTGGCCTGTGCCTGTATTCCTAGCTACTCAGGAGGCTGAGGTGGGAGGATCGCTTGAGCACAAGAATTCAAGGCTATAATGAGCTGTGATAGCACCACTGCACTCCAGCTTGGGTGACAGAGCAAGACTCGGTCTCAAACAAAAGAAAAGAAAACAAAACAAAACGAAAACCAGAAAGGGAACTGTAGTGGCCTGTGGCCCTGGGAACCAGCCCTGCTGGGGAACTCTCACCTCTGTTAATAGGGCCCGGGCTGCCTCCCCGACCTGTTGTCCCTGAGAGATGGAGGGGATGCTGAAGGAAGAGAGAAGAGATGAAGAGGCAGGACCCATCCCTCCCCTGATCTGATCTCCATCTTAGCAGGGCCATCAGCCCCAGAGCAAGAGGCAATGTGCCAGCCATCCTGCTGAATCAGCCTGCCTGGCACTGGCCGTGGCACTGGCCGTGGCACTGTGAGGCTCTCCTAGCTGAGCAGGGGCCGCCTGTGGCAGCAGAAATTGAGCCAAGCAGCTTCATAGTGGATGGAACTGGAAGCAGTCTTCTCCGCTTTCCTCCCCTCCTCCCCAACCCAACAAACAGGCTGGGTAGACAGCCCTGTAAGAAATGCATGTCGACATTTTTATTGATCAGAAAGTAGGTGACTGGTCACCCAGAACATTCTCAGAGCCAACACCAGGGCCCCTCGATGGCCCAGCAGCAACTCCAGAGCTTCCCACACTCAGTGTGGCCCCGACCCCCAGCCCTATCTCTGCAATGCTCACTCCCTTCCTACCCACAGCTCTTTCTCAGGGGAGTCCCAACCCCAGCTCACACCCCCGGCCCCTTCAGAGCCTCCTTCTCCTTCTTGACTCAGTGCAGGCTGGGGTATGATCCTGAGCAGAGGACGCTCAGGTTAAAGCAGGAGCTTGCAAATAGAGTTCTGTAGAACCTTCCAGAAGGGGATTTTCAGGTTCCCGCTCACCCACTTTAACCATAGCAGTTCCAGGCTAGCTTTTGTTGGTTAAAACAGTGACAGTAGTTGGCTCAGTGTGAGGTCTCAGCAGGGGCCACTGAAAACCTAGATGGACCGAAGCCCTAGGGCCAACTGCCCTACAATGGCCTCACTGGCAGTGGGGGAAGAGGGTAGGCTGGCTTCCTCCTGCCCGTGCCCTGCAGCCCAGCTGAACCAGCCTGCCTGTGCATGTCTCAGTGACCTCACTCCGGGCTATTAACCTCCCGTGGCAGCTGTCTTCCCTACTGTGGGAGGGGACATGGGCCTGCACAGCGGTTTATTCAGGGATGAAACCTAAGCTATGTGCAGGGTCCCTGGGTTGCTGAGAGAGACCGGGCAAGCCTTCCCCTCCCACTGCCTGCAGAATGAAGGGGAATAATTAAAGACTATTAAAGGAAATTAAACTCCACCTTCAGAGATAACCTAATTTCCTCCCAACACACACACCCTCTTCTAACATCTGGCCCCCTACCCCTGCTACATCTGGAAGCTCCAGCTCCCTTCAAATCCAGAGTCCAAAATCCCAGCCCAGGAACCACGGACACCTCTAGGCCCCCAAATCCGTCGTCACACACTCTGCTACCCTGACCTCATCCCCTCCTGCCCCGTCATCCTTTGTGTGTCCTCAGGCCTCACGTTGGCTTCTCAGCATTTCTGAGCTGGGAGAAGCCAGCTCTGGTAATTAAAGTCTTTCCAGAAAGGTAGCAATCACTCTTCTGAGGTCGGAGTCAGCTATTAAAATTTTGTTGTCTTTTTTTCTATTTAAATTGGCCCTTGGACACTGGGTTTTTCTGTCCTTGTTTGTCCACACACAGCTGAAGGGTGCTGGATGGGGGTGGAGGTAAGTGTCACAGCCTTGGGTCCCCTTTGGGAGAAGAAACCTAGAGCGGGGAGAGGATGTTTCTGATCCCCTTTCCTAGTTTTCCAAGAGCAGAGGCAGCCTGGTGCCTGGCACACCAGACCCCAGGTCCCCCAGGCCCCGTTCCAGGTGCAGATGCAAAGTCATTATCCTTGTTCCCCAGGGAGGCATCAGAATGAAGGGGGAGCAATTCTAAGTGGGGCCCATCTCCCTAGGCCTCCCACAGCCATTCTGGAACATGCTAACATTGTTGATCTAGAGCCTCTGGGGGCTGTGGGTGGGAAAGAGGCCAGGGAAGAATGAGGTGCATTCTTCTCGGGTTGGGTAGGCCATTCCAGAGGCGAGGGTAGGTGGTATCCATCCCTGTGTCCTGGTGCCCATGGTGGCCAGGATGTTTGCAAAGTGCCAAGACTCCCCCAAGAGAATGGAGGCCAGGTGGTTGTTCCTTGCCTTCACCCTGGCAGGGTTCCCTAGCAAGAGGGCAGAGAGGATGGCGGGTGGGGGCAGGCTCAGGGCACCATGTTCCACCATTTGAAGGGAAAGGGCTTCCTGCGCACGTTGGTGCCACAGTGGATCTCCCCCTGCAGCTCGTGGTAGGACAAGTAGTCATCAATGAAGATGCAGTGCAGGCCCAGAGGCTCCAGCAGGGACTGCACCTTCTCCTCCAGGCAGCAGCGGCCATTGATGATGGGCCCGTAGGGCTTGGGGATGCCCAGGTACTTGCCTAAGACCACCATGTTAACCTGCAAAAGAGAAAAGGCAAGAGGGAGGCTGTCTGGCTATAAGTGCTGTGCTTCTGGCACCCCTTCCTTGCCAGAATGAGACAGGCCCTGGGGAATGGGTTGGCCATAGCCACAGCCTAGAAAGGGCTCTAGGACTGGAGTTTGCTCAAGAGTTAGGGCCTATGAAAGCAGAGGAGAAAAAGATTCAGGGTTGGAAATGAGGTTGAATAACAGCCAGGACTACCAGGAATTTTGTACATTAAAAAACAAAAACAAAAAACAAAAAAAAACTTCTCCCACTCTTTCTTTCATCTATGAGAAAATTGTCATATTATAGCAACTTTGTTAGAACAAGAGATTTTCGTGTCATCTGCCAGAAACTTGTACAACAAATATACACACCTACAAGGTCTGTGGTGTGGATGTCTTCCAAAGTGTGGTGTGCTTTTGCTGTGCACAGCTTGCTTAACTGTCTTTGGCAGCCCTGATCATTGTTAGCATTTATTGAGCATCTTTTATGTGCCAGATATATCATCACTAAATGCCACAGCCTCCCTCTGAAGCTGTGGCTCAGACAGGTTAAGTCACATAATCATACAGCCAGAGAATGATGAGACTGACATTTGGACTTGGATCTGGCTGGTGCCAAAATCCATGCTTTTTATCTGGCCACCTGTGGGACTGAGGAGTTGGGGGAAAGGGCTGAAAAAGCCTTTGGGGACACTTGAGTTTAACTCTGGGGGCACCTCTCCTTCCCTTGGTTGCGGACCTGGCTTGGGGCCCTAATCTGGGGATGGGAATTCTCCCCCATGCTGTGCTATGGGGGTTTCTTAGAGGAAATCTCAGCCCAGGTTGATGGCAAGAGGTCATAAGGGGTGACCCTTGGTGTTCAAAGGGGACTCCGGACCTTCTCTCTAGAGGGCGGCTCTGGGCTGTCTTGAGTTTGAGGTGAGCCTGTCCTGGACTCTGCCCTCAAACTCTCCGTGCTCTGCCCCCCACCCTCAAGTCTGCCCCACCCTCATCCATGGCAGGGACCAACATAAAGCTGGAGGGTCCCGTGAGGTCAGTCCCCTGGCCTTGGCCCTGAACTACCTCTTTGCCCACTAATGGGCCAGAACATGCTGGGGTGGGAGTGGGGGTGGGGCATGCAGGGGGCAAAGGGCAGAAAGAGGAGAAAAGAGCCAGGACCAGGACCAGGACCAGGGCCAGAGCCAGCCAGGCCTCTGCTTCCTCCTAAAGGAGGAGTCATGGGATTGGGGGCTGGTCCCAACTCCGCCACTCGCTCACTGTGTGACCTCAGACACATGACCCACTCTCCTTCTAAGCCTCAGTTTCCCCATATGACAAACCAAGGGGTTAACTGGGTGTTCCCTATGGGACCCTCCAGTGAAGACAAGCTGGGATCCTTCAGCAGAGCCTGGAACGAAGCTAGGGAATCCCCACAGGATGACCCACAGTCAGGGGCTTCCGGCAGATGGAGGCCAGACCACAGACACACACGCTCCAGCCTAGGCCCTCCCCGCCACCTTCAGCCAGAACCAGAGCTCAGCAGTCCCTTAGAGCTTTGCTGTCCACCACAGTAGCCACTGGCCACATGCAGTTGTTTAAATTAAAATTAAACTTACATAAAGTTACAATTTCTGTTCTTCATTGACACTAGCCACATTTCAGGTGGTAGCTGAGTGGCTACTGGACTGTATTGTACCGATATGGAACATTTTCATCAGCACAGAATGTTCTAACAGACAACACTGCCTTCAAGCCGTGGTTCTCAATCAGGGTCCATTTTGTCCACTAGGGCATTTTTGGTTGTCACATCTGGGAGAGTGCTATTGGCATCTAGTGGGTAGAGACCAGGGAGGCCGCTAAGCATCCTGCGAGGCACTGTACAGCATCTACAACAAAGGCTTATCCAGCCTAAAACAGAAGTAGAGCTACAGAGTCGAGAAATCCTGCTTGGGGGTCTCTGCCAGGACCTAGAGGCTGGAATCTCCCCATGAGGAGTCAGGAAAGCACACTGACCCTCCCCACCTCCTGCAACCTGCATCCTGATTCCGACATTCACTTCCAACCCTGATTCCATGCCGATTCCGACATTCACTTCCAACCCTGATTCCATGCCGATTCCGACATTCACTTGCAACCCTGATTCCATCCCGATTCCGACATTCACTTCCAACCCTGATTCCATCCCGATTCCGACATTCACTTCCAACCCTGATTCCATCCCGATTCCGACATTCACTTCCAACCCTGATTCCATCCCGATTCCGACATTCACTTCCAACCCTGATTCCATCCCGATTCCGACTTTCACTTCCAACCCTGATTCCATCCCGATTCCGACATTCACTTCCAACCCTGATTCCATCCCGATTCCGACATTCACTTCCAACCCTGATTCCATCCCGATTCCGACATTCACTTCCAACCCTGATTCCATCCCGATTCCGACATTCACTTCCAACCCTGATTCCATCCCGATTCTGACATTCACTTCCAACCCTGATTCCATCCCGATTCCGACTTTCACTTCCAACCCTGATTCCATCCCGATTCCGACATTCACTTCCAACCCTCGGCTTGTCCCAAGAGAGGGATTCAAGCTAAAGACCGCAGTCTGAAGAAAGAGGGTCTATCCCCATCCCGGGGGACCATCCCTGCCAGCTGCCAACACCCCAACATCCTTTCCCAAGAGGTTAATGGGCACTTGGGCCAGGCCCACCCCGATAGCATCGCTCAGGCCCTTCCCAGTTGAGATCACATCTGCTCATCTCCTTGTCAGCTGCCCTGTTAATGAGAGTCAGCGAGGCCACCGCCCACCCCACCTGCACCGCCTGACACAGGACCCCCACTGGGGAGCAGCAAGCGAGGGGCTGTGGTGGGGAACACAGCAGGCAGCTGAGACCCAGAGACAGAAGCCTGAAACACTTGGAACCAAACCACGCTTTCTTTTTCCATCTGGGTGAGAAAAAAAAAAGTGCTTTGTGGCGGGGCATCCTATGCTCTGTAGGATGTTTAGTGAAATCCCTGGCTTCTACCCACCAGATGCCAGGGGCATGCACCTCACTGCGGCAACAAAAATCCCCTGGGGGCAAAATTGCCCTGGTTGAGAGCCACTGATGGGAATGTTCTCTATATTCACAAAAACAGACACTGGAGAGGTCCGCAGGGCCCTCCAGCCTCTGCACCAGCCTGCCCTGGGCCAGGGAGTGCTTCTTCTCAGAGCCCCGCAGACCCCCCAGCAGGACCCTGCACAAGGGCTCTCACCATGTCTGGGAAGAAGGCTTCCGCGTAGAAGTTTTTCAGGAAGAAGAGCTGGGGAATGTCCACGATGTCACTCTCTGCCAGGCCCAGCTCCCGCTTCAGCACATTACGGTTCCAGTCAATGCATTTCTGGGGAAGGAGGCAGCTGGGCAGCCCAGGACTAGGAAGAGCATAACACTGGCCAAGCACCTACTGTGCGCTGGGCCCGTGTGGAGCCCTCTGGGCCCGCTAGCTCCTTCAAGCCTCACAACAGCTTTGTGCAATAGAAACCATTGCTGTCCGGGGGAAACTGAGGCTCAGGCAACCTGCTCAAGTGCACAAGGCTAGGATGTGCCAAAGCTGGGGTTCGAACCCAGGCAGTTTCTGGATGCAAATGTTCTTGTCAGCACAACACACTGTCCCAGCCCCAGCCACAGCATGGCTGATGCTCCTGTCCCTTCTCAGCAGCTTAGGAGAAAGCGCTGGGCACTACCGGGAAGGGGTAAGGGCCCTCCTGCCATTAACTGAGCACCGACTCTGTGCTAGCCCCTTCGCCTTGCATGGGGCAGGCATTTTTTATCCTTGGGGTGAGCCCTGCCCCTTCCTGACACCTTGCTTCACCTGTTCCCACAGGATCCCCCTGAATCTTACCCACCCCACCTCTGGGCCCCTCAAGGTCCTATTTCCCCACCGTGTCTCTCGCATTTCACCAGACTTCTCAGATGAGAGGCTCAGATTTGCTTCTGTGAAAATAGGTCATTGCCCCAGCGTGGGGCCGGGTCTCCCTCATTAGGCTGGGAGCTCTCTGAGGGCATGGCTCTGTCTCTTCCATCAGACTGTGGGTTCCTGAAGGCAGAGGCTCTATCCCACCTGCAGGCCCCAGCAGCCCCCAGGACCATGAGAGCTCCAGCGCTGAATCTCTGACCCAACCCAGTTCCTGGGGCTTCTTCTCCCTGGAAGGGAAAGGACCCCTTAGAGCAGCTGGTGGTCCTGCCTCTCACCTGTGCATGAAGATTGTCTCTCTGGAGGTGTCTGTCTGCCAGCATCTCATTAATGCTTCTTTTTGCCTGGTGTTTTAACCCTGCAAGAAGAGAAAGACAGTACATAGCTCAGGGAGCACTGCCTGGAGGCCGTCTTCAGCCTGGGGCTACATAATCCAGGCCAGGATTTCCCTCCTACCTCAGTGCCAGGGTCAGAAGCCAGGACAGAGAAAGCCAGAGACTGAGAACCCCTGAAGGGACCAAGCCATGGCTGCAAGGAAAACCTGGTGATGGATAAGGAACCCCTCAGGAAGTGACTCTGGACTTGGAGCCTAATAATTATGGCACAGCTACCATTATTGAATGTCTGCCATGCTCTGGGCATCCTACTTAATGTATTATTAATATTTAAAGCAACTATAGGAGGGATTAATTATCATCTACAACTCAGAGAAGAGGAAACTGAGGCACTGAGAGGTTCAGAACACACCCTTGATACCACAGCCAGCAAATGCCAAGATCAGGATTTGAACTCAGGGCTATCCTTGTGGATGTCTGCACCACATCCATTCCAATGCTCTATTCCCCAGGTATTCCCCAGATGAGAACACTGAGGCTGTGATAAGGAGGGGAGATGGGCCAACCAAGCCCTTGGAGGGTCTGTTAGCTCCTGCAGGAAGCTCTGCAGAGGGGCCCTGACCAAGCCTGGCTTCTCCTCCTTCCTCTCTCAAGGCCCCAGCCCTGCTGCTCCCTGGCTGCATAGCCCTGTCCAAGCCAATTCACCTTTCTGAGCCTCAGTTTCCACTTCTGTGAACAGGGATAAGGAAGAGGGGAGAGAGATCAAAGGGGAGTGAGAACAAGAACATGCCTGGCATTGACCGGCACCTGGGGCACTCATGACTTCCTGTGCCTTTCCTCTCCTGGGGTGTGGCCCAGGAACTCCCCCACCCATCAGAGGACCTGGGGACCCAAGAAACAGAGAGTGGGTGTTGGGTTCTGAGTCCAGCTGAGAGATCTGCAGGTGCAGGGGCTGTACCCAAGGATGGTGATGAAAGGGCAGGGTCCCCCAGGGGTGACCGGGTCATTGGCACTCACCATCAAACTGGGCTGCCTCCCCATAACCCTCTTCTTTCTTCTCTTGGAAGAGTTTGAGGCAAGCGCTGGGGCTAGCCAGGAGCAGCCGGAAGCCCTGGCACGGAGGGAGGGAGAATGGCTCAGTGGACAGGGTCCCCTTAGACACAGGAGACCCCAGACTCAGGACTCAGGAGGGGCCTGACAGTTCTTGGGACTCCCCTCTCCCACTCGGTCTACACCCCAGCCACAAAGCACTGTCTGCAACTCTCCCAGTCCTCCAAGCAGGTTCCCACCTCCAGAACTTTGTCTGTGCTGTTCTCCCTCCCTGGACGCCCTTCGCATTTTGCCCACCAGGGCATTCTGATTTCTTCCTTCAAGGCCCAATTCAGGGCTGGGTGTCGTGGCTCACGCCTGTAATCCCAGCACTTTGGGAGGCCAAGGTGGGCAGATCACCTGCAGTCAGGAGTTTGAGACCAGCCTGGCCAACATGGTGAAACCCTGTCTCTACTTAAAATACAAAAAATTAGCTGGGCATGGTGGTGTAATCCCAGCTACTTGGGAGGCTGAGGCAGGAGAATCGCTTGAACCCAGCAGGTGAAGGTTGTAGTGAGCCAAGATCGCGCTATTGCACTCCAGCCTGGGCAACAGAGCAAGATTCTGTCTCGAAAAACAAACAAACAAAAAACAAACAAAATACCCAATTCAGATGTCTCCTCCTTCACTGTCAGAGCTGTCCCTAGCAGAGCTGTAACCACTGGTCACTGGGAAGCCTCCTCTCCCAGGCTGCTGGCTCCCTGGCCATGCCTTCCCAAGCCACCTCTGCAAGGCTTACTGTAGAGGCCCAGAACCCGGATTTGAATCCTATCCTGACACCTGCAGGCTGGGTGAGCTTGGATGGGTTAATTGCCCTTCTGAGCCTCAATTTCCTCGCTTGTAAAATGGGACAATAATAATTGCACCCACTTGACGGGCTTGTTGGAGGATTAAATGAATTAAAACATGTGAGTATCTGGCACATAGTAGGTGCTCAATAAATATTACCAATTATTATCAATATCATTCCTGACTATTGGATAAGGGATTTGGGTCCAAGCACAAATACCCTGGAAGTGTGAGGATGAGCGTGTCAGGGTGCCCTGACCCAGAAAATGTCCCAATCCAGAGCTTACTCGGGGCACAGGGTTGAGCTGGTTCCAGATGGCTTTGCCCTGACTCATCCCATCAGGTCAGACAAGGGCAGAGGTGGCTCAGGCAGGGAAGGAGGGGACGCACCTTTTGGTCAGAGGTAGGCACAAAGGTCAGAAACTCGTCCACATGGCCCACAGAGAGCCAGTCCGAGTAGAGCTCCACGGGTGCCTGCACCTGCTGTGCCTTCAGGAAGTTCCGCACTGCCCTGGCCATCTGCCGCCCACCGGACCTGGCCAGGAGGGAGAGGGCGGGCAGTCACCTTGTGCCTGAGAGGCATCAGGCCTTGCCTGAGTCATCATCAGATCTGCCACCAGGGGGCGGAATTGCTCAAAGAACGCTTTAAACGTGGGGCGTAGAGCGTGGAGAAGCCAAGACAGCAGAGAATGGACTGTGCATTTGTGTGTGCATTTGAGCACCTACTGTGTGCTGTCCTTAGGGTCCTCGCAGTAAGTGTCTTGTTTAAGCCTCCTGATGACCCTATGATATACATAGAAATACCAGCTCCAAGTTACATCTGAAGCGTGCTCGGCCAAGCTCTCTGGCCTCACTCCCCACTGCGCCCCTCCTTGCTCACTTGGCTCCAGGCCCACCAGCCTCCCTGCTGATCTGCTGTCTCCAGCCTGCTCTTGCCTCAGGGCCTTTGCACAGCTGTTTCTACACCCTGGAATATTCTCCTAAGTAGCCACATCTTTAACTGCCTCTTCTTTCTTTCCTTCTTTTCTCTTTCTTCCTCTTCCTTCCTTCCTTTCTTTTTTTCTTTCTTTCTCTCTCTCTTTTTTAATTTTTTTTTGAGACAAGGTCTCACTCACTCTGTTGCCCAGCCTAGAGGCTGGAGTGCATGGCTCACTGCAGCCTCAACCTCCCGTGCTCAAGTGATCCTCCCACCTCAGCCTCCTGAGTAGCTTGGACAACAGGTATGTGCCACCACGCACGGCTAATTTTTGTAATTTTTGTAGAGGTGGGTTTCGCCATGCCACCCAGGCTAGTCTTAAACTCCTGGATTCAAGCGACCCCCCCACCTCGGCCTCCCACAGCACTGGGACTACAAGTGAGGGCCACTGTGCTTGGCCTAACTGCCTCTTTTCCTTCAAGGCTTTGTTTAAACAGCAGACTCTCAGCAAAGCTGAGACAAACATTTATTGACATGTGCCACACACATGCTTTACCCAGGCTACCTCATTTAATCCTTATGACAGCCCTGTGGGGTTGGGACTATTACTGTCCCCATTTTACAGGTGAGGGAGTTGAGTCCCAGAAAATTAAAGTTATATGCATTTGTTCATGCATTCATACTATATTCATACATATGATTGGAGGTACTTATTTGTTTTGTTCACTTATTGTCTGTTTCTCTCTGCTGGAATGTTTGGTTGTCTGGTTTGTCCATTGCTAAGGTCAGAAACCAAGGCAGGGTCACTGGACAGCAGCCTGAGGTGCTAAATTTGAGTTTGGAGCCCAGGTAGAAGGAGACCTGGGTTCTGACCGTACTGCTAACTTGCTATGTGGTCCTAATACGTAGCCAACCCTTTTCAAACCTCAGGTCCTATCTATCCACCAAAGGCCTCATTCCTGGTTTTCAGTCCAACAGCCAATGGAATGGGGACACGTCCACACAGGAGACCCCTCACTTTCCCATGTGGGGTCCTTGCTCTGTGCCTGGGAGTTCCCAGAGCAGACCCCTGCACCCTTGAGAGAAGGTTCCTGGCTTGGCTCACTGGCTCGTGAGGCTTGTGGGAGCAGACAGGTAAGGATGTCCATGTGTTGCAGTGTGATATAGAGACTGGGGCAGGAGCCTGGGACAGAGAAGGGAGCAAAGTCCTTGGAGAACACCAAGGAGCCCCTCCCCTTCCTGAGTCTGCATCCTCTGAGCTCTCTGCCCCTGAGCCTGCATCCTCCGAGCTCTCTGCCCCTGAGCCTACATCCTCCGGCTCTCCGCCCCTGAGCCTGCATCCTCTGAGCTCTCTGCTCCTGAGCCCAGGTCCCAAGGATCCTGGAGGAGAGAACTGCCCCATGAGGCATCTGAACAGAATGGTTTCTCCCTGAACTCTGTCCCCAGCTGGACCCGCAGAGCCCCCTCCTGCCTGAGGTCCTACCGGTCCATCCCTGCCCATCTACATGCCACCCATACCGAGTTTTTTCGACTTTTCCTTTGAGCTGTACCTTCTCTGGCTTCCAGGCTTCTGCCTGAGCGCTTCCCTCTGCCTGCAACATGGTCCACTCCACACTACTTTGCCTCCTTCCTTCCTTCCCTCCTTCCTTCCTTCCTTCCTTCCTTCCTTCCCTTCCTCCCTCCCACTCTCCCTCCCTCCCTCCCTTCCTTCCTTCCCTTCCTCCCTCCCTCCCTTCCTTCCTTCTTTCCTTCCTTCCTTCCTTCCCTTCCTCCCTCCCTCCCTCCCTTCCTTCTTTCCTTCATTTATTTGTTTGTTTAGACGGAGTATTGCTCTGTCACCTAGGCTGGAGTGCAGTGGCTTGATCTTAGCTCAGCGCAACCTCTGCCTCCTGGATTCAAGCAATTCTCCTACCTCAGCCTCCCAAGTAGCTGGGACCATGGGCGTGCACCATCAGGCCCAGCTAATTTTAGTATTTTTAGCAGAGACGAGGTTTCACCATGTTGGCCAGGCTGGTCCCAAACTCCTGGCCTCAGGTGATCCACCCACCTTGGCCTCGCAAAGAAGCGTCAATATCGTTGGCTGCCCCTAGGAAGCCTTCTAGGACAACGCACGTGGGATGATATGTGATCCCCTCTCTGATCCATTGCTTGCCTGTCTCCCTCATTAGACTCTAAATCTCAAGGGCAAGCTCCTCAGCCATTTCTGTATCCCCAGCATTAGACTTTGGGCTTGGCCTATAGGAAGTCTCCATAAATATTTACTGAACTGGTAAATGAATGTATGAAAGAATGCACGTAACTTAACTTTTCCAAGCCTCAGCTTCCTTATCTGTAAAGTGGGGATAATGATGGTCTCAGTCTCACAGGGTTGTTGTAGAAATTAAATGAGGTAGCCTGGGGAAAGCACTATGGGTGTGACATGTAGTAGGTAGTAGCTGGTCAATACATTTTTCCAGTTAGTTCCAACCTGCTTTGAAGCAGCCCCACTACTGGGGCCAAATGAAAAATACCTAAGCATTCAAGAGGTGGTTGACACGAATTCTTTATCCCCAGTAATGCTGATTCTGTAGCTAGGACTGGGATTTTCATCAGGCCCGTTTTAAAGATAAGGAAACTGAGGCATGGAGTACAAAATAATTTGCTCATTTAAAATGCATCTGTTTTGTTCACTGATGTATCCCCAGTACCTTTAACTGTGCCTGGCATACAATAAATATTTTTAAGTGAATTAATTGAGTACCTATTGTGTGCCAGGCACTGTGGTATACACTGGTTTGGGGGACTCATCCCAAATCATGTAGCTGGCAAGTGGCAGGGCCAGGACTCAAACCCAAGTCCATCTGATTCCAAAGCCTGTGCTCCTTCCTCACGGGTTCCTCCCTGAGTTAGAGAAAGACTGTCCTGAGGCCTCAAGGACCGTCTGCCCCCAAGGGTGTGGGTAGAACAGCCCACACAGTAGTGTCTGGGCATGAGTCACCAACAGGGTGAGCACATGCCTCTCGCCTGGCCAGTCTCAGCCCCAGGCATCCTGTCTGGGCACCCAGTTACGTGCCTGGGTAGGTGCCAGGAAGCCTCGCCTCATCCGATCCAGAGCTCTGAGGCTGCCAGATTCACCAGGTGAGGCTGTGACCTTCTCAGCACTGCCTGACTCCTCTGGGCTGGAGACCAGATGGTCAGCCAGGGCTTGGGGGGTAAGTGGGGGCACCCCTGCTATGCAAAAACCCCACAAACAGGAAGGTGATCTCCAGGGCTTACAGTGGGTGTCATCTCCAGGGAGGAAACAGGGGGACCCACCAGGACCCTGAACTGCACACGTCATTCTTTGGTTACCTGCAGGGAGGGTGTGCACCCACTCAGCAGGACCTAACAGACATCGCCACCTGTTTGAGCGTTAAAACCTAAATACCTTGTTTCCTGCTCCATCACATCTGTCCAGGGTGAGATCCACTGACTCACCTCTGTCATCAGGGTATCCTGGCCAATCACTTGCTTACCTGCAGCCACCTGCCCTGGGAACTTCATGACCTCAGGACCCTTTTAAGCCATGGTTAGGACAGAAGCTATTCTGACTTCCTAATGGGAGAAGTCAATGAGTCTATTCCTCTGTCTCTGTGCCAGACTGTATCTCACCTCCCCAGCTTCTCCAATTTTTCATGAGAAGCCAGAAACCTGCCTTTTTATGGGAGGCCCTCCCGATATCTGTTTATGTTGGTGACTCATTAAGCTCATAAAATGAGGTAGGCCAAAAGATCGCAGGCCACAAGCGTGTGACTTTTCTCCTAAGATTCTCTGATCTTTTAAATCTGAGATCCTAGGTTGCCGAGTCTTTGATTCCAGGATTCCACGCAGGAAGTTAAGATCACTTCTCAGACTGGGGAATTGTGTTTGTGATGGGGGCACAGGGAGGGTGGATGCTGCAGTCATTCCCTTGTGCCTCCCCACCTCCCGCCCCAGCCCCTCACTTGGGGAAGCTGCTCCCGATGAGGATCCGGCCCAGGGGGTATTCCGTGCCGCCCACCGTGACGGGCGGGCTGACGTCCAGGTTGCCGAAGGAGTCAAGGCTGGAGGGACCAGGGAGCGGGATCTCCCGGGTAACATATCCAAAGTCAGGACCCTATGGAAGAACCAGCGAGACCCCCACCCCAAGAAGGAGAGGTCAGTGAGGACAGGACGAGGCAGTTCTTGGAGTAGAGGGGAGTTGCTGGGGGTCTCCCACTCCATGGCTCTTAGTACCTGAAAAACGATCTCTGTCCACTTTTTACAAATCCCCCCTGGGCTCTGCGAACCATGCGATTAAAGACAAATCAATAACCAAAGATAACTAAAAACTCCCCCAAATGTTTGGAAATTAAGCAGTATACATCTAAAGAATCCATGGATCAAAGAAGAAATCAAAGTGGAAATTAGACAAGATTTTGAAGTGAAATTCATAAAAATCTGCTGTCTTTTGATAGCACATTAAAACTCATGAGATGTTGACGAGGCAGCACTGCTAGGGAGTTGTCAGAGCTCTAGACATGTGTATTTAAACTGAGCGTGGTGGGGCAAGCCTGTGCTCCCAGCTCCTCAGGGGGTGAAGTGGGAGGATGGCTTGAGCCCAGGAGGTGGAGACTGCAGTGAGCTAGGATTGCACCACTGCACTCTAGTCTGGGTGACAGAGCAAGACCCTGTTTCATAAAATAAAGTAGGCCAGGCGTGGTGGCTCACACCTGTAATCCCAGCACTTTGGGAGACCGAGGTGGGTGGATCACGAGGTCAGGAGTTTGAGACCAGCCTGGACAACATGGTGAAACCCCATCTCTACTAAAAATACAAAAAATTAGCCAGGCGTGGTGGTAGGGTGGGGGACACCTGTAATCCCAGCTACTCGGGAGGCTGAGGCAGGAGAATCGCTTGAACCCGGAAGGCAGAGGTTGCAGTGAGCCAAGATCGCGCCATTGCACTCCAGCCCAGGCAACAGTGTGAGACTCCTTCTCAAAAACAAACAAACAAACACGTGTTTTTTTTAGGAAGAGAAAAGGCTGATGTGGGGTGAGGGGATGGGGGAGGGATAGCATTACAAGATATAACTAATGTAAATGCCGAGTTAATGGGTGCAGCACACCAACATGGCACATGTACCCTAGAACTTAAAGTATAATAAAAAATATATATATACATATAAATAAAATAAAAAGAAAAGGCTGAAACATCTTAGTTTCCATTTCAAGCCAGAAAAAGAACAGCAAACTAAACACAAAGAAAGTAGAAAATGAAAATGATAAAGATGAGAGCAGAAATCAGTGAAAAAATCCCCTGGCTCCTACAGGCCAAGCCCGGGGCAGGTCAGGTGGGTCCCCCTCCAGCACGCTGGCCCTGGCGGGTGCACTCACCTACAGGGTTCATTGTCACCTGATCCCTCCAGGCTGGGTTGAATGTCCCTGCTCTGTGTGCCCACAGACTGCATCCCATCACAGCTCCTACCTGGACCATCACCGTCCCAGCAGTGGAAGAGTGGGAGCCGGGAAACAGGCAGAGACTGTGGACTCACCTCGAGGGGTAGTGCAGCCTCGAGGCTGAGTGCAGGGCTGTGGGGACAGCCCCCCTAGTTTTGCATCTTGGTGCCACTATTAACTTGCTGCATGGCCTGGGGCAAGTTACTTAACCTCCCTGAGCCTTGATTTCCTCATCCATAAAGAGGAAATAATGATAGCACTTATCTGTAGGAGTACCCCATGGAATACATAAGGTAAGCCATGGAAAGCTAGGAGACAGTGCCTGGAACTCAATAAGTAACGGTGGGTGCTGCTGTTGCCATCTTGTGCACAGGAGGTAGCACAGTGCCTGGCACGTAGTAGGTGTTCAGAAAACATTTGGCACCTAAAGAGAGGCCCTAGCTCTTAAGAACAAGAGCCGTGCAGGCTCACTAAGGGTGCATTCTCTCCAAAAGGCAGTTTGGTCTCCCCAGAGCTGACCACACTGCCAATTCCCCCTTGGTGACCAGCCGCCTTATCCAGAAGAGGGCTGCTGACCTGCCCCTCCCAACACAGGAACAATCAGGCTGCTGCCTATTTGCATGTGATTTGCATATCATTTCCTCTCTTGCCCAAACTCCGCACTGGCTCCCCAGTTTGCTGACATCCCACCTCCTGTATCCTTCTGCCCCCTCTTCCTGTTCTCTGAGCCCTATAGGACTAGGTCCAGATGAGACTTCACTGGTGCGCCTCCAGGAGGACCCAACCAGGGTTTCTGCACTCTACCTGTCGCTACGTACCAGGATCCTCTTATAGGGGAAATCTTTCAGGCCCCTGTTCCTGGGGGAGTCAAAGACCACGGGGAAGGATTTGTGAGGGGCCTCGATGTAGCCAAACTCCATCTCGTCCTGGGAGGGGAGAGATGAAAAAGCCACAGTGACCTTTTTCGGGTGGTTTACAGAACAGGGTGGTCCCCACCAGGCCTGGGGCAGGGCAGGGCAGCGGGTCTTCCCTAAGACCTGGTGAGGGGCAGAGGTAGAAGTGAGGCCTCTTAGGACCCCAGCCAGGAGAGGACTTTCATCTGGGACCAGAGCGTTTGGAGGGAAGCAGTGGAGGCTGGGGCTGATGCAGGCAGCGGAAAAGCCCTCGCCCCAGAGGCCTGGCCCAGGCTGCCGTGGCTTCTCTAGCGACACTGGGTCCATCAGGCACCTGTGCGGCTTCCCTTTCCCCAAGCCAGGCTGCAGGCTTCCCGAGCTGCCCCCAGCTCCCACCTGGATCCAGCGGTCATTTCGATTTTCAACTTGAGGGCAGATGGTCAGCTTGCAGTTGGCTTTCAATGTCAGATAAGACATGTCCTCCAGGAATTTCTCATTGGAGCCATGAGTGTCCATCACTCTGTAAAAGGTAGGGAGAGGGGAGCATGCTAATGGCCTCTGACTGTGGCTGAGGTGTGAGTGGCCTTCAGTTTGTGCTGGGCCCTGTGCAGCCTCTGGGGTACAGGGGTTCCAGTTCATGACCTTGAGAGGCTCATAGGCGCATGGGGAAGATGGATAAAGTCTCCAGATCACATCAGGTGACAGGTGCAAGGTGAGGCATAAGCGCGGGCAGTGGTGCCCAGAGGCAGGGCACCTAACCCAGCACAGGGAGTCAGGGAAGTCGCCACAGAGGTGACCTGAGGCTGAATCTTTTGGGTTAAAATAGCAGTGAGGGGCAGGTAGCCCCATCTACTCCTGTTCCACACAATTGGCCTAAGCAAAGGGGTCAGGGTGGGGTTAGCAAGCAGGAGAACAGTCTCTTTTTAACACCTACACACACCTAGACCCGGGGAAGCAGAGCAAACCTGTTTGGCCACACCCTTCCCAGCCTTTTAACTTATGACCAGCTCAACTGTGGCTTTTTCCAGTGGTCTGACCTCTGGCACAGAGGCCTGGCAGGGCTTTGCCAATCGAGGCTGATCCTTCCCTCAAGGGCATGATGAGGATTCTGAGAGACGGCAGAAGGACCAGCAAGCTGGGTGAGATCGGGCTTGCAGAGACTGGGTTCCCATGTCCATAGCAGGCAAGGGATCGTACCCATGTTACAGTGAGGGTAGGTCTCCGATGGCCACCAGCAGCCTGTGCAGGGCCTGGCTCCACTGCCCAGACTAAATCTGAGATGTTCTGGGGCTGCAGCCACAGGACAGGATGGGCAGGAAAGCCAGAGCTTGAGCCAGTGACCTGGGAGAGGCCTTAGCTGCACAGGGCAGGGTGGGTCAGGGTTGGGCAGGGTGGGGCCCCAGCCCACCTGCTGCTGTCCTGCCACCAGCTCTGCCTGAATGGGTGCCCGCAATGAATCCGTCGGTGTGAGTGAGGGGCGCAGCCCTGAGGCAGCTTCTGTCCCTACCTCTGCACTCCAGACTTGGGGGAGGGCTGGAGGGAGGGAGCCTCACCTGCACACATACAGCTCCTCAGGAGGCTGAGTGTTGGGCGTCATGATCCAGGGGGCCATGCGGAAGCCCACAGTGTCTGTGAAGAGGGTCACCTCGGGCAGGGTCTGAGGGGAAAATGAGGACTTGGTGGGCCCTGCAGGGACCCCTAGCCTGCCTCAAGCCCCCCCAGCCCCCAGCCTGCCCAGCCCTGGAGCCTGCAAACTGGGCCCCCAAACCCCTCAGCCTCCTTGGCCACCCCCCAGTGCTGTACACACCCCCGGGTCCACCAGGCTGACACTGAGGGAAACCAGCCCTAGGAAATCGGCATCGGGGAAGGTCAGCCCCTCCACATAGAACTTGATCTCCTGCTCCCCTGGCTGTCGCTCAACTTCATAGGACAGACACTGGGGCCCCAGCACCTGTTTGTAGTCCGAGAGAGAATTCCCACCTAGGAAGAACAAGAGTCAGGGGCTAGCGAGGAGACAGGGGTGAGGGGCTGCAAGCCCAGGAATCCAGGACAGAGCCCCCTTTGTGGTTAGAGCAGCTTGGGTTCCTCTCTGGCTCTGCCACGTGCAAGCTGCATGGCCTTAGCTCAATGACTCAACCTCTCTAAGCCTCAGTTTCTTATCTGTAAAATGGCTAACATTTTCTCATGAGGCCAATATAAACTTTAAACTAAATAAAGAGATAGAAGCACCTGGCACAAAAGGTGAAAATTACCCATGGATAAATAGATATGCAAAATGTAATATATTCATAAGATGGAATATTATTAATTCGTAAAAAGTAATGACCAGACAGGTATGGTGGCTCATGTCTATAATCCCAGCACTTTGGGAGGCCAAGGCGGGAGGATCACTTGAGACCAGCCTGGGTAACATAGGGAGACCCCATCTCTACAAAAAATTTTTTAAAATAGCCAGGCGTGGTGGCACATGTCTGTAGTCCCAGCTACTCGGGAGGCTGAGGTGGGAGTATCGCTTGAGCCCGGGAGTTCAAGGCTGCAGTGAGCCGTGATAGCATCACTGCACGCCAGCCTGGACAACAGAGTGAGACCCTGTCTCTAAAACATAAGAAAAGTAATGAAGCACTGATTCATGCTACACCATGGATGAACCTTGAAGACATTATGCTAACTAAAAGAAGCCTATTGTATGGTTCCATTTATATGAAATATCCAGATAGGGAATTTCAGAGATACAGAGAGCACATTGGTGGCTGCACACGGCAAGAGAGGCTATCCATTCACTTGTCGAGACTTTGCTTACGCCCTGGTGTCACACTAAGTACTTTTAAGCTGAGTCCTCTGCCTAAACATCCACCACTGGTGCATGGGAGGGAACATTCTGGCTCCTGCCAGGCTCATTTAGCTGGAACAACAAGCTCTGGGTCAGTTTGAACAGCGAAGGGTGAAGGGGAATCGGGAAGGGGTAGAAGCCTGTTGCTGTTTGTAAAAACAAGTAAGAGCAGTCCGGGGTTAAGGAGTGGTAATTTATTTATTTATTTATTTATTTATTTATTTATTTATTTATTTATTTATTTGAGACAGGGTCTCACTCTGTCTCCCAGGCTGGAGTGCAGTGGCATGAACACGGCTCCCTGCAGCCTTGACTTCCTGGGCTCAAGTGATCCTCCCACTTCAGCCTTCAGAGTAGCTGGGACTACAGGCTAATTTTTTTGTATGTTTTGTAGAGACAAGGTTTTGCCATGTTGCCCAGGCTGGTCTCAAACTCCTGGGCTCAAGTGATCCTCCCGCCTTGGCCTCCCAAAGTGCTGGAATTATAGGCATGAGCCACTGGGCCCGGCCAATTTTTTCTTTTTCTTTTTTTTTTTTTTTGAGATGAAGTCTTGCACTGTCACCCAGGCTGGAGTGCAGTGGCATGATCTTGGTTCACTCACCCAGGCTGGAGTGCAGTGGCATGATCTTGGTTCACTGCAACCTCTGCCTCCTGGGTTTGAGTGATTCTCCTGCCTCAACCTCCCGAGTAGCTGGGACTACAGGCATGAGTCTCCACACCCAGCTAATTTTTTTTTTTTTTTTTAGACAGAGTCTCACTCTGTCGCCCAGGCTGGAGTGCAGTGGCGTGATCTCAGCTCACTGCAAGCTCCACCTCTTGCCTTAACCTCCGGAGCAGCTGGGACTACAGGCACCTGCCGCCACACCTGGCTAATTTTTTTGTATTTTTTAGTGGAAACGGGTTTTCTCCATGTTAGCCAGGATGTTCTCGATCTCCTGACCTTGTGATCCACCCTCCTCGGCCTCTCAAAGTGCTAGGATTACAGGTGTGAGCCACCGTGCCCGGCCTAATTTTTGTATTTTTAATAGAGACAGGGTTTCACTGTGTTGGCCAGGCTGCTCTCAAACTCCTGACCTCAGGTGATCCGCCTCCCAAAGTACTGGGATTACAGATGTGAGTCATTGCGCCCAGCCTTGGCCATATTTTTTTAAGCCACAGGCTGATTAATAAAAACTCTGATGAGAAAGACAGGTTCTGGGGCCAGAGGCAGGGCCCGGGCCTCAGCCTCACTGGTTCTCACGCCCTCCCTGCCTGGACAGTGCTTGGCATGCAGTTCAGTCCACGCTGATTGACCAGAGGAGGGAACGGGTGTGGGGCAATGGTAAAAGGAGGAGCTTTGGTGCACCCAAGACACCTGGGTTGGAATGCCTGCTCCACCCCAGATGGTTGTGCCATAGTGAATTCCTGCATCTGAGCCTCGGTTTTCCTCTCCATAAAATGGAACTCGTTGTTGTTGAACCTCCTCCTTGAGGACTATATTTGGTACTGATGGAGTGGTTGTTTGTAAGCTGTAATGAGAGTTACAAAAAGGTGATGGAAAAAAAGAGAGAGAGATGGGGGAGGAGAGGATAGATATGGATGGAGCTGGGAGGAAAAGGCCCCATCAGGCCACTCACCCCTGGCACAGAAGACCCTCACTCTTTTGGAATCAGAAAAGGGCACGTTCAAGACAAGCTTGTGGCTGTCGAAGAGCTTGTCGGGGCCATTGCAGCTCAGCAGCATTGGGGACATGTCCTGCAGGTCTGGAGAGAGTGGCCCTCTTGAGATCGCCCTTTCTCCACCCCACCAACAGGATCCACTTCCATCCCCCTTCCCCACTCCCCAGACAACACCTTGTGTCACTCACCAGCCAGCGACATCAGCCAGCTGTGGGTGAGGTCAGGCTCTGCGGACCTGTGATTGTCCCGGTCACAGTTCACCAGCAAGATAGCCCCATAGCCCTCAGGGCCCCAGCGCCAGGTTTTCTGTGGCAAAATAAGATGCCTTGGGATCAGTGGGACCCAGGAGGCTCCAGGAAGGGGTTCTAGACATGGCCAGGGCGGGCTGCTTTATTAGATTATAGATTTTCATATTTTTAGTTTGCTTAAAGATTTTAAAAAGGATTATTTGGGGAATGGAGTTCCAGATAAGGCTCTAGACCCACCTCATCCTTGTGCAGTGAGCAACCTGCACAACCATACACAATGGCTCTACCCAGCCATCACACTGGAGAAGCAAAGGTGTCATTACCACACCAAGAAATGGCCCTCAAAAGCTGGCTAAGCTTTAGCTCTGCCTGTGGGGCGGGGGTGGGCAGAGGCTGCCTGCCATGACCTTGATGAGGGTCGGGATCTGGAGAATCTTTGGGAGACCCTTCCCATCCCAGCACTCTCCTGGAACCTGTCCCATAGATATCTCTGGCATCCGCATGCAGTCCTGCAGGCTCTGCAAGCTGAGGTCTGAGCCAAGTCGGGAAACATGGCTGGAGCTCTCCCTGCCTCTGTGGTTGCTGCTGTCCCCAACACACCTCCCCACCAGACCCACAAGGCAGGGCTTACTTTCCCCATTTCACAGAAGGGTGCGGGGAGGTTCTGAGAGGTGAGTCCCAAGCCGCATAGCTGGCCTTTAAACCCAGGTTCTTGGGATTGCACAGGGCCACTGTTAGCCTTTATGGCACTCTTGCCCACCCTCTGGGTAGATGCCACTCTGCAGCAGGGCCCTAGACATGATTTGTATCATAGTTGCCACCATGCCCAAGCAGTCTTGTGCAGTGAACAACCCACGCAGCCATCCATGGCAGCCCTGCCCACCTTGTCCTCAAAGCTTTGTGATCCAGGCTGCCTCTCTGGAGTCTTTCCCTTTAAATTGTACCTTCTACCCCTCCCAGGACAGCTTCCAGATAGTTCCTGTGGGGTGACGCCTTGAGCCCACTCTGTCCTCCTCCTTACTCTTCAGGTGTTACCTGGGGCTGACCACCATAGCCTCCTCTACCCCAAGGCTTGTCTTCTCCTTGCCTTCTGTCACTCAACAATCTTTTAGGAAGCACTCCCACATGTGTAGGGGTCCAAATATAGCCCTCAAAATAAAAAAGGCAGCAACAAAAGAACCAATCCCAATTTCAAAGTGGCACAAGAGAGACCCAGAGAGGGTAAGCTGTTTTCCAGCAGTCACACAGCATGTCGGTTACAGGGTGTAGGTTAATGTCCACTCATGCCAATTTTGCTGTCCCAGATGGGTTCCCTACATGGTTGGATACTACAGACCCTGGGGATCCATCATTCTTCTGGAGGGAGGGCACAATCCACCCGGGACCACCCCAAGTTTGCCTTTCAACCCCGCAGCCTTGGGGTGCCCGGAAGGGTCTCACCTTGTCCCCTTGGCTCCTCTTCACCTTGCCTGTGCGGCCTGTGTCAACCTCAAGGGAAATATCTGCAAAGAGATGGAGAGGGGCTGCCAGGGGCTCATCCAGCCCCATCTTCACACCCCTAAAGTCCAGGTTGGGCAAACTCTGACCCCTCCCCAAGCCCGTGAGGACTGGAAGCCCTGTCTGGGGGTCAGACCCCACACTTGGGAGACCTCTGTGGCTTGCCCTGTGGTTCTGGGAGTTGGAGGGACCCAAGCCTTTGGCTCTTGAATCACTTGCTTGCCTGTGCATGTCCACCTGCTAGCTCTTGGTGGCTTTGGGGTTCCAAATCATATGCTGGTGACCCCAAACTCTGAGAACTGGGGACATGGCCTGAGGTTGCAGGGGCTGGGTTCTGCCGTTACATTGACCCTGGCCCTGGCTGAAGGGGGCACGTTCCGTGCTGGGTCTTGGAGGTCTAATGAGGGTATACGTGGGACTCTGGATGAAGGAGGCTTATTGTGGGTCTAGCCGTTGTTCACTGGGCAGTGAAGTTTCTAGATCCTTGTGGTCCTAAGGACTGCTGGGTCTCAATCCCTGTGGTTCCAGAGTGGACAGAAGGTCCCGAGGAATCCAAGCCCCTCAGTGATGGAGGAAGCTGGCCATGGGTCTTCCACTCCAAGGAATCCACTAAGACCCTCAAACAGTCAACCTGGAGGGGCAAAGGGATAGATGGGCAGCCAGGGAGCTGCTACTTACCGACGCCAGTGAGGTAAAGCACGCTGCGGCCCAGAGCTTGGTCTTCCTGCTCCCCAAAGTAGGAGACCCTCACCTGCAGAACATAGCCCTAAGCCTGCACGGCCATCACCTTCAGAGATGGCGGAGGCAGAGGTGATGAGGGACACATCCTGACAGCCCTACTTAGAGGCACAGGAGGCCTGGAGACCCCCCCAGTCTCTGAAGTCCCAAGACTCAAGGGCTCCCGGCTGGGATTCAGAGCTACCTTCTCCAGCAAGTGGCTGTGGAGCCCACCTTGGTTCCCAGAGCAGGTGTGAGGAGCAAGGAGGGTGGGGGAAAGGTGGAGGGATGGGAAAGGTGGGGCAGCTCCCAGCAGGAGCAGCTGGCAGATGAGGGAGGAGCAGCCGGCTCCATCGACTTAGGCAAGTCTCTCAGCTCCTCTAAGCCTCGGGTAGTTCCTCAATAAGATGGGAATGAGAACCCCCACTCCATCACCCCAGTCAGTGGTCCTGGAGCTTTTAGCGTGGTCCAGAATCCGTGCCAAGCCCTCCAGCCGGGTCATCCCAGTGAGCCCCTGGGATGGCCCCAGTCGACAGGAGACTGTCCGGACCCTGCCTGCAGTCCAGCAGTCCCTCAGCTAGCAAGCAGAGGAGGTGGGGTCTGAGCCCACAGTGGGCTCCTGAGCCCCTCCCTCAACAGCTGCTTTATCCCTGCCTTTTCCCTGTCGGGGAGAAAGGGCCATGTCTAGGATTTGGGTGCTGGGGGCTGGGGCGAGTGAGGAGGGACTCGTCTGAGCTTCGGGCAGGCGATGAGAGAGAAGGTTGGCTTAGGTGTGGGAGATCCGTGCACACAAAGATGTGGACGTGTGTGTGTGCACCTGCACGGGTTGTTGTTGTGCGGTCCTGCCCACACGAGAGCACTGGGGCATCTTGCTGGGTCCGTGTGTGGGCTGAATACAGGGATTAATGTGAAGTTGTCTGTGAATCTGAGGGGGTGACTAGGAGAGCTTGTGTTTTGTGGGAGTACTCACGTGTACATGTGTGATACTGGAGTGGTGGTGGAGGTTTGCGTGTTTTGGGCGTCAGTGGCATTGTATCAGGATACGTTTTGTGTATGTACTGTGATAAGCTTTGTGAGGTTTGGTTAAGTGGGGAGCTTTGGAATGGGAATTGCCAATGTGGGGCTCTTACCTTGGATGGGGGTGGAGAGATCCAACCCTTTTCTATGAGAAAGTGGCCTCTTACCTTGAAGTCCTTTAATTCCTTACTGGCTGTGCCCACAGATACGACCATGTCTGCATCAGTGTCTAGCGGCCAACGGGCCTTGCCTATGGGCTCTTTCACACGTGTGCGGTTGTAGACCATGAAGACCTCCACCCCGGAGCTTCCAGAGACCCTGAAGCTGTTGGCACCCTTGGGCACATCACTGGCAGAGAAGAGAGATGGGAAGAGAACCAGTCTTCCCATCTCTCTTCAGGGGAGTGGCCACAGTGGGGTGGGGGCTTGGGGCTGCCAGGCCGTTCAAATGGCACCCCTCAACAGTCAGGCTGGGGAGGCACAGGGCAGTGCCACTGGCCAGGAGCATCTGGAAGCCAGGGCATAGATGGTAAACCCTTGGACACCCCCAGCCCACACCCAAGTCCTTTCCAGATCTGACACTTCCAAACTCTCCAGCTCAACAGAGATCCACTAACCCACCACCTCTCACCACCTCCACTGACATCACTGCGGCCCAAGCCACCATCACCCCTCGCCTGGATCACCGAGCAGCTTTCTCATGGGTCCGTGGTCCCACCCAGGCCCCTCCAGTCTGTTTTGCACACAGCAGAGCGTGTTGTTCCTTTGCTGGAAAGCAGTGGTTTCCATCAAACTCAGTAAAAGGCAGAATCCTCTTGAGTAGCATAAGAGGCCCTTCTGATGCGCCCCTGCCACCTTGCTGACTGCCTCCTCCCTACTACGCTTTCCCTCGCTCACTTAGCTCCAGCCACGCTGGCCTTCCTGTTGTGCCATGAAGATGGCAAGGCTGTCCTGGCACTGCCCGCTCCTGCTGCATGGACTGCTCCTCCCCAAGATGTCCACAAGTCTCCTTCCCTCACCCTCTTCAAGGCTCTGCCTAAATGTCACCTTCTCAGCAAGCTCCTGCCCCCACCCAATCACTCCATTTAATGCTGCACCTTGCCCACCTTTCCCCCCGACTGATCCCCCATCTCCCTTCCCCTGCTCTGATTCTTTTTTTTTTTTTTTCTTGAGACAGAGTCTCACTCTCTCACCCAGGTTGGAGTGCAGTGGTGCAGTCTCTGCTCACTGCAACCTCCGCCTCCCAGGTTCAAGCGATTCTCCCACCTCAATGCCAGTCAACTGTCCATCTCTCTTGCTAGAAGGTCAGCTCCACAAGGGCAGGAATTTTATCTGTTTTGTTCACAGCTGCATCCCCAGCACCTATAACAGTGTCTGGCACATGGTAGGTGTAGGTGCCCAATAAACACGTGTGAATGAATGGATGCATTCTCACTTTCTGCCACTCTGCAGGGGGATTCAAGCCCATCTGCACTTGAGTGGAGATCTAGAACTTGACTAATGCCAGCACCCCGTGCAACTTCTTTCCATCACCCAATACACCGCATTCACCTGATACATCAGAGCTCTGGGATCAAGAAATGGGTGTTGAGAAGCCTCCCATCTGCCTTGGCCCCAGCCTGGGGCACTCATCTGCCGGGCCCCCACCCTACCCCTCACACCACCAGCTGCTCCCAGCCACAGCTGGTTGGGGCCAGCCTTCCTGGCCCACAGCATCAGAGGGGGATGCACTGCAAACTCAGGCTACAGGGCACGCAGAGCAAAACCAACAGGGCCTCTGTGGGTGGCATCTCATTCTTCTTCATCCCCTGCATAAGCGTGAACTATGGCCTCTCTGTGCCAGGCACTGCACTAATCCCCAGAGTTCCAGGAGGCTCTTGAGCCTGTGGCGCTCACACTCTGGAGAGGAGGTTGAATGAGAGAACTACACATTGGTGCTTGTTCTTCCTTTGTAAGTCAGGGCTCTCCAACATCATCCCCCACGGCAGAGCCATCAGCCACCAGGACACCACCCAAGGTCAAGTCCACTTACAGACATCCACCTGACTACAAAGATGCTGCTGGAGGAATTTTGTCTGTTTTGCTCACAGCTGCATCCCCAACACCTGTAACAGTGTCTGGCCCATAGTAGGTGCTCAATAAACACTTGTTAATAAATGGTTGGATTCTCACTTTCTGCCACTCTGCAAAAGGGGTCCTTCTGCATATTCTCCCGCCTTCATCCTTTCCTGGACCCCTAAAAAACCACCCAAATATTCAGCCCTCTGGAGAAACCAGACCCCCTCCACAACCTCTGCCATGATCACTTGGCCCCATCAAAAAACTGTCTCCATTGACTGCGGTGACAACAGTCCTAATTCCAACAATCACGAGTCCTACTTGGCGCTCCCTAATGCTCATCACAACCCCCCAAAGCAAAGATTATAATCCCCATTTTACAGAAGAGGCAGGAGTGTGCAGGGGCCCCAGGAGCCCCTGCAGGCTGCTGGCAAGACCCACCTCCCCCATCCCCCACTCCTGGCCTTACAATCACCACATTCCACAGCACTTTTGGGGGTCCTCGCACCTTACCTGCTCTTCCTCATCGTTTACATCAGTTGCCATGGAAACCCCAAGTCTCCTGGACTATCATCCTCTCATCTGACCCCCTTCCTCATCCTCCCCAACTCCCTTTCAATCCCAGCCACCATCATCTGCACGATATCCTCAGTCCCACCCTGGACAGTTTCCTTGATCTTGTACTGTAAAAGAAGCCTGCCCCCAATAGCAGGCATGGCCTCCCCTTCAGCCATCTCCCTGGTGACTGCTTCCCCCTTACTCCCTCCAGCCCCTGGGCCTGGAGGTGGGCAAGGGTCCTTCATGCTCCTCAATGTCCCTTCCAGATCATCATCTTTCTTCACTCCGTAAACCCCCAGCTTTGCATTGACATTTCCAGACTACACCACCCATCTACAGGGACACCTTTGCACACCATCGCTCTGTCCTCATCTCGAGGGTGCCAGCTCCTGCCATGTTCCTCAGCCGGCTGCCGTCACCAGTTTATACTTCAATGGCGATGTAGATGGTGTGCTGCACCCTGGTCCCTCAGTCCCTTGACCTCTCATCCAATGCTCCTGTCCTCCACCTGGCCTCATCCCCTCCTTCACGGGGCAGGTGCTATAGAATGTTATTATCAAAAAACTGCACCCACTACAAGCTCCCCTGTTAGCAACCCACTCGGACACCGCTTCCCAATATTCCAGCTCACTCCTAACACACCAGTGCAACCAAACCTTCAGCCCACTGGGACGCTTGACCTTTGAAGGCTGAGTCCTCTCTACTCGCCCCCCACTGCTGTCCCTCATCCCTCATGTTCCCTCTTCCCTTCCCCAGGATAGTCCCATAGATCCCATAGTCCCCCGCTGCGGCCACCCCCTTGCTCCACTCCCTAATCTTTTGCTCATCCTTCCCTCCCTTGAGCTGCCTGGCAGAGCTCCAGCTATACAATCAGATCCAACTCTCCACCCCCTCTGCACCTGCACCACGCGGCTGACCATGGTTCACTTGGACTCATGACTGCTGACCTCAATGGATGCGTGACATGCTCGTGCTCCTACAGCATTGCTCCAGGCTCTTTTCTCTTTCAGTGTCCTAGAGGACTATGTCCTATCTTCTCCTATCTCCAGAAGCCTCCCCACTCTTCCCCCTTGTCACTCAGAGCCTTCAACCTCCCTCCTCCCACCACCTCATCTCCCAGCCCTCCTGCCTTTGAGTCCACGACCATGCCTGCCCTCCTGGGAAGAGGGGTGTGCTGTCTGGGCTCTTGCCCAAGACCAGCCCTCCTGGGGCACATCCCCTACTCAAGGGCATCACTGGCCTTGCCCCTTCTCCCCTCCCTTGCACCCAGCACACAGACGTGAATATCACCCATCCCCAAACTCATTCTCCTTTGACCTCCTCATTTCTTCTGCTCCCTTGACACCTCCAATTATTTCTTCTCTTTGCGTCTGCAACCTGCCTCTAATCAGCCTTTCCTCCCACCACACCAAGGAAACTCCACTGTTGCCAAACCCAGTGGGTCTTTTCTCTTCTTCCCCTCATTGACCTGTCAGAGGCACTTGGCCCAGATGATCACCTGTCTTTGAAACACTTTCCCACTTGGCAGCTGGGACACGGGCTCTGCTTGCTCTCCTCTGACTCCGTGGCCTTTCCTCTAATGCCTTTGCTGTGTCACTCCCCCTTACCCCCTAACTCCAGGCAGTGGTGTGCTGGCAAATGTTTAACAACCAGCTCTCTGGAGTGGGGGGGTTCTTATGCATATATATGTATATATAAATTTATTATAAATTTTACTGATGTAAATAGTGTGTAGCACATAATGTAAAAATAATAGTATAATACATATAATTCTTTATTGTAAAATGTGTTGTAAATTCTATATAGTACATTGATTCCTCCAGATGCCCTCTCTTGCAACTGTAGCCAACCTGTGGTTGCAATTTGACCATGATTTGACCAATGCAATTGCATCCCAATCTGCTCATTCTTTCCTCCATAAGTTTATTGTCACTAAATCTGATATGTGACGTAAACGTTGGTTGATATTTTTGTTGGCATTCACGAATAAGATGAAAGGGGAAACAATGAAGATGCATGTCACCCTTCATTCATTCATCTAGGATATGAGCAACCTCTTTGCTGAATCAGATAATCCTGGAGGAACATTTCATCAATTTTTGGTACTAACCACAATGTCATGGCTATAGACGCAATACACTTTTAAATTGAGTTGACATTGTTAACCTGTCTCCATCACTTTCTGAACTCTAGGCATTTGATAAAACGATGAATGAAGCCCTGATTTGTAGCCTTGACCAATGTCTGTGGTGTAAACACTCCCACTCTAGCCAGTTTCAAGTTACCAGCCCAACATCATTGGACTCAGAGTTTCAAAGAGCTGCATAATAGCACCTCGTGACATCACTATTTCCACTATATCTGGACAATGGTAAAATGCAGTAAAATAATTAAGCAGTGATGAGTTTTCAGTACTACTGCCTTTGTTTTTAATATAATTTGCTTAATTGTGTGTATATTTAATTTTAAATAGTGGCTGTGTTTAACAAGGGGTTCATAACCTTCTTAAAAATTAAACAATCAGATCTCCTTGAGGAAGGACCCTGGTACATTGCCACAAACACACTGTTCAACTTTCTCCCAGCCTTCCCCGAGAGGACACACAACTTTTTACCAGGGTGACTGTCACTGGGGAAAAGGAAATAATCGTACATTTCTAGTTCTCCTGCACACCGGCCCTGAACTGGTCTAGGAGACCCTAAACAACACTGCGGCCCACCTGGCAGAGCAGGGGCTCATGGAGGCCAGGTGATCCATGGAGTTTCAGCTCAGGTTCATCTTACAGTGGGTCCAGTAGCCCCTGAGCCCATGTGTGGTTCCGCCCCACCCCAACAAGTTCTGAAATGTGTAATTGGAATAGGCACCATCGGCAACGGGCAGAATCCCTACACTGGTACTCTTCAGAGTGCGGCTGGCCCCAGCGCACCTGGCTTAGGGCTCAGCCTCCCCTCTCCTCCTCTCCTCCCCTCCCTCCCCTCTCCTCCTCTCCTCCCCTCCCTCCCCTCTCCTCTCCTCCTTTCTTCTGTCTACACCCACTCCCTTGGTTTTCTCCACCTGCCACATCAATATGGTTAGAACTCTCAGACTTCTTGCTTTCTGAGTTTCTCCCTGGGTGTCTACCAGGCATTTTATTTTATTTATTTTTTATTTTTTGAGACAACGTCGTGCTCTGTCACCCAGGCTGGAGTGCAAAGGCATGATCTCAGCTCACTGCAACCTCTGCCTCCTGGGTTCAAGCGATTCTCCTGCCTCAGCCTCCCAAGTAGCTGGGATTACAGGAGCTCACCACCACGCCAGCTAATTTTTGTATTTTTAGTAGAGATGGGGTTTCGCCATGTTGGCCAGGCTGGTCTTGAACTCCCGACCTCAAGTGATCTGCCAACCTCGGCCTCCCACAGTGCTGGGATTACAGGCGTGAGCCACTGCGCCCAGCCCTACCAAGCATTTTAAATTTCACACATCCAAAGCCAAACTCCTGCTTCCCCATGCCCACTCCTTCCCCACTCCTTTCAAACCTGCTCCTGCCCAACCCACCGCAAGTCTGTCCATAGCAGCTCCACCTTCCAATTCAGCCTCACCTCCTCTTGTTCCCTCACTCGCACAGCCAGCCCCTCAGCAAATCCCATCAGCTCCACCTTCATAGCAACTGCAGACCCTGACCGCTCTCACCTCTGCCACAGCTCACATCCTGTCCAAGCCACCAGTTGCTTCCATGTGGATTTTTATCATAGGCCAGTGACCTGCTTCCCCTCTCTCCCCACAGTCCAGCTTCAACATAGCAGCCAGAGGGACCTTTTAAAATAGAAGTCCCGTTGCATCCCTCCTGCTCAGAGGCTGTCACCAGAGCCTGTGTGGCCTCCCAGGCTTTCCTGACCCATTGCTTTCCCTCCCCACGCCCTCTTGCTTGTTCCTGCCGTTCTTCAAGCATGCCAGGGCTGCAGCTCTGTCTGTCCGGAATGTTCCTGTCACCAATCCCTGCGGTCCGCCCAGCCCCTCACTTCCTTCTCTCAGGGTAGCATACGAGGCCTTTCTGATGTACCCTTCTTGCCTGTTGCAAATGGCGTGACACAAATGACACCATGAGTCTGGTTCCCCAACCCCAGCTTCATTCCAGCCCATGGCACCGGCCACCTCCCAGCCACCTGACAGAGCACATATCTGCTCATTGCAGTCTCTCCCTCTAAAATGCAGAGATTTTTTTTCTGTTTTATGCTGTCTGCATCGCTGCTGTCATCTCTGCATCCAGCTTAGTGCCTGGCATGAACCAGGGGCACAATCAACGCGTTCTGGACAAGGACACAGCGACTCAGGATGGTGGAGTGGCTTTCTCAGGACTGCCCAGCGGGGAGGTGGCTGAGTCATGATTGAATCCAGTCGGCCTGGCCCATGAGTTCCAAGAGCAAGTAGCCACAAGCCCAGGGCACCCAGCTGGCAGCAGAAGGGTTTCTAGCTCATGGGTGACTCCTGCTCCACCCCACTCAGGGACCACCGGTGCCAGACACAGCCCTTTCAAGGGAAGCAGGACTCTGTGGAGCCAATCCCTAGCTTTGGGCAAAAGTTGACATCTCTAAGTCACAGCCCCCTATTTGGAGTCTTGGTAGAAAATGATGATGATGATGATGATGACGATGATGATGATGATGAAAGAAGGGGGAAGAAATGACAGGTACAATTTCTCTGGGGCTATCAAGACCCTCCAAGCCCAGCCTAGCTTCCTGTAGTCTAGATCTGCTCCCTCCCCACCCCAAACTTGCTCAATAGCTCACACCTCTGTTCACCTCTCTCTGGGGTGCTGGGCTCCTGGTCTCAGTGTCTCCCTCCCCTGTGAGTAACAGATGAGTGGGCAGTGCCTAGAGGGGTCAGGCCTTGGGGGAAATGTGGCTTCCTGCAGGAGACACCTGCTATGCAGGTCTGAGGCCCAGGGCCACTCCCACAGGCATGGGGAGGGGCCTATTCTAGTTCCCAGCCCCACTGCCTTCAAGACTTGGTTCCCATCACCCCCATCCAGGTCAGCTTCAGCTACAGAAGAGCGGCAGGTACCCCAGCAGGAGCTTTGAAAACCACCAGGAAGAGGCAGGAGGAGGGGTCTGCTTATTCTCTCTGGCACCCAAGCAAGGCAGGTTATGCCGGGTGAGCCCTGCGCTGCCTTTGATTCTCATTCCCTTGGCATCCTACCCCAACCCTTGCCCCGGGGCTGGGAGACGGGGCTTATACTGCCTTTCCTTATCTCTCAGGTGCCCAGATCTGTGGGCCTGGTCATGGATGAAGGGCTGCCCTTGGGAGGTGTGACAGGCAGGAGTGGGAGCTTGTGGGGAGCCCCAGGCCACCCTGCAGTGGGCTGTATTGCGCCAGCTTTCTGGAGCTGCTCCCGGCTTCCTCCAAATCTAATAATCCTCTCCAAGATGCTTCTCTTTGGTGATGTCTCATGATGTAGCCCCCAGACCTAACCAACCCCCAGATATGCAGTACTGGCATGTCCCCAAATGCACAGTCAGGTGAGGTCACAGATTTGAAAGCACCCCTCCAAATAAAAAAGGCCAAATCATTACCACTACAGGAGTCACCCTGTCAGGTGTCTTGGTAATCACTGTTATATCATCATGGTTTCCACTGTTATGCTGATGAGCCTGCCCCTCACCAGGCTGCTCCCCCATCTCTGCTGGGCCAAGTCATGGGGCGGGGGGCAGGGGGGTCTTTTGCATTCTTCAAGACCCACTTCAAATGCCACCTCTTCCATGGAGTGAAGTGTGGGTTCTGTGTGGAGCATGGCCTCCAACTGGGTCACTCAACTGCCTCGATTTTCCTCCGCTGTAAAATGGACACAATCCCAAGAGCTACTTCCTAGACTGTTGGAGGGATTCCCTGAGATGATGACTTCTCAGCGTTAGATGCTGTCACCATGGTTACAATTACTCTTCTCAGAATCCCCAGACAGCCCAACTCACTCCAGCCAGAAACCTTATGTGCTTCCTCTGTGCCCCCATGGCCCTGGTTCAGACCTTCCTGGGGGCCACTTCACATCTCGTCTGCGCCGCCCAGAGCAGCGTCCTCCTACTCACCCTGCAATGCCCACCAACCTCATGCCCACAGCAGGGCCAGTTGCATCAGGTTCAATAGAGAGGTTATGGGCAGAATGGGGTGAATTCTTAGAGAATCTCACAAAAGGAGACGCGGAGGGCGGGATGAGGAGTGTAAAACCAACTACTCTCCACCCCTGCCCGCCTCCTGTGGTAAGGTGCAGGTTCACCCACTGGTTATGGCATAAGGCAGCATGTTCCATGGGTTCTAGTGGGGCAGGGAAAGAGCCTGCATTTTCAAGCACCTGCCGTGTGCCAGGCACGTGCTTAGCTTTTGCTATCCATGATCTCATCTAGACTTCACTCCAACTCCTGCTCCCCGACCAAGGTAGGTGTTACTTGTCACAGGGTAATGACGGCCGGTAATGCAGGAGTAAAAGAATTTACCAGGACAGCTGTGTGTAAAGGAAAGCAGATTGATTACAGAAAGTAGGAAAATACATCGCCAGAGACACAAAAGTCAGCCTTCAAGAAAGAAGCCTCTCTCTGGGGTGAAGCCGACTGCAAAGAAACAAAGACTTGCTGGGGATTTTATAGGACGATGTTTATCTGTCTGTTGAAGAGGGCTTTGTGCAGTACTGATTATGCCCAGGCCGCGGGGAGCTCAGTTGCAGGGGTCTGGTGAAAGCTGGGTGCAGGAAGATTGTGAGTTACTTGCATAGGAGGGCAATGCGTCCTGGACCATGAAGAAAGGCAGGCTTGGAGCTGATCAGCTTTCTTTTCTTTTTTTACTTTTCCCTGCTCCTACCAGCCTGGTAGGAGATTACGTCCCCACTTCACAGATGAAGAAATCTCGGAGAAGTTAAGTAACTTTACTCAGGTCACCCAGATAGCAAAGTGAGAAGCTGTCCTGGCTGGTATTAAAATGAGTGCGTGTGTGCCCTGAGCATGCCCTTGTCGGGGACTGGAAGGAGGAGACGATCAGGGATGTCGGAAGGAAACAGGAATGTGTTGAGAGAGTGTGCAATTCGAGCTCCTCTGCATGGCTCTTTGGCAGCAGGCCAGGGAGGCCTAGGGAGGGTGGCGGCACCAAGGCAGGAAAGCCACAGCCCCCTGGCCCCACCACACACCCACATCTTACAGCGGCAAGGCGAGGGGGGTGGTGCCTGTGATCTTCTTGTCCTTGTCTGCCCTAAAATGACAGAAGAGACCAGGGAGCATCTTGCATAGCATAGGCCTTGGGTCAGAGACGGGCCTTGGAGGTCATCCCGGCCAGCCCCCTGCCCACTCCCAAAGACTGACAGCTCACTACCTCACACCCCTCTCTGCTTTGACAGTTCAGGTAATTAGAAAGCTTTTCCTTTTGCGTGGCTGCAACTTGCTTCCCAGAAGCCTCGGCCCACTGGGGCTCCACCGGCCAAATCTTAGGTCAACAGCTCAGAAATGTACCACCTGGTCTCTAGGGAGAAGAGAAATACAGCAGTCACAGAGGAATGCTTCCCTGCCAACTGTCCTATCCTGCACTTTGGACATGGCCAGATCCTGGGGGCAGAAACTGAGTGGGTGGGGGTGGGGGCCAATGTGCTCTTGGGGGTCGTCTGGGGCACTGTGCTGGATGAGTGGTGGGGGCAGGAGGGGGAGAATCAGGCAGAATCGGACGAAAAGGCTGAAGAGCAGGCACTGCTGGCTGAGCCTGTGGCTCCCCTGCACGCCTGGCCAGGATCTGGCCTGCCAGGAGCCCCACAGGTGCCAGCCGCTAGGTGTCCTGGAATGAAGCCACAAGAAATGCCGTAGGGTCAGGCAGCAGGGCCCAGCAAATCTCCTGGGGTGACCAGCTCCGTGGGTGATTCTGCCTGGAGCCAGGGATCTGCCTGGAGGCTGATAGTCCCGGGGTACTGGCCGCCACCCCGTGAGCTCCAGCTAAAGGCCAGCAGCTTCCCTGGGGCACACAGGGCTCCCATTAGTGCTGCCAGTGGCTCTGCCTCAACGTACCTTCCTGGGTAGCTACTGTACATCAGGTCCCATGCTGGGCACCAGGAAAGCAGAGACAAATCATCCTTGGCTTTGCCCTTGTGGGGTCCACAGAGTCTACGGAGGGTTTTTACTCCATTCTCTGATTCCATCCCCATGGCCCCTGCCTGCTAATAGGGGAGTGATTATTCTTCTCCCCATTTTACAGAAAATGAGCTGAAATACAGAGAGGTCACACAGAGGGTGATGGGGCACAGCCGTGCTTGGCCCCTGCCTGGGTCTGATTCCAAAGCTCATCTGCTGCCCTGCCTTCACTTCACCCCTCACTTACCCAGCAACATAGAAGAGTCTCAGAGCCTGGGCAGTCACAGGGTTAGGCTCACAGAATTTAGAACCAGGTGGACCTGGGTCCAAATCCCAGCTCTGGCATTTGTGGGCTGTGTGACTTCAGAAAAGTCTCTTAACCTCTCTGTGTCTCCGCGTGTCTGCAAATGGGGATTATAGTAGTCCCCATCTCACAGGCTTGTTGTGAGGTTTAACTGAGATGGTGCAGTGAGCACTTAAAACAGGGCTGCCGGCTGGGCATGGTGGCTCATGCCTGTAATCCGAGCACTTTGGGAGGCTGAGGTCAGGAGTTCAAGACCAGCCTGGCCTACATAGTAAAACCCCATCTCTATTAAAAATACAAAAAACTAGCTGGGCATGGTGGAGGGAGAGGAATTGCTTCAACCTGGGAGGCGGAGGTTGCAGTGAGCCAAGATCGTGCCACTGCACTCCAGCCTGGGTGACAGAGCAAGACTCCGTCTCAAAAAAAAACAAAAACAAAAACAAAAAACCAGGGCTGCCATCATGATCATTACAGTCACAGAGGGCATCTGAAAGGCATGGAGGAGTGGGCAGACCCGGACAAAAGAGGACACAGGGCCCTGTCGTTAATAGGACCCTGGCACCTCCCTTCACTCTCCTCCCTGACCAAGAAAATGGGTCAGGTGTGCAATTGTTGAAACCCACATCCTGAAATTTGTTTAACTCTCCAACTAGGATGGAAGCTCCTCACATGTGGCCATGGGCCGTATCATCACCGAGTGCCAGAACCCAGCACAGAGCAGGTGCCCGGGAGCAGACGGCCCTGGGGAAAAGACCACAGGAGGTTCCTTGAGATGGGAGGTGTGGGCACCAGACAGTAGGAGGGGGCAGCTCCAACCCCCAGTCCCCTGGCTGCAACCCTGGCTTTAGCTTTCCCCTGCATCCTCTCCCCGGGGCTGGCTGGGGCTGCTGGAGGTTGAGGGAGGGCAATGGCTGATGTCCCAGACCCCTCAGCAGGCTCAGGCATTTTCTCAGGAGTCTAGAATCACACATGATGTGGCTGTGTCCTGTCTTCTCCCTCATTCACAGAAATCACACTAGTGGGTGCCTTATGCCCTGTCATTGCTTGGGGAGGGGCACGCCCAGAGAGCCCAGGCTGAGGGCGCAGGCTGAACCAGCTTTCTCCCAAGTGGAGCTCTGCCCAGCCAGGAATGGAGGCTGGAGAAGAGGGACAGCTTTCACTCACTGGTCTTCCCAGAAGAGATAAACAGGGGCTGGGGACCAGAATGTCCCTGAGAGATAGGGCCCTGAATTTAGAGTCCAAGTCGTGAGTCACCGATCCTCTCCCCAAAGCATGTCCGCATTCTGTGGATTGTGGAATTCCTCAAGGTAAAATGGAAAAAAATTGGCCGGGCGCGGTGGCTCAGGCCTGTAATCCTAGCTACTTGGGGGGCTAAGGCAGAGGATCACTTGAGCCCAAGAGTTTGAGGTTGCACTGAGCCATGGTCACACCACTGCACCCTAGCCTGGGTGACAGAACGAGACCTTGTCTCAAAAAATAAAATAAAATAAAATAAAATAAAAACTTAGGCAGGGTGAGATGGCTCACACCTGTAATCCCAACACTTTGGGAGGCCGAGGTGGGCAGATCACCTGAGGTCAGGAGTTCGAGACCAGCCTGGAAAACACGGCAAAACCTTGTCTCCATTAAAAATACGGGGTGGTGCATAACTGTAATCCCAGCTACTTGGGGGGCAGAGGAGTGCAGGAGAATCACTTGAACCTGGGAGATGGAGGTTGTAGTGAGCCGAGATCATGTCACTGCACTCCAGCCTGGGCAACAGAGTGAGACTCCATCTCAAAAATAAAAATAAAAATAAAATAAAATGGAAAAAATAAAGGTGCCAGCTTCGCAGGTACAAACAATAAGGGATGTCACTCCGAAGAAAACAGGCTCAGAGATGCTAAGTGACTGGCCCAAGGTCACACAGCCTGCAAAGACCAGCTGGAAGTAAAAGGGATGGGAGCTGAGAAGGGAAGAGAAGAAGGCTCAGAGTGAGGAGACATTCCAAGACTAGGATCCAGGAAATGCCAGGAAGGGGTAAGGAGGCGGAAAGCGGAGGGCCTGGGGGGCCAGAGGGAGGGGGAGAGATTCCCAGCCAGTCCCAAAATGGCAAGTGGCAGCTAGGACCCAGGGGAGCAGGGAGTTCCACAGAATTAAGGGGTGGCTGACCTCTGAGGCCCTTCGTGATGTCAATATTTTATGTTTCAAGAATGCTACCCTCTTCCATTCTGAGTCCAGTTTTTACAACCCCCGGGCCTGTCAGGGCCCTGTGGAACTTGCGGAGGACCCCAGCTTCATATTCTCCAGGGACCCTGAAACTTGAACTTTTAATGTCTCTTCTGGTGAATAGTGTTCTTCCTGCTGCAGTGACACAGTGACAGGACGGAGCAGAGAATGTGTCCAGCCAGGGGCCGGCAGCCTGTCGGTCGCTGGAAATTAGTGTCAGTGTCAATCCTGTAATTTTCCCCTGAGGAGCACAATTATGCCTCATTGTTCTTCTGTGCGAGTTAAAAGCATTAATTTACTCGATGTACACATTACACATACCACAAGTTTTCGAACTCTGTTTTGGCATTTTCATTTTCTGAAATACAGAGAATTCCAGAAAATGCATCTGAGAGGCCTGCAGAGTCCCTTCTCCCTATGCCCCTCCAATTCTACCGCTGTCTGATCCTGACTCAGTCTTGCATTGCTGCTTTTGCAGTGGTGGGGAAGGCTTGGGGGAAAGTGCAGGAGAATGTCCCTGTCTCCTACAAGGCCGGCCTTCTGCATCCCAAAGAATAAAGGTTCTTTATGGTCTCCAGCCTCAGGCTCTGGTTCTGGCCTCTGGGCAGTCAAGGAGGGCCACACAGGACCGCAGATGGATTCCTCACACTTCCCACCCCTGTCTTTATTGGCATGAGCCACCTGAACTCCTTAGGCAAGGACAAGGATAGCCAGGGCAGTCTGGCCAGATCCAGGGAATCAGGGTGGTGAGCTAGCCCACTGGGGTGTGGGGGTCAGTGTGGTGAGCTAGCCCACTGGAGTGTGGGTCATCAGGATGGTGAGCTAGCCCTCTGGTGTGGGGGGTGGACAGGGTGGTGAGCTAGCCCACTGGAGTCGGGGGTGGACAGGGTGGTGGGCTAGCCTACTGGGGTGGGGGGTGGAAAGGGTGGTTAGCTAGCCCTCTGGAGTCAGGGGTGGACAGGGTGGTGGGCTAGCCCACTGGGGTGGGTGGTGGACAGGGTGGTGAGCTAGCCCACTGGAGTCGGGGGTGGACAGGGTGGTGGGCTAGCCTACTGGGGTGTGGGGATGGGACCTGCAGCACATGCTGAGTCGAGGATTCCTAAGGGTTTCCTAGGCTGGGACACCCTGGGGCACACAATTACCCCAAACACAAGTGTTTCTCCAAATAACCAGTTCACACAGCCCCTGGGGGAATGAATCACTTCCTGTGATGTCATCCCTACACACCCATCTCCTGGAGGGCTCAGACTCCCAGCAGCTCAGGTGACTGGCAACACCTCCTCTTCTGGGGGCTTCCCCCCTCCCACCAGTAAGGCCAACTAGAAACCCCTTACTTGGCCTTAGCTAGAGTCAGACACTGGGTGAAGGGGTTGGGGAGGCCCCAAGTTCATCACTTGTCATCAAGTGTAACCCCTTCCTCCTGCTGCCAGCCCAGCTGCTGGAGTGAGCTTCAGGCTCCTCTTAAAAACCTTCCCAGGTTGACAATTCCATGCCCCTCTTTCCCTGCCCATCGCAGACCTGGCCAGCAGGAAGCTCTTCCTTATGCTGCAGAATCAACTTCTGTGTCCTAGTTTGGAGGCTCTCAGTAGCTATGACCATAGTCACCACCAACACCCAGGTGAAGGTTCCTGAAGGGCTCTTGGATGGAGGTGCCCTGTGTGCTCACTCAGGATCCCAGAGCAACCTCTGCCTCCCAGAGCCAACCAGAGCACAACAGCTATGAATAGCCCAGGCAACTTCCCGTTGCCCCTCCGCTGGGCCAGGGCCTGCATTTGAGGACGCTAAGGAGCTTTACAGACACCCTATGCTCCCAGCACTTGCAGTCTGAGCTGTCCTCGTCTCCTCCCATCCTCTCAGGTGTGAGGGAAAGGACAGATGCTGGAGAAAAGGGGACTCACAGAGCTACCAGAGCTGTGCGCACTGCCAGGGCACCCACGGCGCAAGGGGTCTTATACATGCATGGGCTCATTTATCTTCCCCTGAACCCATTATAACTGGTGTTATATTGTTTCTTCATTTTCAGATGTGGAAACTGAGGCTCGGAAGTGCAGCTCCAGCCACGCCTGGAGCCAGCCTGAGAATGGAGTGTGTTCAACTCCAGGGTCTGGGTACTTCACCTCCACAGTGAACTGCAGAGTGGACTCAGCTCATCTCATGGGGGCTCAGATGAGGAAATGAAACCCAGAGAGGACAAGTGACTTGGCCCACATCCAGCAGGAAGTCAGTGGCAGAGCTAAGACCAGGTCTCCCGGCTCCCCGTGAAATGTTTCTGGCCTTAGCAGCACAGTGTAGAGCCAGAGGTTCTGAAATCACCTTCTAGAAACAGCCATGCCCTCAGATGAGAGCAGAAGCCTGAAATAAGAAGAAGGGGGCCTGCAAGGGACCCTTTTCCTACTCTTGGTGTGAAAGTAGATTCCCAGATACAATGTGGGATGCCTAGTTAGATTTCAGCTTTAGTGGCCAGGTACGGTGGCTCACGCCTATAATCCCAGCACTTTGGGAGGCCGAGGTGGGTTGATCACTTGAGGTCAGGAGTTTGAGACCAGCCTGACCAACATGGCAAAACCTTGTCTCTACTAAAAATACAAAATTAGCCGAGTGTGATGGTGGGTTCCTGTTATCCCAGCTACTCTGGAGGCTGCGGCAGAGAATTGAACCCGGGAGGTGGAGGTTGCAGTGAGCAAAGATCTCGCCACTGCACTCCAGCCTGGGTGACAGAGCGAGACTCCATCTCAAAAAAAAAAAAAAAAAAAAAGAAAAAGAAAAAAAAGACTTCAGCTTCAGCTAAACAGCAGATTATTTTAGTAGAAATATCTCCCATGCAATATACTAAAAAAGCTTTTTGTTTTTTATCTGAAATTCAAACTTAACCAGGCATCCTGTATTTTTATTTGCTAAATCTGGCAAGCCTATGTTAACAGGGCAAGAGACAATGGGGTCTCTGCTGGCCACCTAGACCCGAGAGAACCAGCCCCCACAGCGGGGCTCCCAGCAGCAACTTAGAGTCAAGGTTTGGTTTCCATGGCTCCTGGTTTTCCTCCCCAGCCCTGCCACCGGGGTCACAGACCACTGCCCAACAGAGAAGCAGGAAGGGCTTCTCGAGCAGAGGATCACCAGAGGCCAGGTGGGCAGCTGGCCCTGGGCCCCACATACATTAACCAGACCAGCAGGTACAGGGGCTGAGTCCCAAGAGGGAGAAAGGAGCTCAGATCTCACCCAGTAACAGACCCCCAGCACCCAGCTCCTCTTTGAGGGAGACTCCCACCACGAGCCCCCTATCTGCAAGGGGTTCAGCCCCACCTGCTCCAGCAGGGATGGAATCCATAGACAGCCTCTCAGAGTTGGAAATGCCACCAGAGATCACCAAATCCAATTCCCTTAGTGGCCAGGTAGGGAAACTAAGGCTGAGTCCCCGAGTCCCCATCTGGACACAGCCAGCACAGGAAAGATTTGGGTCAACAGGAGAAGCAAATGCTACTGATGCCCCCTCAGATGTCATCATTGCCACCATCACCGCCATCATCGCCATCATCACTGTTCATCACCATAATCAGCGTCATCACCATCATCTCACAGCAAACATAAGTCCCAGCCGTCTTGCTCCAGGTTCTCTCTTCATATTAATTCATCGAGTATTTCCTAACCACTCCCTCCTGATTGGAATCAATCTAGTTATCTCTGGCTGACCTCCAAGGGTCAAGCTACCACACACGTCCCTTCACCTCAAAGAGATGGGGGCTTGGCAAGAAATTGAGGGAGGTGGGAACCAGTTCTCTTCCCCATCTTGAGCCATCTGATGTTCCACACAAGTTCTACCTAGGTGTCAGAATGCAGGGCCCAGACCCCAAAGCCTGACCCCAGGGCTCAGAGTTAGAAATCTAAGGCTGGACTCTTACCCAGGGGATTGAAGCCAATGTCCTGAGCCCAGTGCCCAGGAGCTGGGGCCCCAAGGAGGACCTGACTAGACCCTAGTTCCTTCCTTCCAGACTCCACAGCCAACTCCACCTTCTCTGCTATCTCCTGCCAGCATCCTTTCCAACGTGCCTGACTTGTCTACCAGGCACCCACCCCATTGACTTACACTCTAACCCAGCTCTCTGCAGCCAGGAGAGCGCCTCCCAGCTCTTACCTGTGAATGTCCACATGTGCCTCGACTCCCACCACACACACGGCATGGGTAGGCATCTTCAGGGACAGCTGCACAACTCTCTTTGGGGCCATCCTGTCACCTGGCTCCCAGCCTCCTAGATCAGCCCTGGCTCCCCAGCTCCCGTCCTGGGCACTTCTTTGCCAGGAAGAAGTGTGAGTTCTGATGGACTGGTGCCTCCTCCTCCCTTTAAATTTCACCCTGCGACCTGATTAGCCTGGCTGAGCCTGGTCCCCACCTCCTGGCTCCACACCCTCCTCACTCAGGGCTGTCAATCCAGGAGGTCAGGGGAGGAGGTGCCCAAGGCCTGTCTGGGAGATGGGGAAGGGGAGCTTCAACTGGGGGCCCCGGGCGAAGCAGGACTCACCTGCTGACAGGAGACCCTCCAGAGCTCCCCAGCAGCCTCTGCCCTCCCCTCCAAAGACTCCTGGTGCCTGAACCCCTATTACAATGATGTCAGTGTTTCTGTGGGCTGACTATGTGCGGGCTCTGCCTATAACCACCTGTGATCCTTATCAAACCTTTTAACCTCTCTGTGACTCAGCTGCCTCATGTGTAAGTTGGCAGCTGTAACAGTAGTACCTGTCCCATTGTGTTGATGTGGGAAAGACATGAGTTATGTGTAAGAAGATTAGCACAGCTCCTGGCACCTGTGTTCACTAAAACACTAACAATTATGACTTTTATCCTCATTTTGCAGGTAAGAGAACCATGGCTGCAGGTCTCACTGCTAGTAAGTGGTAGAGTTATAACTTCCACGCAGGTTCACCCGTCTCGCCACACAATACCACCCCCCAACAGGTGAGGGTAGGCCCTTGTGCCCAGACTCCACAGACAGCAGAAGCCACCCCAGGCAAGCATTCTTGGGGAGCCAGAGAGGAGGGAACTTGAAAAAGAGCTCAGAGCAATGACCTGGGAGCGTGGACTCATTTCTGAAAATCCCTCTTCTTTCAGCTCAGCACAGCAAGCTTCAGCCTGTTCTGAGGCTCTTTGTAGAACTTCATTTGTTAATTTGACAAGTGTTTGTTAATCATCTTTTATGTGTCAGGCACTCATTTAGGTGATAGGGATACAACTATGAACAAAAGAGACCATGATTCCTGCTCTGACGACATTTATATTCTGGGGGAGACAGACCGTAGGTGAAGTTAAATGAGTAAAGTGTGTATGACATCAGATGGTGCATTAAGGTTCTTCCCATTATCTAAGCGAGGGATGGCATGGCTTGGTCCCAGGGTAACAGGGAAGGTGGTGGGAAGTGGTTGGATCCTGAATGTATCTTGAAGGTAGAGCCGATGAGGTTTGCTGATGAGTTGGATGTGGGTGTGAGAGAGAGTGGTCAACGATCACTGGAGTATTTGGGACCCGAGCAACTAGAAGGATGGAGTTGTCATCAGAGAGATAGGGAAGGCTGCAGGAGGGCAAGCTGGGCAGGGAGCTTGGCCATTCTCTGTTGGACTTGTTCGACATGAGATGTCTGTTAGAGCTTGGGGTAGAGGTGGTGAATTGCAGGTGACGTGTTCCCTTCATATCGGGCATTGGGGGTGATGAGAAGAGCCGTTTGCTCTGGAATCGCAGGACACCCATCCTCAGTAATGTGGTCCTCTTCTTCCAGGGGGCTCTTATACAGAGTGGGAAAAGGGGCACATAAACCAGAACTCTAGTGTCCACAGGGCTGGGGTGGCAGGGCAGCAAAGAGCAAGAAAGAGAGAGAGAGAGAGAGAGAGAAACAGCCTTGCCTGAGGAGTTGTCAGTCTGATGGAAGATGTGGGGGACACACAGTCCCTGGCTGCAGGAACCCCAGCCTGATTAGGGAGGCAGGAAATAGTAAAATGGCATAAACATTTATTTGGTTACTTTTGATTTTGAAGATATTTTTGAAACCATCTTTCTTATTGCAAATGTTATTGATCTGCAAAGTTCATTACACCTGAAGTCACCAAGACAAAGTCTAATTTTACCCCATGGATACAGAACCCAGGGAAACAGGTGTTCAGGGATGGTTTTCCATCACCCAAACCCCAAACCTCAATTTACCAGGACCTCAGTCATTTTGTTTAACAGCATTTATTGACATAAACGTGTCCATTTCTTATGGAATGGAATGCAGAGTGGAACAAGCAGTTTCCTGCAGAGCACATGGGTGTGTTCCCATTAGAGAAGATTAAATGGATGGATGGATGGATGGATGGATGTGTGGGTGGATGGATGGATGGATGTGTGGGTGGATGGATGGATGGACAGACAGATGGATAGGTGAACGATAGGAAAAAGGGAGGCAGGAAGAAAGGCAGGCTGGTGCATAAAGAGCTGTCTAAAAAGATGATGATGATGATGATGGTGATGATGGTGATGATGACAACAATAATGGTGATGCAAACACATATATGGCCCTCACCATGTGCCACTGTTTTAAGACCTCTCCATGTATTCATTTACCTAATCCTCACAATAATACTGGGTGGCAGGTATCAATCAAGCCTGGAATGCCAAGTTCAAACAGACCACATGGATGTGTAGGATGTGCCCTTGGCCAGTTGTGGGCAGGGCCAGGGCCCAGGCAGGTCATGGTGTCTTAAAAGAATGTTCTTCGGGCTGGGCACAGTGGCTCATGCCTGTAATCCCAACACTTTGGTAGGCCGAGGCGGGCGGATCTCGAGTCAAGAGTTCAAGACCAGCCTGGCCAACACGGTGAAACCCCGTCTTTACTAAGAATACAAAAATTAGCGGGATGTGGTAGCAGGCACCTGTAATTCCAACTACTTGGGAGGCTGAGGCAGGAGAATTGCTTGAACCTGGGAGGTGGAGGTTACAGTGAGCCAAGCTTGCACCACTGCACTCCAGCCTGGGCAACAGAGCAAGACTCTGTCTTGAAAAAAAAAAAAAAAAAAGAATGTTCTTTGAGATAGAGGAAAGAGGAAAGAGAAAGGGGGGCAAGGAGGGAAGAGCAGAGGGAGGCAGAGAGGAAGAGAGGAGGATAAGCACATCTCTATTTTACAGCAAAAGAAACTGAGGCACAGAGAAGTTGGGGACCCTCCCAAGTCCATGGTTGGAAGTTGGTCCCATCAGGATTCAACCCCAGGCCATCTGACCCTGGTGGGCTGATTGCTGACTAGATCCCTGGGAGGCAGAATATCAGGTCATTTCTTCCCCATGCTTTTGTGTGTTGTTTGAATCACTTTCATGAGCAAACAACATTTTTACTGTTGGAAAAAAAAAAATGAAGCCACCCTCATTATTCTCTCTTCGAGGAAAAATAAGATGCATTTCCTCCTTTTGGCTTCTCTCCCCACCCTCTGCTATTCCTTCCCCGCCTCCCTTTTTCAGTCTTCCAGCTCAAAGAACATTCTTTTAAGACACCATGACCTGCCTGGGCCCCTGCCCTACCTACAACCCACAAACAACACATCCTGCACACCCATGCTGTGGTCTCTTTGAACTTGGGATTTCAGCCTTGATCGGTCAGACTGGGGAGGAGCGAGGGTGGGAGACCTCTGTGACATCACTGCCTCCTTCCCCTCTGAAGGAGGACATAAAGCTGGGAGGCCGGCCCCACTTAGCCTGAAACGGGGCCCCATGCAGGGTAGAGGCCTGCCAGCTGCCCGGTGACTAGGGGACTGTAAGACGACCCCAGGAAGCCCCTGGAACAACCCAAGAAACCACTATAGGGAAGGTGGCTGGTGCTGGGGCTACAATGGCCAGGGCTTCATTTTCCCTGTTCTTCAACAATTTTTTTTGAGCACCTAAAATGTGCCAGACATTATTCTGGCCCTGGGGATACCACAGTGAACAAGATAGACCAAGCCCCTGCCCTCGTGGGACATCGTGGAGAGCAGGCAGGTAGAAAGCTGGTGGGATAAAAACTGTGATACCAGGAAGTGATTCAGACAAATAAAATAGAAGAGAGGAGGGGATGGTGTGCTGTTTTGAGTCAAGTGATCAGAGAAGGCCAATCTGAAGAAATGATATTGGAGTAGAGAGCTGGAAATGAGACCTTAGTGATAATGACATAAACATTTATTTGGTTACTTTTGATTTTGAAGATCTTTTTGAAATAATCTTTCCTATTGCAAATGTTATTGATCTGCAGAGTACATCACACCTAAAGGCACCAAGGCAAGTTCTAAGTTTACTCCATGGATACAGAGCCCAGGAAAACAGGTGTCTATGGTCTAAGATTCCATGAACCTAGTGTGGCAAGCTGGGTTTCCATTAACAGCCGGAGCAGCCACTCTCTCTCTCACACAGAGAGAGAGAGCCCTTTCCTCTCATTCTGATGAATGCATAAGTTAAACATTAGAGAACTGAAGAAAATGGTGCCCGAGTATGAGGGCTGGAATGTGAAAACAAACCTGTTAAGACCGCTCCTGGGTTTTCTCAGACCCGAAAGTCTGATGAAATAATGAAAGTATTCTTACACATACACCTCATACCAGGGCCCACTTAGGATTAAGAAACTTTCTGCTGGGCACAGGGGCTCATGCCTGTAATCCCAGCACTTTGGAAGGCTGAGGTGCGTGGATCACTTGAAGCTAGGAGTTCCAGACCAGCCTGGGCAACGTGGCGAAACCCCATCTCTACTAAAAAAAAATTAACTAGCCAGATGTGGTGGTGTGCACCTGTAGTCCCAGCTACTCAGGAGGCTGAGGCATGAGAATTGCTGGAACCCAGGGGCAGAGGTAGCAGTCAGCTGAGATTGTGTCACTGCACTCTAGCCTGGGCAACAGAGTGAGGCTCTGTCTCAAAAAAAAAGATTAAGAAACTTTCCAAGGCTCTAGAAAAAGCTTCCCAGACCCTAGACCCTAAAGATTAGATAAAGATGGAATGAAACAGACCTACTCTCTGGCAACGTATACTCCCACACGTAGGCATACAGCTTAGAATGTAGACAACACTGGGGGAAAAACTTGTACTTTCGAGTTGGTCTGGTGAGTTACTCCGATCTTCTCCCTGTAACCGGTTACAGAAATAAACTCCCTTCTTTCTCAGTCTGTCTGCATCTCCTTATTGGACCACGAGAGCAAGCAGCCTGACCTCGTTCATCCGGAAACACTAGGATCACCCCCGACAACCCCCCAGTCTCCCTATTTACAAAATGGGTTGTTAAGCTGGATCAGAGTTTCCAAACTCAGGCACCTTCAGGAGGGCAGGCAGATAATAGATATGTGTGACGCTACCAGCTGGGAGAAAATAGGGAGGGGTGGTAACTGCTGCAGAGGGGACAGAGCCTGCTGGGCTCATGCGTTAAGTCAGTGTTTCTCAGAAACAGAATACTGAGGTCAAACAAAACCCATCGGTAGACCAGACCTAGCTCTTGGGCCATGAGTTTGAGCCCCCAGCATTGGTTATTTTGTGTTGGTGGGTAAGGAGAGGGGTGGAGGGAATAACTCTGGCTGGGGAAGTCATTTGATGCCCTTGAGGGTAAGCAATGTGGGCCCCAGTGAGGCTTGCCACCATCAAGGCATGGAAATTGCCTGCCTCAGGCCTTGGGACCAATCAGGGTAGGTTCTGGGTCTACTTGTGTTGCCGACACCAGCTGTGGGCTCTTCTGGTCCGGGGGACCTCTCCCTAACACACATACACACACACACGCTGCCTGCTGTGCCTGAGCTCACCTAGAACCCCATGGAGGAAGGTAGGGAGGATCAGCAGAGCCCAGTTCTTGTAACCCCCTGTCTGAGACCGTTCTCCCCTCCCAGCACCCCCGGGTACTACAGGGACAGTTCCACTTGCTCTCCAGGATCACCCAACTTCAAGCTGGAAGGGCCCCCGAAACTATCAATCCAGCCCCTTCACTTTCCAGCTGGGTAAACCACAGCACCGAGAGAAGCAGTGACTCACCCAAGGTGACACAGTAAAGTCACAAGAAGCCAGATTTGGATCCAAAGTCTTCATTCATTCAACAAACATCTATTAGGCACTTTTTATATATAGGTGCCGTTCCAGAGGTCAGAGTCCTTGACATCTGCTGAGTCTGCTCAGCTCCCTATGTTGACCCAACCCCTTCCTGTGCTCCTGGCACCCAGGGCAGGATCCTGGACCTCCTGGTGAATGGGGGAGAAGCCTTGGGGGTTCTGACTTGGCCATTGTGAGAAAATAGGGTACCCACTGATTCCCACAGGGCCAGAGGGCAGGCCAGAGGCTCTAATGGCGGGAAGTGGTGAGGACCATGAGTCACCCAACTCAATCCACGCTATCCCCTCAGCATCCAAACTCCAGACCAGGCTCTGCTGGGCTGTGCAGACCTGCAGGAATTACCAACTCCCTCCTCGGGTCTGGGGACATCCAAGGCTCCATGTGGCAGCATCAGCAGTGTTAATGATACCGTTCATGGGGCAGGGCGGGACATGGCACAGCCCCAGCTGAGCAGGCATGTGTCCTCTGCCCTCGGGGGGCTGTGACCAGGCGAGTCATCCCCACAGGTGGCCAACTCAGCAGCCTCCAAGCACATCAGCCCCTTCCCTGCCCCAGCTGGCTTTTCCCATCTCAGCAAATGGTGCCACCTCCACCCTAGCTGCCCAAGCCAGCCCAGGCAACCTCTCCCTCCCTCTCCCGCACCCCTCCTGAGTATCACCTCTACTTTCCAAACATCTCTTGATCCTTCCCTTCCTCTTTGCCCCCACCCTCACCTCCACCATCACCATCACCCTCCTGGTTCCAGCCACCATCTCTGAGCTGAGACCTCAGCAGCTCCTGGTCTCCCTGACCCCAGGCTTACTGCGTTCCTTGCCACAAGCAGTCATGTTCCCCCTGACATGTGTATCCAATTGCATCATTCCCCTGCTGAAAAGCCTTCCCTGGATCCCCCCAAGATAAAGGAGGACTAAGGGGCCCTACCATCTAGGGTTCCAGTCTGAGCGCAGCTGCTTCTCCAATTTCAGGGCTCTGGACAAGTGATTTAACTTCTCTGAGGCTCAGTCTCCTAATTGGTAAAATCTGGATTGATAGATTTATTTATTTATTTATTTATTATTTTGAGATGGAGTCTCACTTTGTAGTCCAGGCTGGAGCTCGGTGGCACAATCTCAGCTCATTGCAACCTCTGCCACTCAGGTTCAAGCAATCCTCCTGCCTCAGCCTTCCATGTAGCTAGGATTACAGGCATGCACCACCACACCCAGGCAATTTTTGTATTTTTAGTAGAGACGGGGTTTCACCGTGTTAGCCAGGCTGGTCTCGAACTCCTGACCTCAGGTTATCCATCTGCCTTGGCCTCCCAAAATGCTGAGATTACAGGCGTGAGCCACTGCACCCGGCTTAAAATCTGGAATAATTTAGAAGTAAGAAATAATATATGTAAAAGGTGCCTGGCATATAGTTGATGCTCAAGACACGCTTTGCGTGGAATTCAAGGCCCCTGAGACCAGGCCCCTGAGGGACCTCTCTTCATTCAGTGCCCGACGTCTGTCCCGATCAGAATTCCTCTGGGCATTCCTGCTGCCCTGACTGGGGGATTGCTCCCTGACCTGGGAGTCTCTGTGAATCTCTGCCCATCACCAACCTTCCTGCCCTCCCCTTCCCTCCCCTAACTCCACCTTTTCCCCTCCAGCACCCACTCCACAGGAAGGCTCAGCACTTCTACTTCTTTTATGGATTTACATCCCACATCCTAATAAAAAAAATTAAGACTGCCCATAAAGTATACCCTGAATAAGGTGTTTTATTTTTTTTTTTCAAGTGAGGAAATTAAGTCAAAAAATGAAGGAAGAAAGAAAAAGACAGGTATGGACATCCTCTTTGGTTGGTAGATTTCGCTGTGAGTTCCCTGGCGGCCCAAGAGAAAAAGAAAATATAACTGGTTTTAGGAATCATGGTGCTCACAAAGTAAAACTCAACCAGTTGAGGGAAAAAAGCCCTGCTCTTCTAGGCCCTGAGAACTGAGGGAAATCCATCCCCTTCCCACCCTGGGTGGGGTTTAATGGATGGGGAAAGTGTGGAATATTCAACCATGTGGTTCACAGCATCCTTGTATTTGGGTCTGGCTTGATCCATGGGTTTATTTTGGGATGGGATGTCTACAGAAATATGTGTTTTGGGTCCTTCAGACTCTTCTCCATGAGAATTCTTTGTTTTAACCAAACCTTTGTTTGGATAGTGCCAGGGAATGTGGGGTTTCCCTCCCTGACATTGGCTCTTCCTTGCAGCTGCCAGAACAACGACCCAAAGTCCTCTAATGTCAGCCAACCCGGGGCTAGAGTTGAGGTCCCACTGTGAGAATCAGCCCAGGTCCAGCACCTCCTACTGATTCACTCAGAGCTGGGGGACACTCATACCTGGAAAGGGGATGGGGGACAGCACCTCTGTGGGGCATCCCCCCAATGCAGGGCTCACATCTCGGCAGCCCCTTCTATGAAGGCCCCTTGGACCGGCTGCCTCCTTGAACACGTGGAGACAGAGGCACAGAGTGACTTGCCATAAACCACACAGCTAGGGAGAGGCAAACCGAGGTAAAAGACAGAAAACCGATCCCAGAGTTAGAAACTTGGATTCTTGGGCCCCCCTCATGGTTTCTTGAAAAACTTCCTTTCCTTTCACAGAAGCAGCTCTGCCCAATGGACACTCTCCATCTAGATCTGGCCCACCCGCTGTGGTTCTCACGATCCAGGTTGCTGGTGAGACACTGTCTCGCAAGAACTTCATGGGACAGAAGGGCTCAGCACCTTTCCCAAAATCACTCGTTGATGCAGCAGACATTTCTTGGGCCCCTAGCATGGGCCAGGCAATGAATAGATGAAGAGGAGCTGGTCGCAGCCTGCCTTATAGGTGAGCATGGTTGATGGGGAGCGTGGAAGTGTGAACATGTTGTTACCAGGCAATTGGTTATTCCATCATGATAAAGGGATGTGTTGAGGGCGTGGAGGGAAGGGATACTAATAATGGGAGCCAGCATTTATTGAGCACTTACCGTATGCCGGCTCTGACTAAGCACTTTGCAGACATCATCCTTAATCCTTGCAACTGACCCGGGAAGGGAGCACTGCTATTGTCCTTGCTTTGCAGAGGGGGAAAATCTAGTGTCAGAGTTTAAGCAACGTGACCAAGGTCTCTTGCTAATTAGGATGGAAGCAGAGATGCAACTCCAGTCCATGAAACTTCAGAGCTTGTATTTTAGTTGCTACATCCCACTGGCTCCAAGAAGGATGAGGCCAGAGGGTGCCTGTGTCCCCTCATGGGTTGCTGGTGCTTATAGGCTGCAGGGACTGCCAGGCCCAGCCCCTCCCATTGTGTCACACACCCCCCGACTTCAGCCCTGCCAAAGGTGTGACTGTCTGGTGTCTGGCCCATTGGCCCCCAGCAGCCCTCCTGGACAGAGGCCTGGTGGCAAGAGGGTTCAAGAGACAACCAGTTTCCAGCTGTCCCCACACCATTAAGGTCCTCTGAGCACCAGCCGCCCAACTCCATCACTCCAGCACCCCTTAGAGCCTGGAGCCTCCCAGGGCATGAGTACGGACCTTCCAGTTCCTGCTGGCCTTGGAAAGGGCCAGGGTTGGGGCCTAGCCCAGAGCTAGGAAGGAGGCCCAACTCAGAAAGGGCCCTGATGGCTGGGGTGAGGGAATGGGGGTACACACACTCCCAGAAAGTCAGGAAAAGAGAAGGCTTAGAGATAACTCGCAAGTCCCAGGGACTTCGCATTTAAAGCAGATGACATAGTAGACACTCAGGACAAAGCAGGCAGGTGTCAAAGCCTACCTGCTCATCTCTTCCCCTCCAGAAGACCCTGTAACCCAGGTGCAGGAGCCTGAGGTTGCATAGATCCTCTCAGAAAGTCACCAGTCTGTCTGTCACCAATAAGAAGGCCCAGAGAGGGCAAGCAATTGGTCCAAGGCCACACAGCCCATGTTCTTTCCCCTACAACGAGGGAGAGAGGAAGTGGCACTGGGGGTGGAGGGGAAGAAACGATGGTCACAAGTGGGGCAAGCCACACCAGTAGTGGACAGAGCATGGGGACAGCGACAGGCCCCACCCGAGGCTACCACTTACCAGCTGGTGGATGCTTCACCACTCTGGGCCTTTACAATGCATGCCCCTTGACACCTCCCAGGTGTCTCCACAGGGTGGCTATGCTTATCTCCCAATCTGCTGATACTTATAAAGCACCACCAGGCACTCAGCACATATTAGTCCCCATCCTGATCCCTCATGATCTGCCTCCTCCAGAAAGCCCTCCCAGATGGCTCTGGCTCCCAGGGAATGTGCTGTTCTCTAAGCAGCCCCCACAGGCTCCTGTGCTGGGAAACCACCTGTTTCAACTCTGTTCCCCTTGTCACTCTGGTAAGTAAGACTGCACATTCCAAAAGGACAGGGACAGGGACCTTCTAGGCCTTTGGCTCAGGGGGATCAGGAAGCTGATATAAGTGAAAAACATCTAGAATTTACAGTGGTATGAGAGTTCTCAGCCACCCATCCCACAGCTGGCCAGTAGCCCCCACATTCCCTTCCCTGGGAAGAGGATTTTGCCACCCCTCGCAGAGCTCTTTGTCTGGCCCCCACTGCCCTGACTGGGGCACCTAGCGTCATCTGACGGGGGAGCTCCTGCTTCTTCACACCCCAGCCTGGGCCTGTGGCCCAGTGAAGCCAGAGGAGCCCCCAGAGAGGACAGCATGGGAGGAGAATGGGAGTGCAGGGGACAAAGACATACAGAGAAATGAACGGAGACAGAAAGAAGCAGACTGAAAAACAGAGAGACACAGACAGAGAAAGCCCAAAACAGGGATGAAAGAGAGAGAGAGAGCCCAGGAAAGGAAGAGAGATGCAGAGAAAGGCAGAGACAGTGAGGTGCAAAGAGAGACTGAGACAACCAGAGACTGAGATGGAGAGGGAAAAACTGAAGGACAGAGGGAGGAACAGAACGAAGAGAGACAGAGACACTGCAAGGGAGAGCAGGAGACAGCTCCCAGACAGGCAGAACAGAGCCCAGGAGCCCCGAGGCCCCAGAGCCCATGTGCTCCCTCTCCACTTTCCACATCCCTGGGGGCTCCCCCTTCCCAAGCCTGCTGATCCTGGCACTCAGGCAGGGCTGGGGGAGACAGGTAATGATCACTGAACTTGTGCATGGGCTGGGTGCTGCGGCCACACCCCCTTGACACCTCCCAGGTGGATGGCTGTACTTATCCCTAATGTGCAGATGAAGAAACTGAGGCTGGGAGCCATTGGGTAACTCGGCCAATGACACTGAATGTTAGGGTGCAGGCAGGAAGCTCATGGATAAGGAGTCTAAGGCCCAGAGAGGTGTGGTGCCTGGCTCTGGGTCACACAGCAGCCAGCTGCAGAGCCTGGGGCTGGAAGCCGCTTCCCCTGGCACCTTGCCTGGCTCATAAGAAAACAAAGCGAATCTCATTAAGTCTTTGGTAATGAGGCTCCAGGTCTTATCTGATGGGTGGTGGAGAACACTGTCAATGCCCCCCTCCACATTCTCCATGCCCACCTCCTGCCTCCTGCTCTCTTTTCTGGGAAGAACACCTCTGGGACCACCCAAACTCGCCCTCTCTTCTAGGAACCAGTCCCCTGCTGGTGGCATCTCCATCTCCCCACCCCCTGCTCTCCAGCCTGGATGCCCATATAGAACCAACGAGCAGCAGGGTGGCCATTTGTACACTCCACACAGTGACATCAGCGAAGCATGTCCTCAGGCTCCCCCCAAAAGTCCTAGGCCCCCTGGAGAAAAGGAGGGAGGACCAGCACGCTGACTCACATTGAGTGGCAGCTCTTGGCACATGCCTTCGCTCGCCGTGGCCTCTTGCATCCCACAAGGAAGGGACAGTTGAGGAAAGCGTGGCTTGGAGAGGAAGAGAGTCCCACAGGTCATCCAGGACAGCCACCCGACCCTGAGCTCATGCTCCTGCCATTACCCAGGACCCCCAGACTATTTTCCCATATGTCCCGGTCCCATCCCTGTCCTGAGCCAAAGTGTGGGCTGCCTCACCCTGCAGCCCTTCCTCCTCCACACTTACGCCCTGTGTCCTGGGATACAGCAGGCCGGGAAGAGGGGGACACTTCCTGGCTGTGGGACAAGACAAGACAAAGATCCTTTTTGGCCGTGGTGGTCCGGTCTAGGCCACAGTTTTCCTGTCTGCATCATTTGGGTGGAGGGCATAGTGTGATAGCTCTGAGGGTCCTTAGGCTTACCTCTCCTGAACTTCACCTCGCCTGCATGCCCTCTGGGGCCTGAGGTCCTCATTTCCACCCTCCAAGGTGGCCCTGGTGCCTCGTAGGCTGATTCCGGGTTTCCAGAGCCTTCAGGAGACAGCACTTCTGGTTCCTGGGGGTCAGGGAGCATCTAGGCATGGACGCTGTGATCTGCCTGGCCTCCTGCCACAGCCTTTTGACCTAGGGAGGGAGGAGGTTGGGAACAAGAATACAGGGAGTCTGCCTGAGGCTGTTCAGGGCTGCACCACACACCCTCACATGTGTCCCCAACCTTGCATGCTGCTGCTGGGGTGGGACGCAGCCTATGTCATCTCAGAGCTCCCAATCTAGGGCTGGCAGAGTCTGATGCAGACACAGAGATTACAAGACAGCTCTTCCCAGATAAGCATGTTGCCCAAAAGACCACCAGGATAGCTAAATAGCAGAAAGGAGCTTTACTAGTGGTATGAGTTTGCAAACCAGGAAGAGACAGTCTCTGGCGTGTTCTGGACGTGCTCTCTCTTGGGAGAGGAAAAGGGCAGGTTGGGTTTTGTGCCTCATGGAGCCCATATGACGCAATAGAGTCATACATATTCAGCAGGTTTGCGGGAAAGGCTATCCATATTTATGAAGGGAGGGGAGTGTATGCACACAGGCACACGTAGTGTAATGCACGCCCCACTTTCACACACGTAGTGTAAAGCAGACCCCACTTTCACTTTGGGCTAGGGTTCTAGTACTAAAATGAGGTGGAATTTCGTTCTTTATAGCAAAAGGTGCAGGACACAAAGACAGCTTGTTTGCAGACTCTATAAGCTGCTGAAATGGCTTAAGGTCTGCAGTTGCGTATCAGAAGAGAATGTTTGAGGCCAGGCGCAGTGGCTCATGCCTGTAATCCCAGCACTTTGGGAGGCCAAGGCAGGTGGATTGCTTGAGCCCAGGAGTTCGAGACCAGACTGAATAACATGGTGAAACCCTGTCTCTACAAGAGATAAAAAAAATTAGCCAGGCATGGTGGTGCATGCCTAATCCCAGCTACTCGGGAGGCTGAGGTGGAAGTATCACATGAGCCTGGAAGGTCGAGGATGCAGTGAGCCATGTTCACGCCACTGCACAGCAGCCCTGGGCAGCAGAGTGAGACTCTGTCTCAAAAAGAAGAAGAAGAAGAAAAAGGAGAAGGAAGAGGGACAAGAAGAAGAAGAGGAGGAAGAGGAAGAGGAGGAAGAGGAAGAGGAAGAAGAAGAAGAACAAGAAGAAGAGGAAGAAGAAGAAGAAGAAGAAGAAGAAGAAGAAGAAGAAGAAGAAGAAGAAGAAGAAGAAGAAGAAGAAGAAGAAGAAGACGGAGGAGGAGGAGGAGAAAGAAGAAGAAGAAGAAGAAAAAATGTTTGTCAGGCAGTTCCTCCATCCAGTCAGAGCTGTAGTGGTCTTGGTTGTAAATCCAAGTCATGAAGGATGTGACGATTTGCCTGACAGTTCCTATTATTAAGAGTTTAGCAAGGGTGTGGTAATTTTTTTTTTTTTCCCGAGACAGAGTCTCACACTATCGCCCAGGCTCCAGTGCAGTGGCCCGATCTCGGCTCACTGCAAGCTCCGCCTCCTGGGTTCATGCCATTCTCCTGCCTCAGCCTTCTGAGTAGCTGGGACTACAGGCGCCCGCCACAGCGCCCAGCTAATTTTTTTTGTATTTTTAGTAGAGACGGGGTTTCACCATGTTAGCCAAGATGGTCCCGATCTCCTGACCTCGTGATCAGCCCGCCTTAGCCTCCCAAAGTGCTGGGATAACAGGCATGAGCCACCACGCCCAGCTGGGTGTGGTTATTTTTGAGAAGTAGTCTCACTCACTCTGTTGCCCAGGCTGGAGTGCAGTGGCACAATCTTGGCTCACTGCAAACTCCAGCTCCCAGTTTCAAGCGATTCTCCTGCCTCAGCCTCCCGAGTAGCTGGGATGACAGGCACGCACCACCACCACCCAGCTAAGTTTTATATTTTTAGTAAAGACTGGCTGGGCTGGTCTCGAACTCCTGACCTCAAGTGATCTACCCACCTTGATCTCCCAAAGTGCTGGGATTACAGGCATGAGCCACCGTGCCCGGCCAGGTGTGGTTATTCTTGCAGTGGTGGGAATTTAGAGAGTTGCCATGCCAACCAGGCCTTGAACCTTCTGCCTGTAGGTAACTTTTGTTTCCTTAACCTTGGGGTCCATCTTAGTTGATAAAGGGGCATCTATTTTGGTGTCTCAGATGATGAACATAGAGAGGTCCCCCCAGGACCATGGGCTCTGGGTCCATCCGGGGTCAGGAGCCTTCCTGGGAGGTGACAGTGTAGCAGCAGCGTGAGGAAGGGACTGGGTGTCAGGCCCCTCTGTCCAGCACACCCCTTGCTTCCCTGTGGTCACTCGGCTCCCCAAGGCCAGGCCCCACTGCCTACCTGCTCCCAGGTGTTCACAGTGCCTCCTTCCTAGATAAGCTACAGAGAATGTCAGAGCTGTTGGGCCCTTAATGACACATGGGCCACAAGAGCAGAGAACGGAGAAAGGAGCTGGGTGGCACTGGGTGAGCTAGGAACAGGCCCCAGGCTAGAATGCAGGGCTCATGCCCTGCCCGGCACCCTGTGCACTGCCCTTTTGTGCCTGTTTTCAGACTCCAGGACACGATGCCCCCCGAGCCTGCCAAGGTGCCCCCCATCATTCATGCACCGATTGGCCATGGGCTTCTTCCATGTCCTGGGCCCGGCTTTCATGCCTGCCCACCGCCTGTGGCCTCAGCATGGCCACTTCACTCCAATGTGTTGGCCTCTGTCCCCATGCCACTCACAGCCCCCTGAGTCCCCATCAGGGCTGGCAGCCTGAGGGGTGGGAGGGGAAGTCTGGCTGTGCCTGACATGACAAGTTTTCCCAGGAGAGGTGAAGATTTCTAAACTGGACCCAGCTTTCCAGAGCATTCGCCAGCCTGGCCCCACCCCCACTCCCGACCAAAGCCTCCGCCCTCCTGGCTGGGTCTGACTTACCCACACTGAGCACCAGGAACTGGATTCCAGGGCCAAGAATTTGACCACATCCTGGTGGGTCCAGCCTAACATTCCCCAAAACAGGGCGGAAACCAAGGGAGGGATCAGCAGATGAGCACGCATTCAGCTGATGGAGTCAAGGAATCTTCTAAAAGCAGTACTCACTGCAAAGGATTTAAAAACCCAGCCCAGAAAATAAGCATAGGGAAACCCTTGCTTTTCACCTTACCTGGGTTCTGAAGAAATCTTAAGAAAACTTTTGTAAGTAAATCAAAAGTGACTTTGGTGAGGGGAGCTGACCCCTTAACAGCCACCTTTATTTCATGCTTATTCTAAATGCCTGTCTCCTCCATCACGGTCGAGCTGTCTTCAAGAATGAGGGCCACATCATACTCATTCTGATAACCCAGCACCCAGCACAGGGCCTGGCCCATTCCTTATTGGTGCTCTTGGAATGAGTTGATGAATAAGCAAGTTAAATTTGCTAATAGAGGAGGTAACTCACAATCCTTACATCTGACAAAGAGCTCGCATCCAGAATTTATAAGAACACCTACAAATAAATATGAAAAAGGCAGACCTCCTGATTTTTTTAACGAGCAAAAAAAATTCGCCGGGCTTGGTGGCTCACGTCTGTAATCTCAGCACTTTGGGAGGCCAAGGTGGGTGGATAACCTGAAGTCAGGAACTCAAGACTAGCCTGGCCAACATGGCAAAACCCCGTCTCTACTAAAAGTAAAACAATTAGCCAGGTGTGGTGGTGCACGCCTATAGTCCCAGGTACTCAGCAGGCTGAGGCAGGAGAATTGCTTGAACCTGGGAGGCAGAGGTTGCAGTGAGTCAAGATTGCGCCACTGCATCCCAGCCTAGGTGAGAAAGTGAGACTCTATTCCCCCAAAAAAGAAAAAAAAAATTGAACAGGCACTTCACTTAAAAACATAAAAGATACCAAGAGGCCAATAAACAGAGGAAAAGATGCTCAACTTCTTTAGTCACCAGGGAAATGCAAATGAAAACAAAAAGAAGACTCCACCACCAGGATAGCCAAGGTTAAAAAGCCTCACAATACCAAGTGTTGGCGATGTGGATGTGGAACAAATAGAACTCTCAGACACTCCCTGTGAGAATGGAAATTGGTAGGATCACATTGGAAAACTGTTGGCAGTATCTATTAGACTTGGAGCACAATACATACTTTCCCTGTGATATGTGTCCCCACCCAAATCTCACATCAAATTGTAATCCCCACGTGTCAAGGGAAGAACCTGGTGGGAGGTGATTGGATCATGGGGGTGGTTTCCCCCATGCTGTTCTCGTGATAGTGAGGGAGTTCTCATGAGATCTGATGGTTTAAAAGTGGCAGTTTCCCCTGTGCTGTCTCTCTCTCCTGCTGACTTGTGAAGAAGATGCTGACTTCTTCTTCCACCATGATTGCAAGTTTCTTGAGACCTCCACAGCCATGCAGAACTGTGAGTCAATTAAACCTCTTTCCTTCATAAATTACCCAGTCTCAAGTAGTTCTTTATAGCAATGCAAAAACAGACTAATACGCCTATGACCCAGCAATTCCACTCCTAGACACTGTAGAAGAATGAGACCATTTCCCACCAAAAGATATGTACAAGGACATTCATAGCAACTTTACTTTCAATAACCACAAATTGGAAATAACCCACATGTCCATCAATAGAGAGAGGGATACATACATTGTAGTATCTTCATTAAATGAAATACTATACAACAATGAAAAAGAACATATCACAGTTCCATGTGACAACAAGAATAAACCTCACAGACATATTGATGTGCAAGAGAATCCAGACACAAAAGACTAAATACTGCGTGATTCCATTTATATGAAGTTCAAGAACAGGCAAAGCTAACCTGTGGTGATAGAGATCAGAAAAGTAATTACATTTAGAGGAGGCAGCATTGACTAGCAGCAGGCATGAAGAAGCCTTCTGGGGTGTTGGAAATGTTCTGTATCTTGATCTGAGTGGTGATTACACTGCTGTAATTATATGTAAACATACATTGGGCTATACACTTAAAATTTATGTACTTTGTGTATAGGAACTTCAATAAGCAATTAAACATTTTTTTCCGTACAGTGAAAACACGCCCAAACCAGGATAGAAACCAGAAAAGCCATTGTCAGGTAACCACATGTACAACTGGTGGGGTTTAGAGTCAAAAACCTTCCAGAAACAGCATTCACTACAAGATTTTTATTTTATTTTATATTTTATGTTATTTATGAGATAAGGTCTGGCTCTATTGCCCAGGCTGGAGCTCAGTGGTACGATCTCGGCTCACTGCAACCTCTACCTCCTAGGCTCAAGCCATCCTTCCAACCTCAGCCTCCTGAGTAGCTGGGACTACAGATGTGCACTACCACACCTGGCTAATTTTTGTATTTTTAGTAGAGACAGGATTTCTGTATGTTGCCCGGGCTGGTCTTGAACTCGTGAGCTCAAGTTATCTACCTACCTCAGCCTCCCAAAGCGCTGTGATTACAGGCGTGAGCCACCAGGCGAGGCCTGCTACAAGATATGTAAAAGCCCAAATTTTAATTTACAGATAAAGCCAACCCATCGTCTTAATTTACCAGGCAGGAGGTTGTGATCTGGGGTCAATTTGAGCTTCTCAGGCTGTGATCTAGATCCACAAAGCCCCTGAGAAAACATGGCCCAGCTCCCTGCAGCAGCATCAATTTACCCAACAATTTGAGAGAAAAAAAAAGTATTTGAAAATGTTAAGACAAATCTGGCCGGGTCATGGCAGGGCCCCTGCTGGTCCATAAGGCACCTCTGTGCAAAGTGAGAAAAAGCATGCCCCTTCTTTGGGATAGATGCAGCCCCACTCAGGCACAAAGCTTGGCAAGAGGCGCTCGGATGGGAAGTCAGCCCCAACTCCTCCTCTGTATGCAGTGAACAACCTGCCCAAGCATTCGCAGCAGGCCTGTATTGCGGAGTGGAACTCAATTCACACGTGCACAGATATTAAGCAGGAAGCTTCAAGGAGATTCTCTGCTTGCAGCCAGCCTGTGCAGCTGCAACCTCTGGTTGCATGAATCTACTTGTGCCTTTACTGAGGTGTCAGTTTTGAAAAGTCTCATGTAAAGCGACCCTTTACATGAGGCTTTCAGAGGAATGGGCTTGCAAAGCCAGAGGAGAATAATAAAAGGCAAGGAGGAGGAATGATGCCGGAAGAAAGGATGGGGGTGGTTAGGAAGGCTCCCAGACAGGCCCCTGCCCTGCCCTCTGGGTTATCTGGACTCAGTGCTAACAATTAGGTGGAAGTGAGGGTTCTCTCTTCCCCACTCATGTGGGAGGGGCCTGTCTAATAACACAAGCTGGGTCACCAGCTTGGAAGCAGTACTGGGCCAGGATTCAGGATCCCTAGGTCCCCGTCCTAAGACCCTGGAGACCGGCTGTGCAACCTTCTGCCCTCTCTGCAAGGAGGGGCTTGGGTAGCTGATGCTCAGGGGCCTGTCCAGCTCTGACTCAGTGAGACCAGGTGAGGCTTACATCTCCTGAGGCCTCTCCCCTGCCTTCTCCCAAACAGCATCCCAGTGCCCCCAGCCTCCATGTCCCCCTACAGATCCCCCCAGGTAACCCATAGTGAGGCCAGCCAGGGTTGGGCGGAGTCTGAGAAGCAACCAGCTCCAACCTAGGCGTGAATCACCCAGCCTGCCCTGGCCCTCTGCCCTGGGAGCACGGGGTGCCAGCACAGCCTGGCACGGTGGGCACCTGGTTCTGAGCCACCTCTTTGCCTTAATACACGCTTCCTGCCCCACTTCCCCTCAGCCCACGTGCATCCTCCTTTCTCCCAGACACCCAGCACAGGCCGCCCAGGTGCTGGCTCTGAAGGAAGACAGTGGGGCCCACAGTCTGAAGAGGAGGCTCAGGTCATGCTCAGTGAGACCCCAGACTGAGCATGGAGACAAAATGCCTGTCCTTCAGGGGCCTCCTCGCTGATCGGGGAGGAACAGCCCCTGCGCTTGGAAGCTTCCAATCTGATGGGGAGGCATAGCCCTTGAACACACAGATCATCTAGTCTGATGGGGGAAACACAGCTCCCATGGTATAAGAATTAAGGAGTAGGCAATGCTCCCTCTCTCTTTTGAGAACCTTCTAATCTAATGGGGGAGACACAGCCCTGCCCTGGAGTCTTTTGATGGAGGAGCTCTCAGGACACTCTTCCTGCAGGTGGAAGGGACTCACTGCTACCTTCAAGACCCACCTCTTTCTGAGGGTGGAGACGAAGCTGCTGCTGTCCTCAGGGGTCCTGGTCTGATGGATGAGATGCAGCTCTGGTCCTCAGGAAGCCTCTGGTCTGATTCCTTGTCTGATGGGGGAGGCAGCACACCCAGCAGATGCAGCCAGCAGCCAAGTCACAAGGCCTCTTCTGCCCATGTGTGCAGAGCTCCCTCTGGGCATGTGGTTCTGGGCCAGGGTGGGAGGCCAGAGCTGAGATGAGAGGTCTGGGCTGGGGGATATGGGGAGGGTCACCCAGGGGCTGAGAGCCACTCTTCACCAGCTCGCTGCTCACTCCTGGCAAGGCACTGTCACACACTGCCGAGTGAGGCCAGCCAGGGATGGGCCTCCCTGTTTGACAGATAGGGAAACTGAGGCCCAGAAGGAGACGTGACAGGACCAAGGCCACATAGGAGGCAGGACTCATGCCCCAGTTTATCTCCAGAGGGTAAGCGGGAGGGAGATAGGCACCAAGACGAGGCAGATGACAGGGGGAGCTGGCCAGGAAGGCTCAGGCAATCGGGCACTCTCTGCTCCAGTGCCCCCGAGATGGCCTGTCCGGAGCTGGCCTTTCTCAATCCTGTTTGGAAAATGACTTTTATGTGAAGGAGACCGGCTGCCCCGCCAGGCGTTTATGAGCCTGGCTTATTGGTCTGGACTAGCGAGCCTGGGGCACAGCTTCTGCATGAGCCAAAGGAAACACTTGCCAAGGGGCAGCCCTGGCCAGTCCATAGCTTCTCTGAAAGTCAAGGCTGGGAGCAGGCTGGGAATCCCCAAAGGTCAGAGCCAGAAGGGACCCAGGGGATGAATTGGTCCAACCCTTGCCTTTTACAGATGGGAATGGTGAGGAACAGAGAAGGGTGGCGACCTGCCCAAGGTCACCAACACTGGCTCCCAATCCCTGGCCAGGGCTCTCTGCAGCACTGGAGCCACGTGGAGCAGCACTTCCCCTCCAGCTGTCCTTGTGGGGACAGGTCAGGATGTCGGATAGGTCTTCTGTATTCGGGTTTCTGGGGGGCTGCCCTTTGTTTTTGTTTTGTTTTGTTTTGTTTTGTTTTTTGAGATGGAGTCTCTGGCTCCAGTCACCAACCAAGTCCCAAGGCCTCCCAGGCTGGAGTGCAGTGGCATGATCTCAGCTCACTGCAAACTCCACCTCCCGGGTTCAAGCGATTCTTGTGCCTCAGCCTTCCAAGTAGCTGGAATTACAGGCACCCACCACCACGCCTGGCTAATTTTTGTATTGTTAGTAGAGATGGGATTTCACCACGTTGTCTAGGCTGGTCTCGAACTCCTGACCTCAGGTGATCTGTCCGCTTCGGCCTCCCAAAGTGCTGGGATTACAGATGTGAGCCACGGTGCCTGGCCTAGGGGGCTGCCCTTTGTGGGGCTGTCCTCCTGGCTCTGTATCCGCCCCTATGGCATCCTTTGAGGAGGCTAACCCAGGACCTGGCCATGGCATCTGGCCCAGAGCTCTACACTTAAAATGTATGCACTCTGTAGAGGTTTGTACCACCCCTCCTCCCTGTCCCCACCCCCACCAGCCACCAGGATCCCCAAGCAGGGGAAAGGGCTCTGCTGAGACAGCTAAGCTGCTCCCACTAGGGAAGGAGTGGAACTTACTGTTTATGGGCCACCAACCCTGTGCCAGCCCAGAGCAGAGCACTTGAACATAACATTACCTCATTCAAGTCTTAACGGTTGTGAGACCAGGCATCTTTATGAGGAAAAAAAGGAGATTCCAGATGTTGAGACACTTTGCCCGAGGTCACGCAGCACCACGTGGGAACCTGGGATGCCAGCCTGGCTCGGTCTGCTTCCAAAGCGCACGCTTGATTTCCCCACTGTGTTAGCAGCCTCCAGAAGGGCCTCAGGCGATGCCCGCCTCCTCCAGGGAGCGCCCAGAGCATCCTGTCACCTCAACCCCTGACTTGCAGGGGCTAGGCTCTGTCCATGGTTCAGAGCTGGCTGTGCCCTCAGTTGTAGCCCCGGCTGTGGGGCTCCCTGAACTCCCTGGGGAGAAGTGATGGGACAGGCATAGGCAGACCTGGCCTTGGGACACATTCAAGCCCATTGAGATCCCCAGGCCCACTCAGGCCTGCATGGGGGGCCCAAGGGCTCAGCTAAAGAGGATTCATGGGCCAGACTCTAGTTTCACAGTTCAAGGCTGGGATGGGAGTTCTGAGGCTTGGGCTCCAGCTGAACTCTGCCATGGCCTGCTGTGTGACCTTGGGCATCTTGCTGGACCTTTCTGAGCCTTCATTGCTAGGAGCTGGTCACTGACATCCTGTGATACGTGGGTCTACATGTGCCTGGTTAGATCCAAAGGTTCAGGCAGAACCTTTGCTCAGCAGGAGGGGCAGAGGAGGGGAAGAGAGCTGGACCGGGACTGGGTATGACCTACTGGGCTGGGCCTCTCCAGTGGGACTTTGCTGATGGCATTCTTCACTGGTTGCCACATCAGCAACTCTACCAGAGTGGAGGGTGGCCTGGTGGTCCCTCTTGCAGAAAGTCATGGCAAGCCTTGAAGATTATGGGTGCAGGACTGAGGGCTGGGCCACTGATTCCGCTTGTTTTATGGTTATAGAATGATTTGGGTTCTCCATTTCTTGTGTTACAGCTCAGTGACGCACTGGAGGCTGGCTCTGGAGAGCAGATAATGCACATCTCTTCCCAACACCACACTCAGGGATGTCACACTGGCCATGGTGGGAGTATTTACACCATGGAAACTGGTTAGCACTACACGAAAGGGGCTTTTATGTGTGCGGCATTAGGTTGGTTGGTTTGGAAAGCCAATTGTTAAATATTTATCAGAACACCACACGGGTTGTGTGGATAAGTTAGATTTTCCAAGAAACTTGTCATTTTTATCTAAATTTCCACATTTCTTGGCATATACATTCTTTTAATTTAAATTTAAGTTGCTTCCTCAGTGCAGTAGGCAGCATGTCAGTCTCATAAATTTAATTTTAGCAACTAAAGGAAAAACGCATAAATTGGACTTCATCGAAATTTAAAACTTTGGGCCAGGCACGGTGGCTCACGCCTGTAATCCCAGCACTTTGTGGGGCTGAGGCAGGAGGATCATGAGGTCAGGAGATCGAGACCATCCCGGCTAACACTGTGAAACCCTGTCTCTACTAAAAATACAAATAATTAGCCGGGAGTGGTGGCAGGTGCCTGTAGTCCCAGCTACTCAGGAGGCTGAGGCAGGGGAATGGCATGATCCTGGGAGGCGGAGCTTGCAGTGAGCCGAAATCGTGCCACTGCACTCCAGCCTGGGCAACAGAGCGAGACCCCGTCTCAAAAATAAATAAATAAATAAATAAAATTTAAAATTTTGATGCTTCAAAGGACAATATCAAGAAAGCGAAAAGACCATCCCCAGTGGGGAGAAGATATTTGCAAATTGTGAATGCAATAAGGCTCTAGTGTCCAGAATATGTAAAGAATGCTTATCACTCAACAATGAAAAGATTACAAAGTGGACAAAGAATTTGGGTAGATAGTTCTCCAAAGAAGATATACAAATGGCCAATAAGCCCATGAAAGATACTCCATACCATTAGTCAGTAGGGAAATGAAAATCAAAACTGCAATGAGATACTACCTCACACTCACTAGAATGACTATAATCAAAAAGGCAGACCACAACAAGTGTTGACAAGGAGTTGAAGAAGCTGGAAGCCTCATACACTGCTGGTTGGAATGTAAATGGTGCAGCCACTTTGGGAAACGCCGGTGCAGCTGCAGCGCTGTGATAGATTGACAGCCCTTCTACCTCTGGGGAGGAGGGGAATGTGACAGGAAGGGGCTGCTGGCCTGGGGCTCCTTCAGGGAGGATGCAGACACTTTTCTGGAGGCCTGGGCTCTGTGTGTTTGCAGGTACAAGCTTGGCTCCCCAAAATATTGCAGGAGATGGGTGTCCCCTCTCTTGGGGTCCCCCAAGGGCTAGTAGGTCTGAGATGGTACCAGTCTCCTCCAGAAACAGAGGTGGCTTCTTCCGTTTCCTGTGGTGGCTTCTCTCCGTTTCCTGAGTGTAACACAAGGTTACGCTCTTGTGTGCCTGTCTTGTTAAGTTCCTTTATTTAAGACTTCTCTTTTTCCCATTGAACCTTGCCAAAAGTTCATCCATTTAATTAATCTTTTCCAAGAACCAACTTTTGGATTTTTGTTTTAGTCCTATTTTTTTCACCAATTCCCACTTTTACATTTATCTTTCCTTTTGGGGGGTTAATTTCATTATTTTTCTAAATTCTCCAGTTTGGCGCTTAGTTCATTCACTTTCTGCCATTCTTCGTCCCTACTGTAAACATTCAAGACTATACATTTCTTTCTAAGCACAATTTTAGTTGAGTCCATGAGTTTTCATATGTGACCTTTCTACTGCTCAGTTCGGAATTGCCATTGCAATGTCTCCTTTGATCAATGAGTTATTTAAATGACTGGTTTTTAAAATTTCCAGATGAATAGGGTTTTCTTATTATCCTTGCTGAGTTCTAAGTTAATTGCTTTAGAGTTAGAGGATGTGGTCTGGATGATACACTTTATTTCAATTTTGTTGAGACTTGCTTTTGCCAATACCCACCTAAGTCAGTTTTCATGTATGTTTTATGTGCTTGAGAAAAATGTGTCATGGCCCATGCAGGGTCACCTATACGTTGATTGGATGGAGCTTTATTTGTGTTCATGAGATCTCCTATTGACTACTAATTTTTTTGTCAGCTTTATCAATTATTGAGACATGTTAAAATCTCCCACTATATTAGTAAATTTGTCCAGTTCTTGCAGTTCAATAAATTTTAGCTTCATATCTTTTGATGTCAGGGTATTACTAGTTTGATAAAATAAATTGAGAAATGACCTCTCCTCTTCTGTTTTCTGGAAAGATTGTGCAGAATTGGTGTACATTCTTTAAACATTTGGTAGGACTCTCTAGTGAAACAATCTGGGCCAGGAGATTTCTTTTCAGGAGTTTTTAAATTACTAATTCATCTGAGTAGATACCCAGTATCGGAATTGCTGGATCAAATGGTAATTCTACTTTCAGTCCTTTAAGGAATCTCCACACTGTTTTCCACAGTGGTTGTACTAGTTTACATTCCCACCAGCAGTGTGAAAGTGTTCCCTTTTCACCACATCTCTACTAACATCTTTTTTTTTTTTATGGCCATTCTTTCAGGAGTAAGGTGATATCACATTGTGGTTTTGATTTGCATTTCCCTGATCATTAGTGATGTTGAGATTTTTTTCACATGTTTGTTGGCCATTTGTAAATCTTCTTTTAAGAATTATCTATTCATGTCCTCAGCCCATTTTTGATGAGATTGTTTGTTTTTTTCTTGCTAATTTGTTTGAGTTCATTGTAGATTCTGGATATTAGTCCTTTGTTGGATGTATAGATTGTGAAGATTTTCTCCCATTCTGTGGATTGTCTGTTTACTCTGCTGATTGTTTCTTTTGCTATGCAGAAACTTTTTAGTTTAATTAAATCTCACCTGTATATCATTGTTTTTGTTGCATTTGCTTTTGGGTTGTTGGTCATGAAGTCTTTGCCTAAGTCAGTGTCTAGAAAGGTTTTTCTGATGTTATCTTCTGGAATTTTTGTGGTTTCAGGTCTTAGATTTAATTCCCTGAGAAAAAGATACTTGTACACTCATGTTTATAGCAGCACAATTTACAGTTGCAAAAATTTGGACCCAGCCTGAATGCCCATCAATCCATGAGTGGATAAAGAAATTGTGATATATGTAAATATATATACACCATGGAATGCTATTCAGCCATAAAGATGAATGAAATAATGGCATTCACAGCAACCTGGATGGAATTGGAGACCATTATTCTAAGCGAAGTAACTCAGGAATGGAAAACCAAACATATATGTTCTCACTCATAAGTGAGAGCCAAGCTATAAAGATGCAAAGGCATAAGAATGATACAATGGACTTTGGGGACTTAAGGGAGAGGGTGGGAGTGGGGTGAGGGATAAAAGACTACAAATTGGGTACAGTGCATACTGCTAAGGTGATGGGTGCACCGAAATCTCACTAACCACCACTAAAGAACTTATTTATGTAACCAAACTCCACCTGTTCCCCCAAAAACCTACGGAAATAAAAAAAATAATAAAATAGAGGAAAACATGAAAAAAGTAAAATTACTAGTTCAATTTCTTTAATAGCTATATGGCTATTCAAATTACTTATTTCATATTGGGTGAGTTTTGGCTGTACTTTTTGAGAATGTAGTCCGTTTTATCTAAGTTGTCAAATTTATGCTTGTTAAGTTGTTTTAAGTATTCCATTATTATTGTTTTGATGTCTGCACAGTCTGTCTTGATATTCCCATTTTATTCCTGAGATTGGTAATTTGTGTCTTCTCTCTTTTTTTCTTTGTTGATCTTGCTAGGCATTTGTCAATTGTATTTATCTTTTCAAAGAACCAGATTTTGTTTCACTGATTTTTCCCTATTGCTTTTCTATTTTTATTTTCTTGGGTTTCTGCTCTTATCTTCATTATTTTCTTCCTTCTGGCTGCTTTTGGTTTCTTTTACTCTTCTTTTTCTAATTACTTAAGGTGGGAGCTTAGAGTATCAATTTGAAGCTTTTTCTTTTTTCTAATGTAACTGTTTAGTGATTTAGATTTCCTTCTCAGAACTTGCTGTGTTCCATAAATTTGGATATGTTGTATTTTTATTTTCCTTGAGACTTCTTTTTTGACCTATGTATTATTTAGAAGTGTGCTGTTTAGTTTTTAAGTATTTGGAAATTTTCCTGTCACTGATTTTTATTTTAATTCCATTGGGGTCAGAGATCACCCTCTACAATGTCAATTCTTTTAAATTTTTTGAGATTTGTTATATGACCAAGGATGTGGTCAATTTTGGTTTATGTCCCACAGGTTTTTGAAAAAGAATGTGTGTTCTACTTGGGTTGGATGAGCTGATACAAAATGTTGAGTAGATACTGTTGGTTGACAGTGTTTGTTGAGTTCTGTAACTTTGCTGGTTTCTGTCTAATTGTTCTATCAATTGTTGAAAGAGTATTAAAGCCTTCAACTATAATTGTAAATGTGTTTATTTCTCTTCTCAGTTTTATCGGTTTTTACTTCATATATTTTGTAGCCCCATTGTTTGGTGCATACACATTTAAGATTTCTGTATTTTCTTGGTGAATTGACTCTTATCATATGTAATGGCTCTCTCTATCCCTGGTAATTTATTTGCTCTAAAGTCTATGTTATCTGATATTAATACAGCCACTCCTGCTGTTTTTCAATTAATGTTGACATGGTATATCTTTTTCCATCCTTTTGTGTTAAACTTACTTATATCATTATGTTTGAAGTGAGTTTCTCGTAGACAGCATATAGTTAGTGTGGTAATATTTATCCACTTTACCAATTTCCATCTTCTAATTAGTTTATATAGACCATTTACATTTAAGGTAATCATTTGTATGTTAGAGCTTAGACCTGCCATTTTGCTTTGTTTCTCTGTTTTCTTTTTCCTACCTTCTTGTGGGTTACTGGAACTATTTTTTATAATATTTTAATCATCTATAGTGTTTTTTAGTGTATCTCTTTGTATACTTTTTTTAGTGGTTTCTCTAGGTATTACATTATATATACATAACTGAACATAATCTACTGGTATTATCATCTTAACAGTTTGAGTGAAGTATGGAAAACTTGTCTCTCTTTACATTGTTTTTTCCCCATTTATAATTGTCTTAAATATTTTATCTACATACATTCAAAATCACATCAGACGGTGTTACGATTTTTGCTTCAACCATCAAACATAATTTAGACAGCTTAGGAGAAGAAAGTTTATTGTGTTTATCATAATTTTGCTCTTTCTATTGTCTTTCTTCCATTCCTAATGTTTCAAATTTTCTTCTTTTATCATTTCCTCTCTGCTTAAAGGAAATGATAGGGTAGGTTTATGGTGACAAAATCTAATTTTCTCTCATCTGAGTGTATCTGCATTCCTGAAATATAATTTTGCTGAGGGTAGAATTCTAGGTTAATGATTCTTTTCTTTCATTATTTGAAAAATGTTATGCCACATTCTTCTGTCTTCCACGGTTTCTGATGACAAATCTTCAGTCTATCAAATTGTTTTCTCCATAAGTAAGATGTTATTTCTCCCTTACTACTTTCAAGATTTTATTTGGCTTTATTTTTCAGAAGTTTGACTATAATTTGTCTTGGAATAAATTTATTTGGGCTTACCTTGTTTGGAGTGACTCAGCTCTTAAATCTGTATGTTCATGTCTTTCGCCAAATTTGGGAAATTTTTCCATTATTTCTTTGAGTGCTTTTTCAGCCCCATCCTCTTTCTCCTCTACTTCTGTGACTCCAGTGGCTGAATGTTAGATTGTTTTATTATTACTTTTTTCCTTGACATGAGTTTATCTATATAACAAACCTGAGGTCATTTTATTATTAACCACAGGTCCCTGAAGTTCTGTTCAGTTTTTTTCCAGTCTATTTTTTGTCTATTGTTCAGATTGAGTAATTATATTGTTCTATTTTCAAGTTTGTTGATTAATTCCTGTGTTGTCTTCATTCTGTTGTTGAGCCTATCCATTAAGTTTTAATTTTAGTTATTGTATTTTAAGTTCTAAAATTTCCATTTGGTTCTTTGTGTCTTCTATTCTTTGCCGAGCTTTTCTACCTTTTCATTTATTTCAAGCGTGTTTACAATGGCTCTTTGAAGCATTTTTATGATAGCTGCTTTAAAACCTTTGTCAGATAATTCTAACATCCTAACATCTGTGTCATCTCAGTGTTGATGTCTATTGATTGTCTTTTCTCATTCAACTTGAGATTTTCCTAGTTCTTGGTATGACAAATGATTTTCTATTGAAATCTGAACATTTGGGTGTTATGTTATAAAACTCTGGATCTTATTGAAACCCTGTGTTATAGCAGGCCTTCTCTGACACTGCTCTAGTGGGAAAAGAGAGGCGCCATCTCATTCCTGCCAGGAGGAAGTGGAAGTTCAGGTTCCCCATTCAGCTTCTGTTGACATCTGGTGGGGAGGGCTTTCTGATTACTGTTGAGTGAAAGTGAGAGCTCAGGCTCCCCACTAGGCTTAGAGGGACAGGGGTGCCCTGTTGCTGCTCCCCATATGGCCTCTACTGTTGACATGGAAGTGGAGGTTATCCTCATTACTACTGGACAGTAGTGAAAGCCCTGATGCAATTCTAGGGCTCCTCTGCTACCACCTCAGTCAGCCCCTCATTGCTGCAGTGTAGAGGTGGACGATCAGGCCCCTCTACATGCGGACATCAGACCGCATGGTCTACTGATATTACAGAGTATGAAGGTATTCATTATCACCCAGTGAGAATCAAAGTCCAGCTCCTCGGCCTTCTCTGACGTCACCACAGCTGAAAAGTTGAGGCATCTCTTTGTAGTCTGGAAAAGGTGGAAGTCAAAGTTTTCCACTCAGCCTTCCCTGGAAAGGTAAGGCTAAGGTCACAGTTTTTTCTGTAGTGTTTGGCTGGAGTAGAGCAGTTATCATCTGAAAGTTTGTCTTTCTCAGCTGCTTCTTCCTGGTCCTTTGGCTAGAAAGAGCCAGCTTTTCTTGGGGCTTATTTGTCTGCATCCCTTCATGTTTTGGGGTTGCTGCCTCTCCAATTTGGGATATGTGAGGCAAAAAGAAAACCCAGGAAACCCAGCTTTATATATTCTGAACTTATGTTATTAGATCATACAAGTTCATAATTGTTTCAGTATTCCAATGTATTGAACCTTTTAAGATTATATGGTAACTCCCTTGTTTCCTCACAACGTTTTTACTTTAAAGCCCATCTTATCCACGTTTATTAAAGCTGAACCTAGTTCCTTTGGGTTGGCTTTTTTTTTTTTTTTTTTTGGTATGTCTTTTCCTATTCTTTTGCTTCTCTACTTCCTATGATTGTATATTTGCGTGTATATATATATATATATATATATATATATATATATATATATATATATAGTTTTTTTGAGACAGTTTCACTCTGTCACCCAGGCTGGAGTGCAGTGGTGCAATCTTGGCTCACTGCAACCTCTACCTCCCAGGTTCAAGCGATTCTCCTGTTTCAGCCTCCTGAGTAGCTGGGATTACAGGCATGTGCCACCATGCCCAGCTAATTTTTGTATTTTTTAAGTAGAGACGGGGTTTCACCATGTTGGCCAGGCTGGCCTCAAACTCCTGACCTCAAGTGATCCACCTGCCTCAGCCTCCCAAAGTGCTGGGATTACAGGCATGAGCCACCACACTCGGCCTGATTTTATATTTTACTCTAGTACAAAGTTTTGCTTTTTCATCCACTCTCACAATATATGTTTTTCAGCTAGATAATTTATTCCAGTCCATTTCCAATTATTGTCATTGCTGGCTCATTAATTTTGTTCATCCAAATATTTAAGTGGCTACTGTGTGCCAGGCTCTGTTTTAGGTGCTAAAATATGGCAGTGAATCAAAGAGTCAAAAATACACATGCTTGGCATTAGAGTCTGGTTGGGGGAGATAGACAATAAACAAATGGCTAAGCAAACAAACATATGACTAAAACATATATTGTCCATGGAGAAGAATAATTTATGTAGATTTACTGAGGAGAATATGGACAGGTGGGGTGGGGGAGTAACTTTACAGTGCTGTGTCAATGTCCTACGGCTGTCATAACTGGGTATCACAACTGAGTCGCTTAAACAACAGAAATTTGTTCCCAAATTTCTCACCATTTTGAAGGCTGAAAGTTCAAAATCAAGGTGTTGGTAGGGTTGGTTCCTTCTGAGGGCTGTGAGAGAAGGAGCTTGTATTAGTCCATTTTCATACGGCAATAAAGAACTGCCCAAGACTGGGTAATTTGTAAAGGAAAGAGGTTTAATTGACTCACAGTTCAGCGTGTCTGGGGAGGCCTCAGGAAACTTACAATCATGGCGGAAGGCTAAGGGGAAGAAAGGCCCCTTCTTCACAAGGCGACAGGAAGGAGAAGTGAAGGGGGAAGAGCCCCTTATAAAATCATCAGATCTCATGAGAACTCACTCACTATCACGAGAACAGCATGGGAGAAACTGCCCCCATGATTCAATTACCTCCACCTCGTCTCTCCCTTGACATGAAGAGATTATGGGGATTATGGGGATTACAATTCAAGATGAGATTTGAGTGGGGACACAAAGCTTAATCATACCAAAGCTATTCCAGGCTTCTCTCCTTGGCTTATAGATGACCATCTTCACGTTCACACGGTGTCTCCCTGTGTGCATGTCTTTCCAAATTTACTCTTTTTTATTAGGACACCAGTCACATTGGATTAGTGCCCACCTTAACAACTTCATTTTAACGTGATTACCTCTGTAAAGACCCTGTCTCCAGATAAGGTCACATTCTGAGGTATTAGGGGTTAGGATTTCAGCATGTGAATTTTAGGTGAGTAGCAGGGACACAATTCAACCCATAACAAGTGAAAACTGATGAACACTACCTCAGCCAGGTGATCGATGTTCGCCTCGGTGATGATTAGCACACAGAGTGGGGCAAGGGCACTGATTTCTACAGGGGTCAGGAAGCCTCTCTAGCAAAGCAAACTAAGAGTGACCTGAAGGATGAAAGGACACAGCCATGGGGACACCTGGAGAGTCTGAGACCCAGAAGAGGGAGCAGCAAGTGCAGGACCATGGTTGACTCATTCAAAGAACCACTGGGAGGCTAGTGTGGCCCAGGGGTAGGGGAGGGGAAGGGACACGTTATGTATTAGTCTGTTTTCACACTGCTCATAAAGACATATCTGAGACTGGGTAATTTATACAGAAAAAGAGATTTAATGGACTCACTGTTCTACATGGCTGGGGAGGCCTCACAATCATGGCGGAAGGCAAACGGCACATCTTACATGGTGGCAGGCAAGAGACAGAATGAGAACCAAGCCAAAGGTGAAACCCTTCATAAAATCATCAGATCTCGTGAGACTTATTCACTACCACAAGAACAGTATGGGGGAAACCGCCCCCACAATTCAATTATCTCCCACTGGGATCCTCCCACAACATGTGGGAATTATGGGAGCTACAATTCAAGATGAGATTTGGGTGAGGACACAGCCAAACCATACCAGAGTACTAGGGGATGAAGTCAGAGAAATGAAAGGCAGAATCATGTTGTCCTTATAGGCCAAAGGAAGGGTCTGCTTCCTCCAAGTGAGATGAGGAGTTGCCGGAAGGGTTTGAGCAAAGGAGAGGCATAACTTGGCAGAATCCCTCTGGCTGCTTTGCTGACCACAGATTAGAGGGAGGCAAGGGTAGAAAGCAGAGAGACCAGTCAGAGAAGCAATCATAATCCTGGCGAGAAGCAATGGTGTCTTGGACCAGGGAGGAAGTAGTGGAGCAGGTAATAAACAGTCAGAGATGATTTTTGGGAGGCAGATCCGACAGGGTTCACTGATGGATAAACTGTGGGGTGTGAGAGGAAGACAGGAGTGGATGACTTCACGGTTTTGGCACAGGCACCCAGAAGCATGGGGAAGTCTCAGGGAGGGGCAAGTTTGCAGGGCTGGACATCAGGAGGATGGTTTTGCAGGTGTGAGGTTGAGGTGCCTATTAGACCTCCAAGGGGCAACACAGGGGAGGGGACTGGTTAATCTCACTGGAGTCCAAAGCCAGAGGTCTGGGCTGGACATAGGATTGTGGGAGTGGGCAGACAATTTCAAAGCCAGAGATCTCCTAGGGAGTGAGTGTGGGTAGGAGAGAGATGGGGCCCAAGGACAGAGCCCTGAGGCCCTCCAATGTTTAGAGTTTGGGGAGAACAAAGGAGCCAGGGAGGTAGGAGAAAACCCAAGAGAAAGTGGGATGTCCCAGAAGAGAGAGGGTCTCAAGAGGGAGCATGATCACCAGGTGTGGTGGCTGGAGGATTGTTTGAAGTCAAGAGTTTAAGACCAGCCTGAGCAACATAGTGGGACCCCATGCCACAAACCCTCCCTAAAAACTTTTTTTTCTTTATAAACTGGGTGTGGTGGCACACACTTGTGGTCCCAGTTACTTGAGAGGTTGAGGTGGGAAGATCACTTGAGACCACAGCTCTAGGCTACAGTGAGCCAAGATCATGCCTCTGCACTCCAGCCTGGATGACAGAGCAAGACCCTGTTTCTAAAAGAAATAAAAATAATAAATAAACAGATAAGGAGCATGATCAGCATGTGAAAGAAAAAGGTCTGAAAAGTGATCCCAGCTAGGCCTCCCATCCTGATAAATGCCTTTTTAGTTTTAAAATTAACTTTAGGGCCAGGCGCATTGGCTCACACCTGTATAATCCCAGCACTTTGGGAGGCTGAGGTGGGTGGATCACTTGAGGTCAGGAGTTCAAGACCGTCCTGGCCAACATAGTGAAACCCTGTCTCTACTAAAAACACAAAAATTGGCTGGGCGTGGTGGCGGGCGCCTGTAATCCCAGCTACTTGGGAGGCTGAGGCAGGAGAATTACTCGAACCCAGGAGGCAGAGGCTGCAGTGAGCTGAGATCGTGCCACTGCACTCCAGCCTGGGTGACAGAGTGAGACTCTGTCTCAAATAAATAAATAATAAAATTAACTTTATTGACATATAATTTACATGTGTATATAATTTACATACAGTAAAAGCATCCATTTTAATAAGTGTATGGTTTGATGAGTTTTGACAAATGTATAAACTCACGTAATCACCACCCCCAATCAAGAGTTACAACATTTTCACTAGCCCCAAAAGGTCCCTTTTCCCTTTGCAGTCAATCCCTTTCTCAACCCTTGTCCCCAAGCCACCACTCACATGCATTCTGTGGCTATAGACTAGATTTTTGCCTGTCCTGCAAAGAATTACACATGAAATCATAGACTTGGTATTATTTTGCATCTTGCTTCTTTCTCTCTGCAAAATGTTTTTTAGATTAATCCACGTTGTTGAAAGTATCTGGCACTTCATCTCACAAGTCACCCACTTGGCCCTCTTCCAAGTGTACTTAAAAAAAAAAAGAGGCCGGGCGCGGTGGTTCACACCTGTAATCCCAGCACTCTGGGAGGCCGAGGCGGGCGGATCACAAGATCAGGAGATCGAGACCATCTTGGCTAACACGGTGAAACCCTGTCTCTACTAAAAATACAAAAAATTAGCCGGGCGTGGTGGCAGGTGCCTGTAATCCCAGCTACTCGGGAGGCTGAGGCAGGAGAATGGCGTGAACCTGGGAGGCGGAGCTTGCAGTGAGCCGAGATCGCACCATTGCACTCCAGCCTGGGCAACAGAGCGAGACTCCATCTCAAAAAAAAAAAGAAAGAAAGAAAAAGAAGAGAAAGTATCTGCAGTTCATTGCTTTGTTATTGCTAAGTCATATTCCATTATAAATTGCAATTCGTTTATCTGCTCGCTGTTGATGAACATTCATGTTGTTTTCAGTGCTGGGATATTATAAACTTTTATGAACTTTCCTATACAAATCTTCTCATGGTCATGTTTTCATTTCTCTTTGGCAAATACTTAGGTATTGCTGGCTCATATGTTAAATGTACATTGAATTTTTATAAGAAACCAAGTCTGGTCCTTTTTAATACTCTCTTGTTCTGTGCTTATGGTTTTATGTTTCTTTTTTTGTTTTTGTTTTGTTTGCTTGTTTGTTTTACAGACAGGGTCTCGTTCTGTTACCCAGGCTGGAGTGCAGTGGCTTGATCACAGCTCACTGCAGCTTCAAACTCCTGGACTCCAGCAATCCTCACCTCAGCCTCCCAAGTAGCTGGGACTATAGGCACACACCACCACACCCAGCTAATTTTTGAGAAATATTTTGTGGAGACGGGGGTCTCACTATGTTGCCCAGGGTGGTCTTGAACTCCTGGCCTAAAGTGACTTTCTCAAAGTGCTGGGCTTACAGGCGTCAGCTACTGTGCCCAGCAGGACACTTTTATTTAAATTATGTAGCACTCTTATTACCCAAAATGAATACTCTAATTCCAATCCTTGAAGTGTTTACAGGTCTGATTCCTCTGTTTGTGGTTTCTTTGCATGTTTTTAAATGTTTTTATTGTGAGCTCATGATCATCAGGATTCTAACTGGTAGGAACTTTATAAGGTCTGGTTTGATATGTGTTTCTCTAGAAAGGATTTTAGTTTGTTTTTGCTGGAGACCTGGGAGTACTATTCACCAGGGACTCCTTGAAACTAGGTTCTCAGCCTGGTGTTTCTGGACCAAACAAGCAATGCCAGCACTTTAGGGGGTGAGGCAGGAGGATTTCTTGAGGCCAGGAGTTCAAGACCAGCCTGGGCAACATAGCAAGACCCCATCTCTTTAAAACAAAAATAATTAATTAATTTAAAAATAAATTTCTTCACATGGACACAGGGAGGGGACCATCACACACTGGGGGCCTGTTGGGGGTTGGGGGGCAAGGGGAGGGAAAGCATTAGGACAAAAGCCTAATGCATGCGGGGTTTAAAACCTAGATGATGAGTTGATGGGTGCAGCAAACCACCATGGCACATGTATACCTATGTAACAAACCTGCATGTTCTGCACATGTATCCCAGGATTTAAAGTATAACAAAAAATAAAAATAAAAATAAAATAAAATAAAGTGGGAATTTGGGCCCTGATCTCACATAAGGGCTGGCTCAGGGGAGAGTTTCTTTCCCTCTTTATTCTGAGTGAAAGCCAAGACCAACCCTTTTCTTGCCATATCCTTTTAGAAGGTAGATCTTTTTCAAGTTTGCCCTTTCACTAAGGATGTTGCCTGCAGAAGCTCTGACTTCGTATGGGAGCTCAGACCCCAGTTCCACTCGGTCAGGCCTTGGGCTACGTCTTCTATCTCCCCTGCATCTGTTAAAAGCAAAGCTCTACATTGTAGTGGGAGAGGGAGTATCAAATGGCACATACCCTTTGAAAAACAGTTTGGCAGTTTCTTATAAAGTCAAACAAACCCTTACCATACAATCCTGCAATCTCACTCCCAGCTATTTGCCCAAGTGAAGTGAAAAAACTACATTTACACCATAACCTATGCGTGAATGTTTGTATCAGCTTTACTCATAATAACCAAAAGCAGGCCGGGTGCAGTGGCTCACACCTGTAATCCCAGCACTTTGGGAGGCGGAGGTGGGAGGACTGCTTGAGTTCAGGAGTTTGAGACCAGCCTTGGCAACATTGTGAGACCCTGTCTCTACAAAAAATAAAGGAATAATTAGCAGGGCCTGGTGGCACATGCCTGTAGTCCCCACTACTCGGGAGGCTGAGGTAGGAGGATTGCTTGAGCTCAGGAGTTTGAAGCTGCAGTGCCATGATTGTACCACTGCACTCCAGCCTGGGCAGCAGAGCAAGACCTTGTCTTAAAAATCAATAAATGAGGCCGGGCCCGGTGACTCACACTGTAATCCCAGCACTTTGGGAGGCTGAGGCAGGCGGATCATTTGAGGATAGGAATTTGAGACCAGTTTGGCCAACAATGGTGAAACCCTGTCTCTACTAAAAATACAAAAATTAGCTGGGTTTGGTGGCACACACCTGTAATCCCAGCTACTCGGGAGGCTGAGGCACCAGAATCCCTGGAACCTAGGAGGTGGAGGTTGCAGTGAGCCAAGATCACGCCATTGCACCCCAGCCTAGGAGACAGAGAGAGACTGTCTAAATAAATAAATAAAAAAAATACATAATAACCAAAAGCTGAAGACAGCTCAGATATTCTTCAGCAAGTGAGTGGATCAACAGACTGGCACATCTGCACAATACTAACACACTTAGAAACGCAACATAGATGAATCTCAATTGCCTTATGCTAAGTGAAAGTCAGACTCGAAAGACAACGTGTTGCTGGATGATTCCATTTTTGTGACATCCTGGAAAAGGCAAAAATATAGGAAGAGAAGACAGATTAGTGTTTGCCAGGAGGCAGAAGTGAGAACAGGGATTGACTTCCAAAGGATTCAGGGACATTGACGAGAGATTAAACTTCTATACCTTGATTTGTGATGGCGGGTACACAACTCTATGCATTAGTCAACACTCAAAGAACTTTATACTAAAAAGGGTGAATTCTACTCTACGTGAAGTTGACCACAACTTTAAAAACAACAAAGCTCTAGTTTACAGGAATCTTTTAGGCCAGCCTCCAGTCGAGGGTTCACCCCCTCTTGATTTGTGTAGACATTCTTTTTTTTTTTTTTTTTTTGGCTTTGGAGCACTTCCTCTACATTCTTGCCAACTCAGTCATGCCTTTTAAAAGATTCTTTTAAAATTTTTGTCCAGGACACCAGCCTAATGTGGGACACCATCTTTAACCTCAAAGGGACCTAGTCCAGTGGAAGACAGAACAGGCAGGCACGGGAGAGCCTCCTCTCAAACATCCATGCATGGCAGATCCCCCAGGAGCCTCGGGGTCTCCTGGACCTGCCTGAGATCACACAACTTTTTCGTAATGGCAGTAATGGCTGTAATTAACTGGCATAAAAATGTGAGGCACAAAAGCAGCTGGCCGGGCTCACAGCCAGGGAGGTGGAACCAGGTAACTCACAGCCCTGCTGGGGGTAACATCAGGGCAGGCTCTGAGGGGCGTGAAGCCTGACCGGGCTCAGAGAGAGACCCACATATCTGCAGACGTCACTCTGTGCAGGCAGCCTCAAGGTTGGGACTCTAATGAGGATGGGTCTGACTCAGTCCTAGTCAGCGTCCAGGGACACTGGGGCTGTCCCTCTTGGAGGGAAACAAATGCCCACAGCATGAGTTTCACTGGTAACCCCTGTGCCGAGAGTTCACCAGGCATTGAACCAAGCTCTTCACCAGTATGACCAACCGCGTGGAGCTCTCTCCGGGCCTCTGATTCAATAGTACCTGTCTCATTGGCAGCAGTGAGGATTCAGTTAGCTGATATGTGTAAAGCACTTAGCACCGTGTGGGCTCCTCCATAAATGCTGACCATTATCATCACCAACCCATTTAACAGATGATGTCACTGAGGCCCGGTGCTGTTAAGGGACTTGTACAGTCATGCAGCTACCACGTTGCAGAATTGGGTATACCTGGCTCTGGAATTTTACAAGACAGCTTGCCTGGAGCAAGGTCACACCTAGACAGAAGTTCTCGGGGCTCAGGTAGGACTAAAAATATTCCAGGGAGGGCAAAGGGGCTCCCCTGGGCCCATTCCACCTAGCTCTGAGCACCTCAACCCTGTCCTCACTGTTGAGCACCCATCTTCCTCTCTGCATTTTCTTCCCATCTCTAAACACCTCCTCCAGGGGGCCTTCCTTGATTTCCCTTCCTCATGTCAAAGCACAGAATTCCATTTAACCTAAAGGCCTATTTAGATGTCAGGCACTGCCTGGAGCTCTAGGGATGTAGCAATAAGGAGCCAGACAGAGCTTTGTCCTCATGAAGCTGACATATTGGTGAAGAGAAGAGATAATAAGTTTTAAAACAATACACTTAATTATAAATCATGGTTAGGTCTGTAAAGGAAGCAAATAAAGAGGTCTGAGAAAGCCTCCTGGGCAAGGCAACATTTAAGCTGAAACCTTGGATGAGAAAGCCCCAGACACTGTCAGGAGTAGAGCGTTCCAGGTTGGGGCGGGGGGGGGGCGGTGTGGGTGGAGTTTATGCAAAGACCCTGGGCTGGAAAATTGCCTCCAGGGTTTAGGGAGCTGCAAGAAGACCTCTGTGGCCAGGAAGGGAGGGAGGGGGGAGGGAAGAGGGTGGGATCAAAGACAGAAGCAGCAGGCAGGGGCTGGGATGAGAGCCTTGTTTGCCAGTTGTGCCCTTTGGCTTTGACTCCAAGCGAGGTGGGAGTCACTGCAAGGTTCTGAGCCCAGGATGCTCTGCAGGGAGTGGATGCCAGGGAGGCAGGGCAGGAAAGAGGGAGATGCAGTGGGCTAGATGGGGCTGATGAGAGTTGGGACTAGAGAAGGGGCATCAGGTGGCAAGAGGTGGACAGGTTGAGTTCCTGAGGACCCAGAGCTCATTCTTCTCCAACTCTATGCTGTCCACTGGTGCCACCTATCCCTTCTCTAGATTTATACCCTAGCTCCTAACACCTCTTCCAGGGAGCCCTCCCTAATTCTCCCATCCTCTGAGCTGGTAACCCAGGCTCTCCCTTCCCCCATCCACATCTCAGGCTATTGAGAAGATCCTCCTGGAGCTGTGCACAACCTTGTCACCCAGAGACCCCCTCACAATAGAATCAACAGCTACGACTAAGGGTGGAGTCCAAGGCTGTGGACAGTCCCTGAGACCAGAGGCTTAGGGAGACCTGACTTCAGAGGGGATCTGTTTTTTCCCAAATCCTTTTTAATGCCCACCTGCTCCAATAGAGGCTGGATCCAAAGGGTTTTGAAGTTGCTTTGTAGAGGATGGAGTCCCCTAGTACGGGCAGTTTCCAGGTTAGCGCCAGCCTGGAGTCTTCTCCCCACCACCCCCACCCCCACCATGGGGTTCCAGTCCTGACAGCTCTCCCTCCTAAACCTCACTCACACCTTTCCCTTCCTTACCAGCCCCCAAGCCAGGGCCCTGCTTCCTTCATTTGCCCAAGAAAATTGTACTAAGCACCTACTACATGCCTGATTCTGAGCATCCCACTGAGATCAGAGATTGCCAAAGCACAGCCATGCCGTAGGGGTTCACAGTCTGGAGGAGGCAAGTAGGCAAACTGATGGTGGGGATGGTGGTGGGCATGGTGGGTGGTGGGGATGTTGGTGGGGATGGTGATGGTGATGGTAGGGATGGTGGGAATGGTGTTGGGGATGGTGGGGATGGTGATGTTGATGGTAAGGATGGTGGGAATGGTGGGGATGATGATGGAGATGGTGGGGGTGATGGTGACTGTGGTGGGAATGGTGGAAATAGTGGTGGGGATTGTAATGGGGATGATGGTGGGGATGTTGGGGATGGTGGTAGGGATGATGGAGATGGAAGGGAGGATGGTGGGGATGGTGTTGGGGATGGTGAGGATCATGGTGGGGATGAGGGGGACAATGAAGACAGTGGAGATGATAGCTCTCATTCGTTAGGGCTCACTATGTTACAAGCATGATACAAGCACTTGACTTCTAATCCTCATAACAGCCCTATGAGGTAAGAATAATTATTTTAATAATGGGTAACATTTACTATTTATTAAGCACCAGGCACTCTTCTAAAGTCTTTACAAGTGTTAACCCAACCAAGGCAGCTACAATTATTGCCCCTATTTTGCAGATTAGGAAACTGAGGCACAGAGAATTTTATTTACTTGACCAACGTGACACAGCCAGTTATCGTGAGAGCAAAATGAATTGGCTATGAAGGATGTGGATAGCAGGCGCTATGGGATACAGAGGAGAGTGTCCTGCACCATCATGCTGGGCAGATCAAGGCAAATGTCATGGAGGAGGTCATGTTAACCCAAGTCTTAAGGGGTTAGTAGGGGTTTGCTAGGTGGGTATGAGGGAAGGCATTCCAGGCAGAAGGATCCATGGAGCAGTGGCGCAGAGGCATGCTCAGGGAACAGGGTGGGCCTCAGCAGGGCTAGAGGATTGGGGTGGGGATGCTCAGGCTGGAGAGGTGAGAAGAAGCCCAATCCCCAATCCCAGAGGTTCCTGCAGACAGGGCTGAGGGCTTGGACTTTATCCTGAAGGCGATATGAGGCTGTAGCCCCCCACCCCCATCTCTCCCCTGAACTGCCAAGACCTATTTTCAACTCTGCTGGGAGCTGAAGAAATAAACCTCCCTTAAACCGGGCCAACTCAGCGACCTTCACCTGCACCTCCACCAGAAGACTGTCGACTGTGGGCCCTGCCTCTCACCCCATTCTTGTTACACCCCAAATTGTCCTTGAGAGTCTTCAGGTCACCCCACTGCCTCCCATTAACACTGTACCCAGGTTCAGTGTATGAGTCCTATCCCACAACCACAGCTCCCACACCTTGTCCCCCTGCCCACACACCCTCTGTTCTCCCATCCACCTGTCCACAGCCTGTTCCTCCCCTGGGCTCGGCTCAGGAGCCACCTCCTCCAGAAAGCCCTCCCTAATCACTCTAACCTAGAAGAGCTTCTGTCTCCGCTCTTCCCAGTTGCATGTCACATGGGATCCATGCCATGGTGGGATTTATGAACTACCGGTTTTCTTCTCTCCAATTCCATCTCCCCAGTTGGAATGTGAGAGAGATGCTTAGGGTCAAGACCGTATCCTAGAATTAAGTGTTTTTCTTAAAGCTCCAGCATACGAGGCTGCGCTCCATGCTCCAGCAGCCTCCTGGTCGTCTGGCCACTTGAGGAAACTGAGGCTGAGAGGGTTGAAGGAATTTCTCCATGGTCATCAGTTTGGGTTTGACTTCAAGTCTGCCTGACACCAAACTCCATGTCAGGAGCTGCTTCTCACAGTTTTCCTGGAGCCCATCCCTCCCCAGGCAAGGCACACAGCAGGTGTTCAGCAGAAACTCAGGGACTGATCCAAAGCCTGGCACAGCCCAGGAGTCACCCTCATGTGAAGTCCTGCCTCGGCCTTGTTTTTTCAGATGGAGTCCTCTAAAGGCTGCTGGCTGCCCTTCCAATTACTGCTGAAGGCACGGCCGACAACATCAAGGTCTGGACGGCCGCACAAGTCCTCGGGAGCTGGAGGCTGAGATTTCAGAAGTTCTGAGCTCCTCTGACAGATGCTGGCCTGGACCCATCCAAAAGGCCATGGGCAGGAATCCGAATCAAGGCCCGAAGGAACCCGGGGCAACAGGTGCAAGCTCACATCACTCAGCCCTGTCAAACTGTAGCCAGGTGTCTCAACCACTGTCGGCCCGCACCAAGCCCTGACTGCGTCCGGCACTGTGCTGGGACCTCACAGGCCTTTCTCCTCTCTCTTTCCGACAGTACCATGCAACCTCTTTGTGCAGATGACATGTGATGCATTTCTTCCACCAGCCAATCACCCACTGAGTCTACAAATATGTGCTGAACACCTACTATGTGCCAGACCTGGAAGACAGAACTGGGCTACAAAAATGTGCAAGATATACACAGTCCCAACTCTTTAGAGCATAGCATCTGAGGGATGCCTGGCTTTGGGTCCCAGACCAAATCCCCCCTGGGTGGGGTAATACAAAGGCCTCACTAATGACGATGAAGAAGGGGAAAATCACTCCGCACATCCACAGTAGGGCATGGGGAACTGCGACGAGCATCTTCCTAATTTATCCTGCCGGGTTGTACTGGGGACACCCCCATGTGAAAGCCCCACTGGGCATGAGCCCTGGGAGTCATTCTTATAGAGGGGCCCTCTTGCTAAGTGTCCCCCACCCCATGCACCCTGCCAACATGGGGTGGGGGTGCGGGGGTGACAGACAGCAGGAGGGTGCGGAGGCAACAGAGCAGCAGGAGGAGAACCGGGACTGTGGCATGCCATCCAGCCCAGGGACACACAGGTCATGAAGTCAAAGACACTGTGCAGGCAAGGACTGTCCTTAAGCTGTGGTGGCAAAGACATCCTTTAAAGGGACTCTCTGCGGGGCATGGGGTTGAGAAGGTGTGAGGAACAGAGCCAGCCAGGACAGCAACCAGAGGCAGGAGGTCTTCAGGACCAGGTTTCCCAAATAGAGGGTTCCTGGTGGGTCTGTGGCCTGAGGTGACTGAGCCACACAGGGAGAGAAGCTGTCCAGGGCCATTCCCCCATGCGCAGATGGAAAAACAGGCCTGCGAAGGAGGAGTGGCCTGGGGCTACACAACAAGGGGCAGGTGCAGCCCAGGCAGACAGTGGAGCTGGCCCAGGGCACAAGCCGGCTGGAGAGCACTTGAGTCACCAGGTCCTCCTCACTGGGACCTGCATGGCTACCTCATGGAGTCTCATCACGTCCTCATGACTGGCTGTGCCGCCGCTGGGCAGTTACTCACAGGCTTGGTACAGAGGCCCCGGGCAGATGGGGGAGGGCAAGGTAGGAGAGATGGGCCTCTGGCCAGAGCCCTGCCCAGTTTCCTCCTTCCTCAGCCCCTTCTCATCCCTGCTTCTTCTTTCCTGGGGCATCTGCTGGCATCCAGAGTCCCCGTCAGCAGGGAGCAGGGGCAGAGGCTAAGCCTCCCTCGTTAGACAGGGGTCTCCTCCGAGGCAGAGCCTGTGCCTTTCCCGCCACACCAGGAGCTCTCCCATGGGTATCCCTTGGACCAGTAGCTCTGCCTGGGTGGAAGCTGCACCTCTCCCTCAAACCAGTGGCCTTCCCAGGGTGGATCTCTGTCTCCTCCGTCCCCTAGGAACTCCCTGGACCCCTTCCTCTGGGAGACTGGCCAGTCCTGGAAAACGAGTCCCCATCCCCTTAGAGTCAGTGCAGTGGAACCTGAGAAGTGGCTGTTCGAGGGCAGCTGTGTAGTAGGAACAACATCCTTCCACAGGCCCCGAGGTGAGGGATGCCCTCCGGCCTCACTCCAACCTGGGCTCATGTCTTACATTGCCACCCCCCCAGCCCTGGGACCTGAGGCAATTGACCCGACCTCCCGGAGCCTCTATGTCCTCACTGGTGAAGCACGGTGCCAGCTGCCTGCCTCGTGGGGTTGGTGAGAAGCAAATGACATAATGTTTGTCAGGTGTTTAATGTAGGGCCCAGCACATGGTGAGTGCCCCACAAATGGGCCCAATTATCATTGTTATTAAAAGAATCACGAGAGATGACCACACCTCAGTGATGCCCAGTACTCTACAGTTTACAAGGCACTACCATCTGCGGTCACATGGGAGCCTCGAAGAGCCCATGAGGTGACAGCGCTGGAGGTTCCCAGCAGCGGCAACCGAGGCCCAGGCTCCTTTCCCACATCACCGTCCTCCGGGCTCTGGCCTTGTAATCCTGACACGCTGGTTGACAGGTGTCTGTGCTGCATCAGAGTAATTACAAACTGGGCAGCTGGAGTGCAGTACTTAACCTCTCTGAGCCCCGGCTTCCTCATCTGTAAAATGGGAATGACAGTACACCCTCATAGCCTGGCTGCAAAGAGTGAATGATGTCACGCATGAAAAGGTCTTAGAACACCTTCTGAAAGAGGCAGTGCTATCTGTAAACTGGTGTTTGCCAGTTTCATTATTTATTCAGCACCTACTCAATGGAAGTGTTTCATTTTAAAATATCACATCTAATCCTTACAACCATATTGCTTCCATTTCACAGTGCATTGTAGGCAGTGTGCTCTGGGAAACTGGCTCTGGGAAGGAGACTTGCACACTGAATTGCCAGATGCTTTCAGGATCAACACCTAGGGTGGGTGCGGGCAGGCCAAGGGAAATGTATTGGGTGGAGAGAGCAGCTGGGCTGTGGTGGACTCCAACAGAGATCTCAGCCAAGCCCACAGGAGGCTCCAGAGCTGGAATATTCAGAGATGTGCTTCACTGAGGCACAAAACTACCCAGCTAAAGACTTCATTTCCCAGTATCCCTTGCAGCTGGTGTGACCACGTGACCAGGATATGTCCAAGACAAGTGAGAGGAAGTGATACATGCAACTTTCAGTTGTGTCCTTAAGAAAAAACAATAAAGAAACCTGCCTTCCCTTTCCCTTGTCTCCCTTCTCATTAGATGGAATGCAGATGTGATGGAGGGGCCTGGGCAGCCAGACTAGATCATGAGGTAGAATACAAGTGTTAGAGAGAGTGGAGCAATGAGACAGAAAGAGCCTGGTCCCCACATGTCAGTCAGCGCCTTCAGTAGTCCTGGACCACATCCATTTCACCCTTTCCTCTCCTCCCTTATTAAAGCCACTGTTTTTCTGATATTTGTGACACTAGCCAAATCTGTGGGATAACTGATACAAACCAAGGTAGCCCCATCAAGAGAGAATCTGTTAGCATTTGATATCTCTCCTTTGATTCTTTTTTCTAGACATATTGTATATCAATATATACATGAATGTTCATCTATTTATGGGGGCATGTGTATTTGAATGTACAGGAGGTGTGGATTTCCCAGTACACAAACTCAGGTATGCAAATGTAAACCAGAAAGAAAATTCTAAGCCCCAACCAACTGAATGGACTCCTCCTCTTGGCCAAGGGCATTCTAAAGTAAACCTGAAACACTAGTTCAGGCCATGATGGGAACGGGTAATTGAACGTGTCTCATCATACCTTTCTCCCTTTGGAATACAGGCACAGCTAACCAGCATTAACATTAAAGCAGAGACCTTAAGACAGAACAGACTCTTTAAGTCTGATAAGAAACATTTACAATCTATTCTCTCTGAAGCCTGCTAGCTGAAGACTTCATCTGCATAATAAAAACCTTGGTCTCCACAACCCCTTATCTTAACCCAGACACTCCCTTCTATTGAGTCCAGGTATTTAAATAAACGCTTTCAACCAATTACTAATCAGAAAATCTTTGAATCCACCTGTGACCTGGAACCACTCCCTCCCCACTTCAAGTTGTCCCTCCTTTCCAGACTGAACCAATGCACATCTTACATGTATTGATTGATGCCTTATGTCTCCCTTAAATGTATAAAACCAAGCTGTAGCCCAACCACCTTGGGCACATGTCATCAGGACCTCCTTAGGCTGTGCCATTGGCATGTCCTTAACCTTGGCAAAATAAACTTCCAAATTGATTGAGACTTGTCTCAGATACTTTTTGGTTTACACGAGAAACACAATTTATTTTTTCTGCAACCAAATGTAGTCTGTGTCTCAAGCTCCCCATTCCCTGGTGGTGGAAACCTAAACCAGCCAATGAGCAGCCCTGGTCATTTCAGATTAATTTCAGTCAATTAGGATTTGTGTGCCTCTGAGAAAATTAGGGTGAATTCCATCAACGTAGGGCTTTTTCTTCCTGACCCTCACCCCTTCTTCCTTTTCCAGTAGATTTAAGTTTTAGTTAATGACTTAAATATAGTTCATAGTCTCACTGACTGGAGCTGGGGCCATCTGGCATGCAGGTAGAATCAGAGGTAGACTGGCATGTGGTTTGTGACCCATCCTTTGAGGAATCTCTATCCCTCCCTAGTTCCCAGGTGTGGGGCCTCAGCTGCCTTGGCCCAGTGTCGCTTGTCATCATCCCACCGTGCCACATACACCTTCCTTGGAAGTTTGAGCTGCTCTGCATCCACATCTCAGGTCAGAAAAATCAGGGCACGGCCAATTAGTGGCCTTTTTTTCTTTATTTATGGTACATAAAATACTGGTATCTGATAATTGATGGAATCTTAGATTTGATCAATTTTGGTAGCTTCTCATATTCTCCCTACTTTGCAAATGAGGAACTGAGGCCTAGAGAGGTGAAGTCGAGGTAATGCAGCTAGTAGTAAATAGGGGAGCTGGGACTTGAATAGAGGCTGTCTAGACTCTAACCATGAGGCCATTCTGCCTCTGTGGGTGTTCTGCCCTTTTCAGTTTCTTCCTCCTGGTCTTCTTTGATGTTCGCAGACTTCTCATAAGGAAGACAAGGAATGAGGCAAGGATTACCCCTATTTTACAGTGAAGAAAATGCAGACCCACAGGGGAGGGGTGATTTGGCATTAGTGACCCAGCTAGAGAATGGTGAAACAAGGTCTAGATCCAGGGCTCCTTTGGGGAGAGACCCGACCTTGTCCAGCAATAGTCCCAACACTTACAAACACGCACACACACACACACAGCCTGCATGCCCAAATGTGCATATGCACTCAGGCATATGTACCCACAGAGCGGAGCAGCCCTGACTTCCTCCCAGTGGCCTCATCCCAAAACACAAAAATCATTACCTGGTGCTCTCATTCCAACTCCCTCTCTGGGCAGCAGTGCAGGGCTACTGGCAGGGAAAGTTCAACCACAAAGCCATGATTAATTCTCCACTCCAATTATCAGTGGGAAGGAACTGTCTTCTCCTGAAGCCAGGAAGAGCACATCAAACACAGTTCCTAAGTGCACCAGAGGGAAGTCTGACCCATTAACCAGGGGGTAGCTACTGTGTGGGGGAAGGGAGAGGCCAAGGGAAGCAGCAGAGAGAGCCAGGAGATTCTGGGTTCGAGTCCCAGCTCCACCACCATGTGGCCCAAGGCACATCTGTCTTATCAATTTTGTGTTGCTAGGAAGGAATACCTGAGGCTGAGCAATTTACAAAGAAAAGAGGTTTATTTGGCTCATGGTTCTGCAGGCTGGAAGGTCCAGGAGGCATCTGGTGAGGGCCTCAGGCTGCTTCCACTCATGGAGGAAGGTGAAAGGGAGTTGGCATGTGCAGAGATCACATGGCAAGAGAGGAAGCAAGAGAGCAAGCAGGAGGTACCAGGCTCTTTTAACAACCAGCTCTCACAGGAGCTAGTAGATAAGGAACTCACTCACCTCCAAGGGAGGGCATTCATCTATTCATGAGGAATCCACTCCCATGACCCAGACGCTTCCCATTAGGCCCCACCTCTAACACTGGAATCAAATTTCAACATGAGTTTTGGGGGACAAACATCCAAACTATAGCACCATCTGTGACTTGTTGGAGATCCCCCTCTGGCATTAGCATCTTTTAATAATAACAAAAATAATTTCTTGTACTTGGAAAGTTCTGTTCCCTTTGGGCCAGGGATCATGTCTGTGTTACCCATCATTAGATCCCCAGCACAGAGCCTGGCACATAGTAGGCACTTTTCATGAGTGATTGTTGAATGGTAGAGTGGCCACTCCTTTCTATTTACACAAACTTTTTTTTAGGCTAGTCAAGTAAAGCAGTGGGAATGGAGGAGAACAAAAAAATCTATAACTGCTTGTATTTACACAAACTTTTACAGACTTCCTCTCATTTAATTTCATGATGTTGGAATTAGTAGTCTCATTTTATAGATGAGGAAACTAAGGCTCAGAGAGCCTGGGACAAAGAACAAGTTTGTGACATTAATTTCTATGTGCTAATTCTTCCTAGCTTTATCTTCCTTGACCTTCATTTTCTCTCCTCCCTAATTTATTTATCATTTGAATCCACCCCACCTCACTCCACACCCCCTCACACACACATATACACACATATAAGAGTCATGAGATCCATAGGTACAAACATACCCATTGCTCAGAAAGAGCAAAGTTGTGTGTTCTCACAATGGGAACATGATGATAAATGGAAGAACAATGGCTAGGGACTCTGGTCTCCCTTTTTAACAAGGACTCCCAATTTGCCAACTTGGAGCTTTGGGAGAAATTGACCTACTCTCAGCTTCAGAGGGAGGCACCAATTGATTTAAGCCAATCAGCATATCCCATGCTTCTGGCCACAGCTATTGATTGGAAAATGGACAGATGACCCAAGGCAGGCCAATTGGAGCCAACAAGATCCCATGTATGAACTTTTTTAAGTCACCAGAGAGGTACATTTTTCTGTTCTACCACATATGAATCTAAAAACATAGAGTTCCAGAAACTTCTTGCAGCCACCTTTGGAACACAAAAGGAGAGTATGACTGAGAATAGACCTAATACTGAGGCTATGGAAATGAGCATATATGAGCTGCTG